>NW_025791796.1:0-361322 GCF_000001405.40 Homo sapiens | reverse complement strand
ATTATTATACTTTAAGTTTTAGGGTACATGTGCACAACGTGCAGGTTTGTTACATATGTATGCATGTGCCTTGTTGGTGTGCTGCACCCATTAACTCATCATTTAGCATTAGGTATATCTCCTGATGCTATCCCTCCCCCCTCCCCCCACCCCACAACAGTCCCCAGTGTGTGATGTTCCCCTTCCTGTGTCCATGTGTTCTCATTGTTCAATTCCCACCTATGAGTGAGAACATACGGTGTTTGGTTTTTTGTCCTTGTGATAGTTTGCTGAGAATGATGGTTTCCAGCTTCATCCATGTCCCTACAAAGGACATGAAGTCATCATTTTTTATGGCTGCATAGTATTCCATGGTGTATACGTGCCACATTTTCTTAATCCAGTCTATCATTGTTGGACATTTGGGATGGTTCTACTCTTAAGCAATACATGTTCATGTCACTAGGTTCCCCTGCAAATCATGAGCTCAGAGATGTACGCTCTGTCTTTGTAGGTCAAAGAAGAATTGATCATCTTTGGGAGGTTACTGTTTGTTGGCAGTGAGATGCCTTAGTCCGAATTCCTTGGATGACAGAGGGGCTCCTCACAACCTCTTTCTAGTTCAAATTTGAGTGAAGCTTGGAGATACTGTCTTCCTACTACTACCTTAAGAAATTGTGTTTCCATATCAAATCAGCCCCAGGGTTTTGAAGGAGCTGTGATCCAGCAGATATAAAACTGGTCTGGATAAGTGATGCAGTAAAGTTTGCAGTGAAAGAGACTGCTGTAGTTTCCCTCCTGAACTTCCAGAGCTTTCTGGCAGAGATGACTGTTCTCTAATGTGACTGTCATTACCCATGGCTTGCTGTGGCAGAAACCCACATTTCTAGAAATGCTTTTACAAGGCCCATAAGTTGCAAAGGCAGCTGTGTTTAAGTAGCAGGAATCAATATTTTGA
Source organism: Homo sapiens (assembly GCF_000001405.40). Classification (NCBI taxonomy): domain Eukaryota; kingdom Metazoa; phylum Chordata; class Mammalia; order Primates; family Hominidae; genus Homo; species Homo sapiens. Next base: position 360,385 of record NW_025791796.1, on the reverse strand, counting down.
GACACTGACTAGCCCCATCACATTCTAACCTTGACTGCATATTCTAGAGGAAGCAAGAAATACACTGTGAGTACAAGTGACATTTCTCGTGACATCTAAATATCTTGCTTTCTGCTTTTAGCTCCCATGTCGCATCTCACTTGTCTTTATAAAATTGTATACTTTGAGTAAACTTGGTTTTGTAATTCATACATTAGCTATAGTCTTCAACAGACCTACATTCATATTCATGGAAATAACACTGATCTAGTGATAATTGGAGTCCACAGTCTAGAAATGTCACTCTAGTTAGTTAATATGAACCAAGAGATGTCATATGGATAGTCATGATCTTTATCCTTCTCTGAATTCTATGAACTTAAGGCAAACATGTGCACACAAAGTGGGGAACAGCAGACACTGGGGCCTACCAGAGGGTAGTAGTAGGGTGGGAGTAGGGAGAGGAGCAGGAAAAAATAACTATTGGATACTAGGCTTAGTACCTGGGTCACAACATTGTCTGTACAACAAATCCCCAAGTTTACCTGTATCACGAACCTGTGCATGTACCCCTGAACCTAAAATAAATTTTTTTTTTAAAAAAGGATCAGCATGATATTTGAAAAGAATGTTGAAATGAAGATGGCAGACTGATACTGGAACCAGCTTTATCTCCAATAGCTGCCTTATCTTTTCCTCTGGGTTCAGTTTCTTCATTGGTAAAATAAGGTGGTTGAGCTCCAACTCTCAGTGGTTTCTCAGGCCCAGTACTTAATGAATCTATTATTAATATATCTATCATCATTGTTTATGGATCCATTATTCTAGCCCCATTTCAGGGTTTTGTTATTTATTAGCTAATTTGATTTTAACTTTTATCAACTCAAATATAAATATGAGATACAGTGTATTTGACAAATTGCTGTCTAAAACTTTCTCTCTGAAGAATAGTTCACCTCTTTTTAAGTAGTGTTTTCTTTCTTATTACATATTATTTACTCTAGGTGCCTGCCACACTGTTTGCTCTCAAATGCTCATGTCACTTGGTCACCTTTTTGTACCTGCTCTCCTCTGAAAGTATCTTAGGCTCTAAAATGTTTTCAGTTGTCTGTCTTTCAAAAACTTTGTATAAGCATTCCTTTTTCTCCACAACCTTGCCAGCATCTGTTATTTTTTTACTTTTTAATAATAGCCATCTGACTGGTGAGAGATGGTATCTCATTGTGGTTTTGATTTGCATTTCTCTAATGATCAGTGAAGTTGAGTTTTTTTTTTCATATATTTGTTGGCCACATGTATGTCTTCTTTTGAAAAGTGTCTGTTCATGTCATTTGCCCAATTTTTAATGGGGTTATTTTTTTCTTGTAAGTTTGTTTATATTTCTTATAGATGTGGATATTAGACCTTTGTCAGATATAGTTTGTAAAAGTTTTCTCCAATTCTGTGGGTTGGCTGTTTACTCTCTTGATAGTTTCTTTTGCTGTGCAGAAGCTCTTTAGTTTTATTAGATCCCATTTGTCAATTTTTGCTTTTGGTGTCTTTGTCATGAAATATTTGTTCCCATGTCCTGAATGGTATTGCCTGGTTGTCTTACAGAGTTTTTATAGTTTTTGGTTTTACATTTGAGTCTTTAATACATCTTGAGTTAATTTTTGTATATGGTGTAAGGAAGAGGTCCAGTTTCAATCTTCTGCATATGGCTAGCAAGTTATCCCAGCACCATTTATTGATTAGGAATCCTTTCCCCATTACTTTTGTCAACTTCATCAAAGATGAGATTATTGTAGGTATGCAGCCATATTTCTGGGCTCTCTATTCTGTTCCATTGGTCTATGCATCCTTTTTTGTACCAGTGAAGTGTAAATTAGTGCAACCTTTATGGAAAACTGTGGCAATTCCTCAGAGACGTAAGAATAGAGCTACCATTTAACCCAGCAATCCCATTACTGGGTATACACCCAAAGGAATATAAATTGTTCCACCATAAAGGCACATGCACGCGTATGTTCATTGAAGCACTATTCACAATAGCAAAGACATAGATTCAACCTAAATGCCATCAATGGGAGACTGGATAAAGAAAATGTGGTACATATACTCCATGAAATACAATGCAGCCATAAAATAAAGAATGAGATCATATACTTTGCAGCAACCTGAATGGAGCTGGAGGCCATTATCCTAAGCAAACTAACACAGGAATAGAAAACCAATACTTATGAGTGGAAATATAAATACTCCTTTGCAGAAATATGGATGGAGCTGGAGGCTATTATCCTTAGCAAACTAATGCAGGAACAGAAAACTACATACCATATGTTCTCACTTGTAAGTGGCAGCTAAATGACACAGACATAGAGGGGAACAACAGACAATGGGGCTTATCAAAGGATGGAGGATGGGACGAGGGAGAGGATCATGAAAAATAAGTAATGGATTCTAAGCTTAATACCTGGATGATGAAATAATCAATATAACAAACCTCCATGACACAAGTTTACCTATATAACAAACCTGCAGATGTACCCCTGAACTTAAAAGTTAAATAAAAGAAAAAATAACTTTAAAATGTGCAGAACCTTTGAGACAGATCTTTCAGCTCTCATAACTATCAGAAGGAAATGATTATGCATGTGTTATAAAATCTTCATGGTAACATTACTGTGTATATAAAAATGGATAAAGAAAATGTGGTAAACCTACACAATGGAATATTATTCAGCCATAAAAATAACAAGGTCCTGTCATTGGCAGCAACATGGATGAAACTGGAGGTCATTATGTTAGATGATATAGGCCAGGGACAGAAAGATAAATATAATAAGTTCTCACTTATAAGTGGGAGATAAAAAAGTTGATTTCATGGAGGTAGAGAGTGGAATGCTGGTTACCATAGGGTGGAAAGCATAGTGGGGCAGGGGGTGTAAAGAGACGTTGACTCATGGATACAAAAATGCAGTTAGATAGAAGGAATAAGTTCTATAATTAACATTAATTTATAGTATATTTCTAGGGCAACTACAGTTAACATTAATTTAGAGTATTTTTCCAAATAGTCAGAAGAGAGGATTTGGAATGTTTCCAACACAAAGAAATGAAAAATGTTTGAGGTAGTGGATATCTAAATTACCCTGTTTTAGTTATTACACATTGTATGCAATCAAAATATCACATGTATGGTATAAATATGTACAACTATCATATATCAATAAAAATAAAATATAAAAGTTACACAAATTTAAAAAAAGAAGCAGTTTAAATATTTACAATTTGCATTTACTTTCTTAAATTATAGAACATCCTAGGATGTAATATTGCACAATGAATAAAATGATGTTTGAGAAAACTGTTTAAGAATGTGGAAAATGCTCATTCTTCTAAGTGAAAAAAATGCAGGTTAAAATACACTTTGTATAATGATCCTGTTAAAACTAGGATTCATTATAGTATTGTTTCACTTTTCTCTCCCAAAGAGGTGTAAGGAATGAGGTGAATCATTTTACTTTGCTAATCCAAACTTAAAAAAAAAAAAGAAAAAGAAAAAGTGTGATGTTTTGTTTGACCAGTGGAATGTCTGTGGGTTACTTGTCTTCTTTAAACCTAGTTTCCTCACAATAATTTTATTTAATGTTCATTTGACTTTTTCCAGTATGGATATAAGCCACAAATACTGTGTTACTGACTGACGTGGACTCAGTGAAGCTGAATAAAATCAAAAGAAAATATACACATATTTCAAGGGAAAAGGTCAGTGCACAATATACATAAATGTACTTAGTTCAGTGCCTCCTCTGTTTGGCTAATGGTTGCTCTATTTTCCAAGTCTCATTCCAGATGTGTTGCTACTCACCATGTCTTTTCTTGTCTTTATCAGAGCCTAGATTCAAACCTAATATAAATTATCTTGGGAAAAATCAAATATATGTGATATTTTCTGTACATTTTAACCTTTTAACCACACAGCTTAAATTTTATTATTTTATTTTATTTATTTATTTATTTTTTATTTTTTTTTATTATTATACTTTAAGTTTTAGGGTACATGTGCACATTGTGCAGGTTAGTTACATATGTATACATGTGCCATACTGGTGCACTGCACCCACTAACTCGTCATCTAGCATTAGATATATCTCCCAATGCTATCCCTCCCACCTCCCGCCACCCCACAACAGTCCCCAGAGTGTGATGTTCCCCTTCCTGTGTCCACGTGTTCTCATTGTTCAATTCCCACCTATGAGTGAGAATATGCGGTGTTTGGTTTTTTGTTCTTGCGATAGTTTACTGAGAAAGATGATTTCCAGTTTCATCCATGTCCCTACAAAGGACATGAACTCATCATTTTTTATGGCTGCACAGTATTCCATGGTGTATATGTGCCACATTTTCTTAATCCAGTCTATCATTGTTGGACATTTGGGTTGGTTCCAAGTCTTTGCTATTGTGAATAGTGCCGCAATAAACATACATGTGCATGTGTCTTTATAGCAGCATGATTTATAGTCCTTTGGGTATATACCCAGTAATGGGATGGCTGGGTCAAATGGTATTTCTAGTTCTAGATCCCTGAGGAATCGCCACACTGACTTCCACAATGGTTGAACTAGTTTACAGTCCCACCAACAGTGTAAAAGTGTTCCTATTTCTCCACATCCTCTCCAGCACCTGTTGTTTCCTGACTTTTTAATGATTGCCATTCTAACTGGTGTGAGATGGTATCTCATTGTGGTTTTGATTTGCATTTCTCTGATGGCCAGTGATGGTGAGCATTTTTTGATGTGTTTTTTGGCTGCATAAATGTCTTCTTTTGAGAAGTGTCTGTTCATGTCCTTTGCCCACTTTTTGATGGGGTTGTTTGTTTTTCTCTTGTAAATTTGTTTGAGTTCATTGTAGCTTCTGGATATTAACGCTTTGTCAGATGAGTAGGTTGCGAAAATTTTCTCCCATTTTGTGGGTTGCCTGTTCACTCTGATGGTAGTTTCTTTTGCTGTGCAGAAGCTCTTTAGTTTAATCAGATCCCATTTGTCAATTTTGTCTTTTGTTGCCATTGCTTTTGGTGTTTTAGACATGAAGTCCTTGCCCATGCCTATGTCCTGAATGGTAATGCCTAGGTTTTCTTCTAGGGTTTTAATGGTTTTAGGTCTAACGTTTAGGTCTTTAATCCATCTTGAATTGATTTTTGTATAAGGTGTAAGGAAGGGATCCAGTTTCAGCTTTCTCCATATGGCTAGCCAGTTTTCCCAGCACCATTTATTAAATAGGGAATCCTTTCCCCATTGCTTGTTTTTCTCAGGTTTGTCAAAGATCTGATAGTTGTAGATATATGGCGTTATATCTGAGGGCTCTGTTCTGTTCCATTGATCTGTATCTCTGTTTTGGTACCAGTACCATGCTGTTTTGGTTACTGTAGCCTTGTAGTATAGTTTGAAGTCAGGTAGTGTGATGCCTCCAGCTTTGTTCTTTTGGCTTAGGATTGACTTGGCAATGTGGGCTCTTTTTTGGTTCCATATGAACTTTAAACTAGTTTTTTCCAATTCTGTAAAGAAAGTCATTGGTAGCTTGATGGGGATGGCATTGAATCTATAAATTACCTTGGGCAGTATGGCCATTTTCACGATATTGATTCTTCCTACCCATGAGCATGGAATGTTCTTCCATTTGTTTTTATCCTCTTTTATTTCCTTGAGGAGTGGTTTGTAGTTCTCCTTGAAGAGGTCCTTCACGTTCCTTGTAAGGTGGATTCCTAGGTATTTTATTCTCTTTGAAGCAATTGTGAATGGGAATTCACTCATGATTTGGCTCTCTGTTTGTCTGTTCTTGGTGTATAAGAATGCTTGTGATTTTTGTACATTGATTTTGTATCCTGAGACTTTGCTGAAGTTGCTTATCAGTTTAAGGAGATTTTGGGCTGAGACAATGGGGTTTTCTAGATATACAATCATGTCGTCTGCAAACAGGGACAATTTGACTTCCTCTTTTCCTAATTGAATACCCTTTATTTCCTTCTCCTGCCTAATTGCCCTGGCCAGAACTTCCAACACTATGTTTAATAGGAGTGGTGAGAGAGGGCATCCCTGTCTTGTGCCAGTTTTCAAAGGGAATGCTTCCAGTTTTTGCCCATTCAGTATGATATTGACAGCTTAAATTTTAAAAATAATATCTAGTATCATAGTGAAGATTTAATTACATGCACTTTTCTATGCATAGTTAATATCACTAATATAAGCATTTAGTCATAAGTGCCTTATATTCTAACCATTATATTTGAAAGCATTATTCAGAGTAGCATGAAAACCTGTTTCTTTCAAAAGGTAATAGAATTTGAAGATAGAAATCTTAATACTTCTCATCCATAGCTGTAAGTCTACTCCTTCACTGTGCTGTATACTCTTACAATAACACAATTACTCTATCTCAACTTCAGCATCTGGGTCTTTTGTGTTTCTGTGAAGTATGCAAGTAAGTTCATTTGCAACTGCACATGGATCTGGCAAAGATACAGTGCTCAGCAAAACTATTTCTCTCCTGATCTTTACTGCTTAATGAGTGTGCAAATATTTGACCATTTTTGGACTGTTATCATAGTGAACTTAAATTTCCTCATATTTTCCTCCCTATAATTCTTAACAAGTGCAATGGTAACATTGATATGGTAACATACTATTATGTTCCAAGCCATGAATCTAGCATTTTATTTTTGTAGTCCTATTATTTATTCCTCTTAAAGTAATTTCATCCGTAAAAGGAACTAAGCTACTTTCTCTATGTTATGTGATCATTCAAATAAAATCATTTGGTCCAATCAGTATAGCAGAATAATTTAAGCATACCTGGATCTCCCTTCTCTGAGAATGATTTATTCAGCCCAAATTGTTGGATTATTATCCAGACTCTCAATTCACATTGATATAATGATTTTCATATTTTCCACCTAATTTTTATAAAATTCATTTTATTTTACTTTAAGAACTTTTTTATTTTTAATTTTTGTGGGTACATAGTAGGTGCATGTATTAATGTGGCACATAAGATGCTTTGTTACATACATGCAATACGCAATAGTCACATCATGGAAAATGGCATATGTATCTCCTCAAGAACTTATTCTTTGTGTCACAAACATCCAATTATACTTTTTTAGTTATTTTAAAATGTATAATTATTATTATTTTAGATTCAGGGGTACATGTGCAGGTTTGCTATGTAGGTAAATTGCATGACACGGGGATTTGGTGTGCAAATTATTTCATCACCCAGGTAATAAGCATAGTACCTGGTAAGTAGTTTTTCTATTTTTACCCTCCTCCCACCCTCCATCCTCAAGTAGACCCCAAGGTCTGTTGTTCCATTCTTTGTGTCCATATGTACTTAATATTTAGCTTCCACTTAGAAGTGAGTATTTGTATTTCCACTTGTAAGCATTTGGTTTTCTGTTCCTGCATTTGTTTGCTTAGGATAATGGCCTCCAGCTCTATTCAGGTTGCTGCAAAGGACATGATCTCATTCCTTTTTATGGCTGCATAGTATTCCATGGTATATATGTACCACATTTTCTTTGTCTATTGTACCATTGATGGGAGATGAGGTTGATTTCATGTCTTTGCTATTTTGAATAGTGAGGTGAAGAACACATGCGTGCATGTGTCATTATGGTAGGACAATTTATATTCCTTTGGGTATATACCCAATAATGGAATTGCTGGGTCAAATGGTAATTCTGTTTTAACTTTCAGAAATTGCCAAAGTGCTTTTCACATTCGCTGAACTAATTTACATTCCCACCATCAGTGGATAAGCTCTATATTTATCCTGTTGTGCTATAAAATAAATACTAGGTTTTATTCATTCTTTTCTTTTGTTTTCATTTTTTATTGAGTTTCATTCAGCAAACATAGCCAAATAAATGTCTTGCAGGAGGGCCTCCAATGGCTGCCATCTTCTACAGCAATAGCCAGCCACCCACTGACACCATTCAGAAAGTGTCCATTGGTTGGACTTTTATTCCAACGCCTCGAAAAAGTAGTGGCTTCTTTGGTGAGGACTGCAGTGGTCCCTTTTCTCACACCTGTACCTGCCAAATCTAGTCCCCTTCTTTTTGGGCACTGTGAATCGGCCAAGAAAATCTACCTTTCTCTTGCCTATAATGCTGAGATCAATGTGGCTTCCAGAGCCCAGGTTGTTGAAGAAGCCAGCTGCAGTGGCTTCACTTACCATCTTCTTTGCTTCCTCTTCTCCCATATCTGGCCTAGAATATCTTCAAATACAGCCTTTGCTGCTAAGCATCCATGGTGATGAGGCAAGTTATCAGTTTATTCATGAGGATAGATGCTGTAGAGGTGAGGTCCAGTAAAAACTCTCAATCTCCTTAAAACTAGGGCTGCACCAATGTAACCCTGATAGTTTAAAAGCATTTGCTTCAGCATCTGATTGGCCATGACAACTCAGGAAGATGGCCACTACAGATGGAGTGGAGCTCCAAGTTGGAAGAAATAAAACAATATGCTCCTGAATGACTAGTGGGTCAGTGAAGAAATTAAGAAGGAAATCAAGAAATTCCTTAAAACAAATGATAAATGAAAAACAACCTACCAAAACCTATGGGATATAGCAAAAGCAGAACAAAGAGGGAAGTTTATAACTACAAATGCTTCCTTTAAAAAGAAAAAAAACCTTCAAATAAGCAACCTAATGATTTATCTTAAAGAACTAGAAAGGCAAGAGCAAGCCAAAACCAAAATTAGCAAAAGAAAAGAAATAATAAAGAGTAGAGCAGAAATAAATGAAATTGAAATGAAGAAAACAATACAAAAAATGAATGAAACAAAAAGTTGACTTTTTTGAAAAGATAAACAAAATCAACAAAACTTTAGCCAGATTAACAAAGAGAAGACTGAAATAATTCAAATTAGAGATGAAAAAGGAGACATTATAACTGATACTACAGACATTCAAAGGATCATTAATGGCTACTATGAGCAACTATATGCTAATAAATTGGAAAATCTAGAAGAAATGAATAAATTCCTAGACACATACAACCTATCAAGATTGAACCAGAGAAAGGGAGAAAATATATGCAAAGTGCCCATCTGACAAGGGATTAAAAACCAGAATATACAAGGAGCTCAAACAACTCTATAGGAAAAAATCTATTAATCCAATCAAAATATGGGCAAAACATTTGTATAGACATTTCTCAAAAGAAGGCATAAAAATGGCAAACAGGTATATGAAAAGGTATGCAACATCATTGATCATCAGAGAGATGAAAATCAAATAACAAATATTGGTGGGGATGTGGAGAACACTTGATGGGAATGTAAATTAGTACAGCCTCTAGGGAGAACAGTTTGAAGGTTCCTCAAAAAACTACAAATAGAGTTACCTTGCAATTCAGCAATCCCACTCCTAAGTATATACCCTAGAGAAAAAAAAACAGTATATCAAAAGATATCTCCACTCCCATATTTATTGCAGTACTATTCACAGTTGCCAATATTTGGAATCAACCTAAGTGTCTATTAACAGACAAATGGATAAAGAAAATATGGTACCTATACACAATGGAGTGCCATTCAGCCATAAAAGAGAATGAGATCCTATTATTTGCCAAAACATAGATGGAATTGGAGGTCATTATGCCAAGTGAAATAAGTCAGGTACAGAAAGACAAACTTCTAATATTCTTATATATGTGTATATATGTATCTATCTATAGCAAATTACGTAAGACATCATACTATTGCTTGTATAGTCAATATTCAGTGTATACTTATTTACATATGCCAACTTATTTGCCAGTCTACTTCTTTATTTTTTCCTTTAATTTAGTGTTTTTCTCCAGGATTCTTTTATTTGAAGAACTGCTATTAATATTTATTTATTAGAAGTTCTTAGGCAACAGATTCTCTCATTTTTGTCATAAGATGCTTTATCTCATCTTTACTTAAATGATTTACTTTATCTCACATAGACATTTAGGTTGATATTATCTTCTTTCATCAATTTAAAGATGTTTTTCCATTTTTCTCTGGCTTCTGTGTTTCTTTTATGAAGAAATTTATCAGTTCCCTTTAAACTAAAGGACAGCCTCTCATCCCAGCTGCTAAGATTCTCTGTTTTTAATTTTTATTGTCACACGTTGATGTGTTTAGGTCTTTTTCATTGTTGTTTATTCTGCTTGTGGTTCACCGTGTATTTTTTTCCTGTGGCTTATTGTCTTTTATCAGGTTTTAAAAGTTATTGGTAATTCTTTCCTCAAATATTTCACCTTTCTCATTCTCTTGTTTGCCTATCCACTTGGACTTCAATTATATATATAATTACATATATATGTAATTGAAATACATATATATATGAGATTTCACTGCATCTGACACATCTCTAATACTTTTTCTTGTATTTTTCCATTTTTCCTATTTGCATTCTTAATTTTAGTATTTTTATCGATTTAACTTCCAGCACACTCTGTAGTCTTCTCCTGTGTTTAATCTGATTTTAAACTCATCTAATGAATTTTTAATTTCAAAATTTTTTAGTTCTACAATTTTCATTTACTTCTCTTTATGGATTTTAATTGGTGAAATTTGCTATCCTTTTATCTATTTATTACACCTTTTCTTCTACTGTCTTGAACATACTAGTCATGATGATTATAATGTTACGGTTATTCACTTTCATACTCTGGGTAGACTCTGATTATATTCCAATTATTTATCTTTTTTTCTTTATTTCGAAAAATTTTTCACTCTTCTGGTGTTTCTTATGATTTTTATTAAATTATGGATATTGTTTATTAAAAATGATAGGTTGTATATGCTCCAGTTCATGTTACTTCCTGCAAAGAAAGTTCACACACCTCATTACAAGATGGACACAGAAGTAAATCCCCTTAATGCTGTGTTTCTCATTGTAAAAAATTTACCATCATTCTCAGTAAACTATTGCAAGAACAAAAAACCAAACACCGCATATTCTCACTCATAGGTGGGAATTGAACAATGAGATCACATGGACACAGGAAGGGGAATATCACACTCTGGGGACTGTGGTGGGGAGGGGGGAGGGGGGAGGGATAGCATTGGGAGATATACCTAATGCTAGATGACGAGTTAGTGGGTGCAGCGCACCAGCATGGCACATGTATACATATGTAACTAACCTGCACAATGTGCACATGTACCCTAAAACTTAAAGTATAATTAAAAAAAAAATTTACCTTTTAGGGAACATTTGGCAATATGTAGAAATATTTTTGGTTGTTACACTAAGAAAATGCTCCTGGCACCTAGTAAGTAGAGGTCAGGAATGCTACTAAACAACCTACAATGCACGGGGCAGCCTCTTACAACAAATAATTATTTTGTCCAAAACGCCAATCGTGCCGAAGTTAAGAAGCCGCGCCTTAATTTAAATAAAGGTTTTGTGGAGTTGAAGCTGATTTTCAGGTTTCATAGGACTCAGTCAATCTCTGGCTCATTCGTAGATTGCCAGGTTTAAAATCAGTCTCTGATATATTCTCAGGACTTCTAATTCACTTATGAAAGATTAAAATTTAGAAGTGAAGGAAGTGAATGTGCCTGATCATGTCTGATCTCAGAAGCTAAGCAGGATTGGGTCTGGTTAATACTTGGATGAGAGACCACTGAGTTATGTAGGCTTTAATAATAATACTAATAGTTTTAAAAGTAAATTTAAAAAATGAAATGAAGGAAGTGGTAATAGAGATTACAAAATGTAAGGTTTCCATTTTGTGTAGGGGTGTCTAATAGGACTAGAGCAATACTGAGTATTTTGTGCCTTCAAATGCTGTAATCGTGGAACTGGCAGTTAAAAAATGATTTCTGTGTTCCCTACATTCATAATCGCTGTGGGGACAGTTACTCCTTATATAGACCAATTTATTGGTAATGTTTAGAAATTTATTTTAGTAAGCCAGGTCTACAGCCTGGTCTTATAGTTCTTCAATGATTTGTAAGTATCTAATGCCTTATATATGCTTATTCAAATAATCAGAGTGGTTTAGTTATCTAAATAATAACTTGTATTACATATAACTATTGATCATTGCATTCAGGGTGAAATAATTTGTAAGTGAACTCAAGTTTTTATCTAATGTTTAAAAATTACCCATTAGGAATAAGCAGAAATCTCTGCAAAACTTTGAAATATATAGCTAAATTGTCTTTTCACAGTTTCTGATAAAATATAACAGTTTTAATTTTCTCTCTCTATCAAATTAGAAAAAGTAACTAGACCTTTTAAGTGTTGACATAAATAAAAAATACTTAGCAGCACGCACTTTCCACTTAATGATATTTTACTACTCATAGTTCTGTAATCAGAATCTTGAGGATCTTCCCTTAAGTCAAATAGGAAACATTAAAGAGTTACTCTCCTGCTTATTGTCTTTCAAGAATCTCCTTTTGAAATCTGAATAAATTGAACTTCTTATTGACTAAAATGCTCTACATAATTTTGCCCCTACCAAATTCTTTGACTTCAATTTTTGCCATTTTCACATTCACTAAATATAGTACAGCTGTTCTCTTCCTTTTTATGGTCATCAAATATAACAAGCTCATAAGATCTTTGGATTCTTGTACTAGTCAGCCTTTTTGCCTAGAATTTCTGTCCCCAGATATTTGCATGGTTGTTTCTTTCGAATCATATTGGTTTCAGCTAAACACCACTTGAGGCCTCACTTAACAACCAAAAGTAAGGTAATTACCACCTCCCCAGCTAATCTCTAGCATAATACCACTTTCTGCTTGCTACAGAACACTGTTTCTTTCTGAAACTATAGTTGTTTTTCAAATTTAATAAACTGTATTTATCCCCTTGAATAAATCTAATAACCTGTATTTATCCCCTTGAATATAAATCTAGGAGACCTGGAATCTTACCTGTCTCATTCATATGCCTGGAATAGTGCCTGAAAATGGGAAGTACTTAATAATTATAATACTTGCTAAATGACTGACTGATTCAATGCATGAATGAGGAAATGATTTAGCTAAATTCAACTGGACTTTCTCCGTTCTTGCTTTTCTCTTTCTTCTATTCAGCAAAACATATGTTGACTTAACAACTTCCTCATGGAAGCTTTCACCTCCTGGTTGCGAAGCGTATAAATAACAGGGTTCATCAAAGGAAAGATGACAGTATGGAAAAGAGAAACTACCTTGTCAGCTGGGAAAGCCTGGAAGGGGCAAGTGTAGATGAAAATAGCAGGTCCAAACATGAGAAATATAATGATAATATGGGTGGTGCATGTGGAAATAGCCTTGCTCTTTCCTTCAGAGGAGTGCTCCCTTATACGACAGAGGATGACTGCATAGGAGGCCAGAAGGCCCAGGAAGCACAGGAGGCTGAGCAGGCCACTGTTGGAGACCATCAGAAGCTCCACCACAAAGGTATTGGTGCAGGCCAGCTTGATGACCTGTGGAACATCACAGAAGAAGTTATCGAGCTGGTTTGGGCCACAGAAAGGCAAGTGCAGGATAAGGGCTACTTGTACAATGGAATGGATAAAGCCCCCAAGCCACAGAACCAACGATAATGCATAGCAGGCTCTAGGGTTCATGATGGTTGAATAGTGTAAAGGCCGGCAGATGGCGATGTAGCGGTCAAAGGCCATCACAACGAGGAGGAACATCTCTCCCGCTCCAAGAAAATGCAAGAAAAAGAGCTGAGTGATGCAGCTTCTATAGGAGATTACCTTCTTCTCAGAGAGGAAGTCCACCAACATCCTGGGAACCACAATGAAGGAGTAGGATGCATCCAGTAAGGCCAAGTTGCCCAGAAAGAAATAGAGGGGGGCTGTGAGCCCAGGGTCTGACTTTATGGTGAAAATGATGAGGAAATTTCCAGGGAGGATGATAAGGTAGAAAATTAAGACTAGCACAAAGACCAGAAGTTGAGCATCTTGAGACTGGGTCAGACCAAGAAGAATGAATTCTGTCACCACTGTGAGGTTCTGTGTTTCCATAATTTCTCACTCTGCAGAATAAAATAGGGCAAATTGTTATCTGTTATAACCACCTTTTCATCTGTTTTCTATCTCCTCTCCAGATAAGAACATTATTTGTCCCAACCAATGTTCCGTAGCTGAAGACAACTTATGTCTTGTATCCTGAGTTAACCCTTCTATTCTTCATCCTCTTTATTCCTCACTAAAATAAAATACGTTTTTAGGTAGCCACATTTCCATGCCCATTTAACCTCAGGCTTCTAGGTAACTTCACTCCTGTAGGATTCCAGGCTACTTTGCTTGAAGAATATTAGAAGTTGTCTTATTAAAGCATAACTTAAGCATGATCAAGTTTGTCTGTTTTGTTTGTTTTTGTTGCTGTTAGTGGTGGTCCACTGTCTCTAAATGTTAGATTAGTTGCTAGGTTTTAGTTCCCTTTCTTCCTGTCACAGAATAAAGTGCTTTCACAGTTGCTTCTGCCACCAGTTCCTATGGAATTCTTGGTTCCTGGTTGTTACCTATATGACTGGTTTCTAAATTTGTTCCTTGCTTATTCCCATCACATTGTTGTGCTTTGGTGCTCTTGTGTATTCTTACTTCAAACTGATCACCAAGATAGCAAGCAAGATCTGTATATTTCTCTTAACTTAGAGGAATTCCCTAGTTAAAGCCTTGGCTGAGTACCACTCTGAATCTGCTCTACAACCTGTTCTTAAGTTCTAGTTAATACTAATTCAGTTTCATCTGCTCTCTATATATCTATAACCTACTTCTTCTTCAGATCTCAGAGTGAGAGCCAAATGATATTCTTTTCACAAACATTTTTGCATAATACAAAATTTATCAGAATATGTAAAAGATTTTGACTATCTCGGCTAATAAAATTAAAATATAATAGAGCTGGAATTGGCCATACAGAACATATAATCTGATGTACTCATTTGAGAGTTGAAAAAATGCAATTGCAGAGAAGTTTTAAACTTGCAATGAGTTTTCTTTTCTCTCATTATCAAGTGATAGAGGAAAGCAGGTATTTATTCCTCAGTTTACACTTTTTAGGGAATTATTTATGTCTCATCAATTGGCAATATTTTATTTAGGCACTTAAGTAAATATGATGCTGCATGTCTAAATATTCCCCCTTTTCTGGCCATAGCTTTGTCTAAATAAGTATTCTATTCATGTCAGAGAAATCTGGAATTAAGGTTTAGTCTGTATACTAATCTCCAAAATTAGATGTGTTCACCCAAGGAGGTGCACAAGATAATCCATTGGGATGCATAAAAATAATGGAACTTCTCTGCATATTATTATAAGCTATGTTTTTAAAAATGTATTTGTTCACACCTGTAATCCCAGCACTTTGGGAGACCGAGGAGGGCAGATCACAAGGTCAGGAGATCGAGACCATCCTGGCTAACATGGTGAAACCCCATCTCTACTAAAAATACAAAAACAAAATTAGCTGGGTGTGGTGGCTGGTGCTTGTAGTCCCAGCTACTCAGGAGGCTGAGGCAGGAGAATGGTGTGAACCCAGGAGGCGGAGCTTGCAGTGAGCTGAGATCGCACCACTGTACTCCAGCCTGGGCAACAGAGCGAGACTCCATCTCAAAAAAAAATATATATATATATTTGTGATTGTATTTTAATGATCGTGTTGAGATTATTATAAAATGTTTTATAAATAAATACTCACATACGATGATACCATGCATGTTTCACTATTGCAATGAATGATTTCAAAGATGAAATATTATTAATGAAAACAAAATGCTATAATGTGATATGTACAAATGTTACCCTTGACTTTTGACTACATACAATATTTATTTTCAAAAGTGCTGTGGATACAATATCATGCAATGTGACAATAAAAAGGAAGTACTGATGCATGCTATAACATGTTGATGCTTGCACAAACTCTGTAAACATACTTAAAACCATTGAATTTGTATACTTTAAATGGTGAATTTTATAATGTGCTGATTACATTTCAATATAACTTTTTTTTTGAAGCAGTGCTACTGAATGTAGGGGAGGAGGACTGGAGGAGATAAATTCTTAATTGAAATTTGACAGAAATTACTAATGGCATCCCTAGAAAAAGGAACTAGAAAGAGAGAAGGGAGAAAAAGAATAAAGAAAAATCAGCCTTAAAAATCCGTAAGAAAATTCAGGGGAAACGTAGGTAATATATTAGCATTTTACAGCACGACTATTAGGAAACATCAGAACATTTGTTTTATGTGACTAGTAACATTCGTTAACTAGCAGCAAATGCTATGGAATAAGTACTTACAACACATGGGTACATATTTATGCATTCCAAATACATATTCACACTTGTATAAACACACACATAGTGAATCTAAGAAAACCGAAATAGGAAAAAAGTATTTTGGTGTTCTTCAAATTAGTTTAGGCATTTCTGTTTCTTTTTTACCCATTTAGACACCTCTTGGCTTCCACATTTATACCTTGCTCTGCCTACAGAAACCTGGTCTTAAGAACTTAAGTCAGAAGCTCCCTCCCCTAGTCCTACCTTTTATTCATTCCAGATGTTCAATTATAGTTAGTTATCTCATGCTTCTCCAGGTTGAGGATTCCAAGACACAGGGAGCACCTGAGAGTTTCAGCCTCTCTCACTCTTCCTTTGCTTTTATTTTCTACTATTTCCGTCTATTTTCTGTTAACTAACAGATGAAATTCCATGTTACTCAACATCTTTAATCCACTTTTCTTCTTTCCTTTGTCCTCATTTATGTACCTTTTGTTCTGTTGATTCTCAAATTGTATTTGTCACAGAGATGGAGGACACATATGCATTAGATGGGCATTCCTCTGTACAAAATGAGTTCCCGAAAAAAAAAAAGCACCAAACAATGGATCTCACAGGGGCAAACTTCTTGTTCTAGTCAGATAAGACAAAGAGGCATTGTCAGTGTAGGCCAAGACAGAAACCTAAATGATGGTCACCATCTCTAACCTTCCTTATTATTTCAACAGATATATATATACGTATAGATAGATAGATAGATATAGATAGAAAGATATACACACATACATATATGTACATACATACATACTCCTTTGGCACTGAAGATGCATAAGTGGAGAGGGTCCCCATACTGTCCCGCACAACAGCTTCCAGACTGCAGAGCAGTAAGCATCTGCAGGCAACACTGTGCATATCTCAATTCCAGACTGTTTTCAGACCAGCTCCTGAAGCCAAGTGTCTGGGGACCTGATCAACATCCTAGCAGCTCACTCCCTTATCCTTCCTCATTCACTTTATCTTGCTTCTTTCTTATTTCCCATCCTTCCCCATTCTCTTCCTGCTAATTCTGTCTTCATACACTCATTTACAACAATATTTCTTTACATTCTCTTTTAGCTTCTGTTTCCTGTTACTTGCTTTTTAATTTTTTCTTGCAATTTATCTTCCTAATCCCTTGCTTTTCCTCCCTCTTTGCTCTCTTCCTTGTCATTCTCTTTCTTCTTTCTCTCATTTGCCTACATTCTTTCAGTCTTAAGTAAGTTTCACCTTGTTCTTTACACATATTCTCCTTAAATATATTCAATGCCTACCCTTTACTGATTCTGAAATAATAAATTGCTTAACCTGTTCCAAGGTAGAGTGAGCACAGTAGTTAGTTGCTTCCTATGTATTTCATTCCAATGACTTTTTCTACAGACCTAAAGTGCTTTCCTTGCTCCCCAGTGCTAAGCCTTACTTCCTGAATATTATCTTCTTTGAAATTTACTGAGTCTGAATCACTCATTAATTACTTCAGGTTTTGTCACATGTTTTGTCTGTTTTTAACTCATCTTGATAAAAATGAGGCAAGTTATTTTGGTGTTCTAAAATAGGTCTCTGGTTTGAGAATTATTTTACCTTGCTGAGTTACCATATCTGCAATTTTAGGAAGCTTAGGCAAGTTATTTAATACAATTAATGACCTTAGGCAAGTCATTTAATTTTTAATATCTGTATTTTGAATCTATTAAAGAGAAATAATATATTCGCTGTTTTTACTTCACAGGGTAGAGGGAATATGATGATCAAATTAGGTGGTTAGGAGCTAATCCACATCTGTGTAAATGAAGAGAGGAAGCATTCAGTGATAAATACGTTCTAGCAAAAAATGGATACCATGTCAATAGATCTTTTGTCACTGCCCTGGGATTAATTCCAAGGGATATGATAACAGCTTGAATCTAAGTGGATTTCAGAGTAAGAAACTGTGGAGGTTCTAGGAAGGGTCTCAGTAAAGGTTTTCTTATCTAATTCAGACATGTTTGAGAATCATGTCTTTCTTGTTTTAGGATTGCTAACTCTGAGCCTTATATTGCTGGATGTAAGGACCATGTGCAGATGGGGAAACACATGTAACTGAGTGTGGAACCAGAGGTTTCCAAACTTGTGAAGTCAATGAAGTTTGTCTCTGAGACTCAGCCTGCCCTTTTTGACTGATTGTGATTCCTTCACTCTTCCTCCCTTTACCTTTGGTTTAGGATAAAGATGAAATCAGTCATTTGTATTATATACAAATTGAAATCCAGGTGGTGAATCTTCATAATCAATTGGTATTTTTATTTTTAAAACAATAGTAGAATTAAAAATTTTAGCACCTTTAAAATAGTACTAAGTATTAGATAATAGGAGGTTTATTTGAGAAACAGGTATATTTGAGAAAAGTGCTGAACACCTGAATTTACAACTCACCCTTACTCTGTTTCTGCAGCAGAATTCTGTTCTCATAAATTTCAAGGCAGCAGATAACCAAGACAAATAGTATAATTTTTCTTTTTTTTTCTTTTTCTCTATTTAATTTAAATATAAAGAATGATAAAAAATTTTACCTTGCCGGGAGCCAAATGCTACTCTCAAACAAGTGGCTATTCTTTTCTGTCTGATAAAAGGGAGATTAGCTAATTATTTCAGAATTTGTGCTTAAATATATATTCTCATGTTGGAATATTATAAATTCTGAAATCTCTATTCATTTGTAATACAATTAATGCAATAGAGAATGTACTTTGGGGTTTTACCGCTACCTGAATTCTGCAGAGTTCTACCAATGGGAATTATTAGACTGCCAATTAGAATTAGACAAAGAAAGAGACAAGAACATTTTAAAGATTAAATATTCAAAACACATGCCAGTGAATACCCCATTGAATCATGTTAGGGTTTTGAATTTGGTATTTTATCAGTGGCAGTGATAATGGAATGTCCCATACACTTATTAGGCAAAATGATTAATGATTAATTCAATGTTAATAATGCTTCATTTAACTCAGTATATCTAAATTATTATCATTTCAAAGTTTGTCTTTAAATAAAAAGAACTTTATGCATCTTGTAGACCAGTTCCTCCAGGGGAGTGCCCCTCAAGTAAAAGAAGAAATACTCTATTGTATTATTGGTTTTTTTGAATATATGGTTCCTAAGCCCTGCTATAGGATAATGAGCTTTCTGGTTTTTAATGAAATAATATAACATAAAAATATCTAATCATACAAGAAAAAAATCAATGTAAGTTTTTTTTGTAACACATTATAAAGAAAGATGCCATTCCTCAGAGTCACATTAAAATTAAAATACCAAACTTAAATTTAATAAAGCAAATTCAATACACAGTCAAGTATGCTTTCATTCATGTTTATGCCCAGCTCAGCCAGAGATGCAGTCAGAGATGTTTAAAAGTGGACAGAGATGAAGAGAGGTAGATAACATTTTAGCAGGTTTCTTTCCTATTATGATCAGTGCTGCAACTTCTAACATATACCATTTTCCTTGGGTGAAAGCATAGCAGTATAATACAGTCCCAGAAAGATACAAAGTTAGAAATACAAGATAATTGCAAGAGAGAGAACAGAGGCAAAAAAGAGAAAAAGCATACACAAAAAAATAGGAGAAAAGATGGATAGAAAGAGAAACAATGCCCACAGAGATGCTTGTACCACAAAGCCGTAAACACAGGTTTAGAAAAAAAAAAAGACAGGATAAGAGAAGGGAATGGATGGAGAGAGAAAGATAGAGTGGTAAAGATATTTCTGAGAATGCAAATTATTTTGTTTTGTTTTTGTTTTTTATTTTTCACTTTAGTTTTGTTTTATGCAATTAAGGGACTTCCCAGGGATGTCACTTCTCAATATTGACAACAATGCTTTAGAATTAGTTAGAAGAAGATATTTTAACTGAGATATTAACTAGTGCAAAATAGACCTTTCCCCTCTGCTGAGAATGCTTTTTCATCTTAGGCAATTTTATACTATTAAAAAGAAAGATGTATGTTTGTGTGAATGTCTGTGTGTTTTAAAAGATGTATCTCAGAGTGGCCTGAACTAGCTTTCTAAACAAGGCATCCAAATGTGGTGAAACTAGCACAAGACTGGAGCTCAAAAGACAAGTTTGCAGTCCTGGTTCCAACCATGATGGTTCTGTTTTTTGAGAAAATGTCAAAAACTTCCTCCGATGTTTTGTCATCTAAAAAACTGAAAATATATTTCCTTACTTTACAAAAGGTTTTAGGTGTTTATCATTTGGAAAACTTATTACATAGGTAAGTGATTAGGCACTGGTTATTATATACAAGGTCCTCGGTCTCAGGGATTTGACATTCCAGTGGAGGGAGCCAGACAAAGAACAACAACAACAACAAAAAAGACAGTAAAATGTGGGAGAATGAAAGAATATAACAGAGGGATGTGTTGGAGGGTGAATGAGGGCGGGGGGTGGTGCTGTTATTTTAGATTGAGTAGTTAGAAAAGTTATCCCTGAGGAGCTGAAAGTTAAGCTGAGGTTTGAATGACTAGGGTAGGGCATTTCAGGCAATGTGAAGAACGAGAATGGAGACTGTGGAAGAGGATTGAGCTGGTACAGTAAGGCACAGAAAGGAGACCATCATGATGAGGAAATGGTGAGCATAAGAAGGAAAAGTATAAGGCAACATTAGAGAGGTAGGCAGATGTTATCCAGCTCATGGCATTTGGAGGTTATTCTCAGTGTGTAATTATAATGTCAACAATTGTAATCTTCAGGTCGTTCTGGCTATTGTGTGGAGAATGGGTTTGAGGGAGGCAAGTATAGGAGCAAGGAGAACAGTTTGAAGATGTTGCAGTACCAAGTACAAAAGATGATGTTGGTAACTTTGCCTGGTGGAGAGTGGGAGGAGGAGACCGTAGTAAGAAGAATTCAGAGAACTTGACATGTATTTTGATGGTGGAGACATTTAGACTTGCTGATAGACACGATGTCTTAAAAACTCCTAAGATTTTAGATGAAATAGCTATGTATGGAAGTGTAATTTATTAACATTATGAAGACCCAAACAAGATAAGGTGGTGATTGGAAAAAAACTATGCTTTTTTAAAGGTACATTTAATTTTCACATAGGAAATATATTTGCATGGTTAAGCATTTTTAAAAAGTAGAAATGAGGCCACTTTTTTTGCACCTACCACAATTAGTTTATTCTCAATTTATTCAAAGAGATTCTTTAGAAAAAAAATACATGCTGAGCTATTCTATTAAAAATATTTGTTTATAATCCTTTAATTTGAGTGGCAGTTTTCTCAGACATAAAGCCACTGAGTTATATTTTCTTGCCTGAAAAATTTGTAGGTTTTGACCCAGTGCCACTTCCATTTTAAAAATGCTAGTTAATTATTTTCTGGAGAAATGTATGAGTGACAGTCCTATGATGTTTTGTCATCTACAAAATTGAAAATGTATTTCCTTACTTTACAAAAAGTTTTGGGTGTTTTTCATTTGGAAAGCTTACTACATAGGTAAGCAATTAGGGACTGATTATTAAAGGTCCTTGGTCTCAGGGATTTGACATGCCAGTGGAGTTGACATTCCAGCAACTAGATTGCTACTCAGTGAGAACCTTATAGGTAATACCTCTCTAAATCCTGGTAATGAAAACCTCTTTCTCTGGGATGGTTTTCATTTTCTTCTTTGTATGTTTCATGTTATTAATTTTAGTAAAATGAGATTTTAGTTTGTACTTTAAGAAATAGTATCACTAGTTTATTTTGAAAAATAAATTGTATCAATGTTTACAAAACCTAATAGCAAACAGTCATATTTTGCTCAGGATAGCAAACAAGGCACAAATAGGTGCCAAATAGATTCCAGTGTTTCAGACAAGTCAGTTCTTGATAGTGTAACATGATGTTTGATTAAAAATTTTATTTTATTTAATGGTAAATTACTGATATTGAACACAGATGGTAATCAGTAATTTAAAAAAAAGTAGAGGAGAAACCCACCCAAATTTAAAATCACATTGATAAAACTTAGAGAATTGGGGGAATCTTTGTTTTACAGGCAGGTTGACTGGCTAATTTGGAGGCAGCAATACAAATTAAAGGACTAGCTATGGGCTGTTCTCTAACATCTATACTTATTTGCATATTCTTGGGATGCAGGGTGGGTTCAACATAGGCAAATCAATAACTGTGATTCACCATATAAACAGAATTAAAAACAAAAATGGTATAATCATCTTAATGACACAGAAAAAGCTTTTGATACAGTTCATCATTGGTTCATGAGAAAAACACTCAAGAAACTAGGCATTTATAGAAGGAACATACCTCAAAATAATAAGATCCATTTATGTCATACCCACTGCCAACATCTTACTGAATGGGAAAAAGCTGGAAGCATTCCCCTTGAGAAATGGAACAAGACAAGGATGTCTATTCTCATCATTCCTATTCAACATAGTGCTGGGAAACTGAGCCAGAGCCATCAGGCAAGAGAAAGAAATAAATTACATCCAAATAAAAAAATAAAATATCAAATTACCTTTGTTTGGTGATTATATAACACTAAACATAGAAAACTCTAACTCCACTAAAAGGCTCCAAGGACTGATAAATGATAAATATACCAGAATCAGCAGCATTTCTATACAGCACTAACATTCAGGTTGAGAGACAAATCAAGAATGCAATCTCATTTACAATAGCTCTGCACACACACACACACACACACACACACACACACACACACAACCCAACAACATGTAAAAGCATATCTAACCAAGGAGGTGAAATATCCCTACAAGGAACTACAAAACACTATTGAAAGAAATCATAGCCTACAGAAACAACTGGGAAAACATTCCATGCTCATTGTTTGGAAGAATCAATATTGTTAAAATGGTCATACTGCTCAAAGTAATGTACAGATTCAATGCTGTTACTATCAAATTACCAATGCCATTCTACACAAAATTAGAAAAAAATCCTAAAATTGATATGGAACAAAAAAGATCCTGAATAGCTAAAGCAATTCTAAGCAAAAAGAACAAAGCTGGAGGCATCACATTACCTGACTACTATACTACAAGGCTAAAGTAGCCAAAAGGCATGATACTATGCAAAAACAGACACATAGACCAATGAAATAGGATAGAGAACTCAGAAGTAAAGCCTCACACATACAACCATCTGATTTTTGACAAAGTTGACAAAAGCAAGCAGTGGGAAGAGGACTCCCTATTCAACAAACAGTACTGAGATAACTGGCTAGCCATCTGCAGAAGACTGAAACTGGACCCCTTCTGTATTAGTCTGTTCTCACTCTACTAATAAAGACATACCTGAAGCTGGGTAATTTATGAATAAAAGAGGTTTAATTGACTCAGTTCCACATGGCTTGCGAGGCTTCACAATCATGGCAGAAGGCAAAAGAGGAGCAAAGTCATGTCTTACATGGCAGCAGGCAAGAGAGTGTATACAAGAGAACTCTCCTTTATAAAACCATCAGATCTCATGAGATTTATTCACTATCATGAGAAAAGCATGGGAAAGACCGACCCCCAAGATTCAATTATCTTCCACCAGTCCCTCCTCTAACACATGGGAATGATGGGAGCTACAATTTATTTATTTATGTATTTATGTATTTATTTATTTATTATGGGCCGGGCACGGTGCCTCATGTTTGTAATCCCAGCACTTTGGGAGGCTGAGCTGGGTGGATGTCTTGAGCCCAGGAGTTTGAGTCTAGCCTGGGCAACATGGTTAAACCTCATATCTACTAAAAATACAAAAAGTTAACCAGGCACCGTGGTGCAGCTACTTTGTAGGCTGAGGTAGGAGGATCACCTGAGCCTGGGAAGTCAGGCCAGGCTCCCAGGCCTGGCCCATAAAAAAGCTTTCTATAGGTTTTTTTTTAAAATTTATTATACTTTAAGTTCTGGGATACATGTGCAGAATGTGCAGGTTTGTTACACAGGTATACAAGTGCCACGGTGGTTTGCTGCACTCATCAACCCATCATCTATGTTTTAAGCCCTGCATGAATTAGGCATTTGTCCTAATGCTCTCTCTCCCCTTCCCTGCCAACCCCCAACAGGCCCCAGTGTGTGATGTTCCCCTCCCTGTGTCCATGTATTCTCATTGTTCAACTCCCACTTATGAGTGAGAATATACAGTGTTTGGTTTTCTGTTCTTGTGTTAGTTTGCTGAGAATGATGGTTTCCAGCTTCATCCATGTCCCTGCAAAGGACATGAACTCATTCTTTTTATGGCTGCATGGTATTCCATGGTGTATATGTGCCACATTTTCTTTCAGTCTATCATTGATGGGCATTTGGGTTGGTTCCAAGTCTTTGTTACTGTAAATAGTGCTGCAGTAAACATACATGGACATGTGTCTTTATAGTAGAATGATTTGTAATCCTTTGGGTATATACCCAGTAATGGGATTGCTGGGTCAAATAGTATTTCTGGTTCTAGATCCCTGAGGAATCATCACACTGTCTTCCACAATGGTTGAACTAATTTACACTCCCACCAACAGCGTAAAAGCGTTCCTATTTCTGATTGGAGCTACAACGTAAGATGAGTTTTGGGTGGAGACACAGTCAAACCGCATCACCTTCCTTTCAGTATATACAAAAATTAACTCAAGATAAAGGAAAAACTTACATGTAAGGCCTAAAACTATTACAATCCTAGAAGGAAACCTATTAAATATTATTCTGGACATTGATCTTAGGAAAAATTTATGATGACATCCACAACGCAATTGCAATAAGAATAAAAACTGGCAAGTGAGACCCAATTAAACTAAAGAGCTTCTACAGCAGAAGAAAATATCAAGAACAAATAACTTACAGAATGGAAGAAAATATTCACAAGCTATGCATTTGACAAAGGTATAATATCCAGAATCTATAAGAAACTTAACGTAACAAGCAAAAACCAAACAACCTCATTAAAAAAGTGGGCAAAGGATATGAACAGATACTTCTCAAAAGAAGACATACATGCAGCCAACAAACATATGAAAATGTACTCAACATCACTAATCATCAGAGAAATGCAAATCAAAACCCCAATGAAATACCATCTCACACCACCAAAATGGCTATTATTAAAAGTTCAGAAAACAACAGATATTGATGAGACTACAGAAAAAAGAGAACACTTATACACTATTGAAGGGAATGCAAATTAGTTCAGCTCCTTTGGAAAGCACTTTGGAGATTTCTCAAAGAACTCCCCATTCAACCCAGCAATCCCATTATTGGTTATATACCTGAAGGAAAATAGATTACTATACCAAAAAGACACATGCATTCATATGTTCATCACTGCACTGTTGACAATAGCAAAGACATGGAATCAACAAAATGCCCATCAACAATGGACTGGACAAAGAAAATGTCATACATATACACCATGGAATACTATCCAGCTATAAAAGGAATGAAACGGTGCCCTTTACAGAAACATGGATGCAGCTGGTGGTCATTATCCTAAAGGAAATTAATGCAGGAACAGAAAACCAAATATCATGTGTTCTCACTTACAATTGGGAGCTAAACATTGGGTGCGCATGGATATAAAGATGGGAACAAAGGATGCTGGGAATTAATAGAGTTGGGACAGTGGGAAAGGGTTGAGAGTTGATAAACTATTAAATGACAAAACCACAATTACTTTTGCACCATCCTAATACCTATTGGGTACTATGTTCACTACATGAGTACCGGGATCAGTCATACCCCTAATCTCAGTATCACACAATATATCCATGTAATAACACTGCACATATACCCTCTGAACCTATAACAAAAAATGAAGAAAGAAAAACAGCTATGTCTACTATTATTCCACACTGGACCATGAGGGGCAAACTTAGTTCTCCATGAATAGTTAGAATATCTTCAGACAAATAGAACCTCTGTTATTTTTATTATTCACTCATTTTTATTCATTCATAATGAAATTATGGCAGAGTTTCTCTCAAATGCTGAACACACTACCTGGCCTGATAAGAAGACTATAGCTACATGTATTCATATGAAAGGACCTATCTCTGTGATGACTGTGTTCCTCAGTTTAAACTGGAAAGTTGATACACATAGACAAAGACAGACTAAGAGTTAACCACACCTATTCCAAAATTGACCACATACTGGGAAGTAAAGCTCTCCTCAGAAAATGTAAAAGACAGAAATTATAACAAACTGTCTCTCAGACCACAGTGCAATCAAACTAGAACTTAGGATTAAGAAACTCAAAACTGCTCAACTACATGGAAACTGAACAACCTGCTCCTGAATGACTACTGGGTACATAACGAAATGAAGGCAGAAATAAAGATGTTCTTTGAAACCAACGAGAACAAAGACACAACATGCCAGAATCTCTGGGACACATTCAAAGCAGTGTGTAGAGGGAAATTGATAGCACTAAATGCCCACAAGAGAAAGCAGGAAAGATCCAAAATTGACACCCTGACATCACAATTAAAAGAACCAGAAAAGCAAGAGCAAACACATTCAAAAGCTAGCAGAAAGCAAGAAATAATTAAAATCAGAGCAGAACCGAAGGAAATAGAGACACAAAAAACCCTTCAAAAAATTAATGAATCCAGGAGCTGGTGTTTTGAAAGGATCAACAAAATTGATAGACCACTAGCAAGACTAATAAACAAAAAAAGAGAGAAGAATCAAATAGACACAATAAAAAATTATAAAGGGGATATCACCACCGATCCCACAGAAATACAAACTACCATCAGAAAATACTACAAACACCTCTACGCAAATAAGCTAGAAAATCTAGAAGAAATGGATAAATTCCTTGACACATACACTCTCCCAAGACTAAACCAGGAAGAAGTTGAATCTCTGAATAGATCAATAACAGGATCTGAAATTGTGGCAATAATCAATAGCTTACCAACCAAAAAGAGTCCAGGACCAGATGGATTCACAGCTGAATTCTACCAGAGGTACAAGGAGGAACTGGTACCATTCCTTCTGAAACTATTCCAATCAATAGAAAAAGAGGGAATCCTCCCTAACTCATTTTATGAGGCCAGCATCTTCCTGATACCAAAGCCGGGCAGAGACACAACCAAAAAAAAGAGAATTTTAGACCAATATCCTTGACGAACATTGATGCAAAAATGCTCAATAAAATACTGGCAAAACGAACCCAGCAGCACATCAAAAAGCTTATCCACCATGATCAAGTGGGCTTCATCCCTGAGATGCAACGTTGGTTCAATATATGCAAATCAATAAATGTAATCCAGCATATAAACAGAACCAAAGATAAAAACCACATGATTATCTCAATAGATGCAGAAAAGGCCTTTGACAAAATTCAACAACCTTTCATGCTAAAAACTCTCAATAAATTACGTATTGATGGGACGTATCTCAAAATAATAAGAGCTATCTATGACAAACCCACAGCCAATATCATACTGAATGGGCAAAAACTGGAAGCATTCCCTTTGAAAACTGGCACAAGACAGGGATGCCCTCTCTCACCACTTCTATTCAACACAGTGTTGGAAGTTCTATTCAGGGCAATTAGGCAGGAGAAGGAAATAAAGAGTATTCAATTAGGAAAAGAGGAAGTCAAATTGTCCCTGTTTGCAGATGACATGATTGTATATCTAGAAAACCCCATTGTCTCAGCTCAAAATCTCCTTAAGCTGATAAGCAACTTCAGCAAAGTCTCAGGATACAAAATCAATGTACAAAAATCACAAGCATTCTTATACACCAAGAACAGACAAACAGAGAGCCAAATCATGAGTGAACTCCCATTCACAATTGCTTCAAAGAGAATAAAATACCTAGGAATCCAACTTACAAGGGATGTGAAGGACCTCTTCAAGGAGAACTACAAACCACTGCTCAATGAAATAAAAAAGGATAAAAACAAATGGGAGAACATTCCATGCTCATGGGTAGGAAGAATCAATATCGTGAAAATGGCCATACTGCCCAAGGTAATTTATAGATTCAATGCCATCCCCATCAAGCTACCAATGACTTTCTTCACAGAATTGGAAAAAACTACTCTAAAGTACATATGGAACCAAAAAAGAGCCCGCATCGCCAAGTCAATCCTAAGCCAAAAGAACAAAGCTGGAGGCATCACACTACCTGACTTCAAACTATACTACAAGGCAACAGTAACCAAAACAGCATGGTACTGGTACCAAAACAGAGTTATAGATCAATGGAACAGAACAGAGCCCTCAGAAATAACGCCGCATATCTACAACTATCTGATTTTGACAAACCTGACAAAAACAAGCAATGGGGAAAGGATTCCCTATTTAATAAATGGTGCTGGGAAAACTGGCTAGCCATATGTAGAAAGCTGAAACCGGATCCCTTCCTTACACCTTATACAAAAATCAATTC
Organism: Homo sapiens; assembly: GCF_000001405.40. Classification (NCBI taxonomy): domain Eukaryota; kingdom Metazoa; phylum Chordata; class Mammalia; order Primates; family Hominidae; genus Homo; species Homo sapiens. The sequence goes on along the minus strand of NW_025791796.1, from coordinate 331,726 downwards.
AAGATGGATTAAAATCTTAAACGTTAGACCTAAAACCATAAAAACCCTAGAAGAAAACCTAGGCATTACCATTCAGGACATAGGCATGGACAAGGACTTCATGTCTAAAACACCAAAAGCAATGACAACAAAAGACAAAATTGACAAATAGAATCTAATTAAACTAAAGAACTTCTGCACAGCAAAAGAAACTACCATCAGAGTGAACAGGCAACCTACAAAATGGGAGAAAATTTTCACAACCTACTCATCTGACAAAGGGCTAATATCCAGAATCTACAATGAACTCCAACAAATTTACAAGAAAAAAACAAACAACCCCATCAAAAAGTGGGCAAAGGACATGAACAGACACTTCTCAAAAGAAGACATTTATGCAGCCAAAAAACACATGAAAAAATGCTCACCATCACTGGCCATCAGAGAAATGCAAATCAAAACCATAACGAGATACCATCTCACACCAGTTAGAATGGCAATCATTAAAAAGTCAGGAAACAACAGGTGCTGGAGAGGATGTGGAGAAATAGGAACACTTTTGCACTGTTGGTGGGACTGTAAATTAGTTCAACCATTTTGGAAGTCAGTGTGGCGATTCCTCAGGGATCTAGAACTAGAAATACCATTTGACCCAGCCATCCCATTACTGGGTATATACCCAAAGGACTATAAATCATGCTGCTATAAAGACACATGCACACGTATGTTTATTGTGGCATTATTCACAATAGCAAACACTTGGAACCAACCCAAATGTCCAACAATGATAGACTGGATTTAGAAAATGTGGCACATATACACCATGGAATACTATGCAGCCATAAGAAATGATGAGTTCATGTCCTTTGTAGGGACATGGATGAAACTGGAAATCATCATTCTCAGTAAACTATTGCAAGAACAAAAAACCAAACACTGCATATTCTCACTCATAGGTGGGAGTTGAACAATGAGAACACATGGACACAGGAAGGGGAACATCACACTCTGGGGACTGTTGTGGGGTGGGGAGAGGGGGGAGGGATAGCATTGGGAGATATACCTAATGCTAGATGATGAGTTAGTGGGTGCAGCACACCAACAAGGCACATGCATACATATGTAACAAACCTGCACAATGTGCACATGTACCCTAAAACTTAAAGTATAATAATAAATTTTAAAAAAATAAAAAAAAGAAAAGATCATCACAATCGAGATTGTGAACATATTCCTCAACCCCAAATTTCCCTTGTCCTTTAATAGCTTCTCTTTCAAGTCCTTCCATATATCCTTCCTCTCTGACCAACCAGAAATTTGTGTTCAACTATTATTATTTATAAGTTTGTATACACTACATTTTTATGTAAATGAAATAAAGCAGGATCTATTTTTTTAGTCTGGCTTCTTTCCTTTGTGTTCTATTGTTATTTATAACTTTGTATACTCTAGAGTTTTATATAAATGAAATAAAATAGTATGTATTTTTTCATTCTGGCTTCTTTCACTCATCATACTTTTGGTATTTATCTTATTGTTGTGTGTATCAGTAGAGTATTCCCTTTTTATTTCTGAGTAGTATTCCATACCACAATTTGGTATTGATTAATCTGCTGAAGGACATTTGGGTTGTCTCCAGTTTTGGCTACTACAAATACAGCTACCATGAACATTTGTGTACATATCTCTGTGTGACTTGAATAGTTTAATCATTGATTGAGACTTTTTCATGGCTTAGAGGATGATCTAATTTGCCTGTGTTATGTTTTCTATGTGTATTATCTAAAATGTGTGTGTACTTTGAAAAGAAGGAGTTTTCTGACATTTTGGTCAAAGTGTTCTGTATCAATTATATTAAATTGGTTTATCAGTTATTGAGAGAGGGTATTAAAGTATTTAATTATAAATTTGTGTGTGCCTTTTCTCCTTGTAGTTCTATCAATTTTTGTTTCATATATTTTAAATCTTTATTATTGGGGAGGTACACAGTTGTTATATCATGATGGTTAATTGACCCCTTTCTCTGTAAAATATGGCCTTCTTTATCTGTGGTAATGTCCTTTGTTCTGAAACATACTTTGCATGTAATTAAAATAGCCCTTGAAGTTTTCTTTTGATTTATGTTAACATTATATGTATTTTTCCTTTCTTTTATAATTATTATTATTTTATTAAAAAAACTGTCCTCTCCCAATTGTCTGTTCTTGGAATTTTTGTCAAAAAATAGTTGACCCTAAATGCATGGAATTATTTTTGGGCTCTTCATTCTGTTTCACTTGTCTTTGCATCTGTTATGCCAATACCATGCTATTATAATAACTATAGCTTTGCAGTATATTTTGAAGACAGGTAGTGTGATGCCACCAGCTTTGTTCTTTTTACCTAAGATTGTTTTTGCTATCTGGAGTCCTTTGTGGATCCCTACAAATTTCCTAATTTTTTTCTATTTCTGTGGAAAATGTCATTGGAATTTTGATAAGGATTGCATTGAATCTATAAATTTCTTTGAGTAATACAGACATTTTAGCAATCCTTTTTGTATTTTCAAAATTTATTTTATGAAGGTATTATTCTGATACCAAGTCTAGCAGAAACAAACAAATCAAACCCACAAACAAAGGCAACCACCAAACCTTACAGAAAAAAATCTCACTTGTGAATATAGATGTGCAAATCCTACATAATGTAAGAATTTAGCAACCTCTCAAAAACACTGCACCATGATCTATAAGCATTAATTAAAGAATACAGATGTGAATCAAATTTTAGAAATATATTAATACATTGTATTGATAGCATATTACAATAGAAAAAATATATAAATAATAATACATAACCCATTCATCTCTCACTTCTTATAAAATCCTTTCAAACTTTATTAATCTTATAAAAATGTCTATCTCTGCTTATAGCTAACACATATTGAGCCATAAAATACTGAAAAAGATAAATTTCTTATTTTATTTTTGAGTTAGGCATCTCACTATATTGCCCAAGCTGGTCTCTAATTCCCGGGCTCAAGCAATCTTCCCACCTCAGGCTCCCCAGTAGATGGGATTGCAGGCACATGTCACCACAGCTGGTGATTAATTTGTATTAAAATAAATTACCTACCTCTGTTAGGATTGTTTAATATTGTTTTAGAATTATGGCCAAAGAAATAAAACAATTAAAGTGAGATTAAAAAAACAGGAAAGGTGAAGTAAAAATGATTGTCATAGACACCTAGCAAACTCCAAATCAATTAAGAGTTAAATTAATTAGAAAGCATGATATATTTATAAAAGATAATTATATACAGCTATAAATACAAGCAGATTGTTTAGGGAAACATAAGATGTTTCTAAAATATAATTAACAAAAAAGAAATACACAATGAAATAAATACAGTTGTTTAATAAACATGAAAAATGCTTTATTTCACTGAAATGACAATGAAAATTTAAACACCAAAGGGATAATATTTTTGCCTATCAAATTCACAAAGATTTGAAATATAATACTAATGGTATTGGAAATAGGTATGTTGCTGATAAACGTGCAAATAATAATTCTTACAATCCATGAATGCAAGATATCTTTTCATTTATTTGTATCTTCTTCAGTTACATTTAACAATGTTAAATGTTAAATGAGCGATAAGATCTTTCACCTCCTTGGTAAAATTTATTCCTAAGTATTTTATGTATTATAGCTATTGTAAATGAGATGTTTCCTGATTCTTTTTCAGATAGTTTGTTGCTAATGTATAGAAACACTACCAATTGTTGTATATTGATTTTTTATCCTTTAACTTTACTGAATTTGTTTATTAGTTCTAACAGTTATAACAGTTTTCTGGTGGAGTTATTAGGGACTTTTAGATACAAGTTGACATGATTTGCAAACAGAGACAATTTGACTTCTTTGTTTCCAATTTGGATGCCTTTCATTTCTCTTGCCTAAATGCTCTGGCTAGGACTTCTATGTTGAAAAAATGTAGTGAGACTGTACATCTTTGTCTTGCTCTCGATCTTAGAGGAAAAGCCTTTCAGCTTTTCATCTTGAGAATGATGTTACTTGTGGGCTTGTCATATATGACCTTTATTGTGTTAAGCTATATTTATTCTACAATTAATTTTTTGAGAGTTTATATTATGAAAGGATGTTGAATGTTGTTAAATGGTTTTTATGCATTTATTGGGATGATCATATTGTTTTTATCTTCATTCCATCTATGTGGTATATCCTATTTATAGATTTCCATATGTTGAACCATCCTTGCATCCCCAGGATAAATCTCACTTGATCATGGTGAATAATCCTTTTAACGTGTTGTTGAATTTAATTTTCTAGTATTTTGTTGAGGATTTTGCCTTCCTTAAGGATAATGGCTTGTTCTTTTCTTTTCTTTTCTTTTGTGTTTTTGTCTGGCTTTAGTATCAGTGTAATGCTGGCCTCATAAAATGATTTTGGAAATTCTCCTTATCAATTTTTTAGATTAGTTTGGGGAAAATGGTGTTATTTCTTTTTTTAAATGTTTGGTAGAATTCAACAGCATAGCCATCAGTTCTTGGACTTTTCTTTGGTGAGATGCTTTTTATTACTAATTCAATCTCCTTAATCTTGATTAGTCTGTTCAGGTTTTCTATTTCTTCCTGATTCACTCTTGGTAAACTCTTTTTTTCTATGAATTTATTCATTTCTTCTAGGTTATCCAATTTGTTGGTAAATAATTATTTATAATAGGGTCTTTCAATCCTTTGTATTTCTGTGGTATCAGTTGTTAAGGTTTCCTCTTTAACTTCTAACTTTATTTTGGTAGTCTTAATTTTTGTTTTCTTAGTCTAGCTAAAGGTTTATTGATTTTGCTCATCTTTTCCAAAAACCAACTCTTAGTTTTGTTGATCTCTATTGTTTTTCTGGTCTCTATTTAATTTATTTTTGCTCTGATCTTTGTAAATTTTCTCCTCTCTACTATTTTAGGCTTAATTTGGTCTTTTCCCCCTAGTTTCTTGAAGTGTTATGTTAGGTTATTTGAAATCTTCTTTCTTTTTTGATGCAGCTGTTTATTGTCATAAACTTCTCTTAGAATTGTATTTTCTGCATGTCATAAGTTTTATTTTATCGTGTGTCCATTTTTCCTTGTTTCAAGATATTTTAAAATTTCCCTTCTAATTTTTTCATTGACTCATTAGTTATTTAAGGGCATATTATTTAATTTCCATGCAATTATGAATTATTCAAAATTCCTCTGTTATTGATTTCTAGTTTACTGTCATTGTGATGAGAATAGATATTTTATATTATTTCAGTCTTATAAATTTGATAAGACTTGTTCTATGGGCTAACATGTTTTATATAGGAAAATGATCTGTGTGCACTTGAGAAGAATGTCTATTCTACTGCTCTTGGATGAAACGTTCTGTATATGTTTGTTAGGTCCTTTTGGTCTAAAGTATAGTTGAAGTCCAGTATTTCCTTACTGATTTTCTTTCTGGGTGATCTGTCTGTTGTTGAAAGTGTGGCCTTGACAAGCCCCACTTTTGTATTTTTGTATTGCAGTCTATCTCTCATTTAAGAACATTTGCTTTCCCTACCAACAGTGTAAAAGAATTCCCTTTTCTCTTCATCCTTGCCAGCATTTGCTACTTTTGTTATATTTGGTAATAGTCATCTTAACTGGGGTGATATGATACTGCATTATGATTGTGATATATATTTCTCTGATGAATAGTGGTGTTGAGTATCTTTTCATATATTTGTCAGCCATTTGTATGTCTTCTTTTAAGAAATGTCTGTTCAGATTGTTAGCCCATTTTAAACTCAGATTATATTATTTTTGCTGTTAAGATGTTCAGTACCTTGTGTATTCTGGATGTTAATCCCTTGTGAGATAAATACTTTGAAAATAGTTTCTCCCATTCTATAGGTTGTCTTTTGCACTGTTGAATTTTTTCCTTTACTGGGCAGAGAACTTTTAGTTTGATATAATCCCACTTGTTTACTTTTGCTTTTGTTGCCTGTGTTTTCGAAGTCTGAGAGACAGCTGCACCCCCATGTTTATTACAGCACTATCCACAATAGCCAAGATATAGAATCAACCTAGGTGTCAACAACAGACGAATAGATAAAGAAAATGTGGTATATATACACCATGAAATACTATTCAGCCATAAAAAAGAATAAAATCCTGTTATTCACGATAACATAGGACTGAAGCACATTATGTTAAGTGAAATATGCCTGAAACAGGAAGTTAAACATATATTATTCTTACTTATATGTGGAAGCTAAGAAAAGTTGATCTCATAGAAGTAAAAAGTATAACAGGATATGAGAGGCTGAGGAAGGTAATGAAAAAGAAGAGAGAGGTGGAGATTTGTTAAAAGATACAAAATTACAACCATAGGAACACTTTTTAGTGTTCTATGCCACAGTGATATATCATATAATTTCAAATTGCTGGAAGAAGGATATTGAACATTCCCAATAAAAATAAATGACAAATGTTTTAGATGATGGATACACAAGTTATCCAGATATGGTCATCATACATTGTACATACCAAAAACATCACTATATACCCATGGATATAGGTAAACATTATTTGTCAATAAAATAAAATAATAAATTTTAAAAATATTTGCTCTTATGTTTAGTGTGTATATATTTAAGATTTTTATATTCTCCTGATGAAACATCCCTTTAATCATTACATAATGACATCCTCTGCCTCTTTTTATAGTTTTACTTACATTTTATCTCTTTAAATATGGCTATCCCTGCTGTCTTTGGTTTTCATTTGCATGGAATATCATTTTCTATCCCTTCACTTTCAGTCTATTTATGTCCTTAAATATGAAGAAAATCTCTTGGAGGCAGTATGTAGTTGGGTTTTATCTTTTTATTCATTTAGCCACTCTGTGTCTTTTGTTCAGATAATTTAATTCATTCACATTCCAGATAATTGTTGGTAGGTAAGTAGAGTCATCCCTCAGTGACTTTAGGCAACAGACTCCAAGACCTCCCTGTGATTATCAAAATCTATAGATGCTTAAGTCCCTTATACAAAATGTCACAGTATTTGCATAAAACTTACATGCATTCTGTTGTATGATTTATACCAACTCTAGATAACTTATAATATCAAATAAAATGTAAATAGTTGTTATACTTGTTTTAAAATTTTGTATTATTTTTATTGTTGTGCTGTTATTTATTTATTTATTTTTGATAGTTTTGATCTGTGGTTGATTGAGTCTGTGAATGTAAAACCTATGGATATGCCAGAAAACTGACTGTGCTTAGTACCTCCATTTTATTAATTGTTTTCTGGTTATTTTTTACACTCTTTGTTCCCTTCCTTTTCTTTTGCTTCATCTTTCTCTTTCGTCTTCATTTATTCATAGTTTATTTTCTCCAGCATATGCTTTGATTTTTTATTTTTTTTGTTTTTGTAAATGCTCTATAGGTTTTTCATTTGTAGTTACCATAAGGCTTACATAACACATCTTATGGTTATCATAGACTATTTTAAGTGAATAAATACCTAACTTTGATTGCATTTAAAAAGTCTACACTTTTATTCTACCTCCCCCACACATTTTATGTTTTTACTGTCACAATTTACATATTTTTATGTTATTTATTTTTAAACAAATTTCTGGAATTTTAAAAACTATTTCAATCTCTTCATCAAATTTCCCCATTTTTTTGTTTGTTGTTTGCTTGATTTTGTTGAATTATTTCCCTGTATGTTCTTGGACTTTACTGCACTTCCTTAAGACAATTATTGTGAAGTCTTTGTCTGGGAGTTCATAGGTCTCTGTTTCTTTGGAGACAGATACTGGAAAATTATTGTGTTCCTTTCATGGTGATACTCCCTTTTGGTTTTTGGTGTTTCTTGTTGTCTTAAGCAGATTTCTGTGCATTTGTTGGAGCAGTCATCTCTTCCAGACTTCACAGGCTGGTTTCAGTACAGAAAGAACTTCCCCTGTATGGAGGTGTGAGGGGATTGGTTGAGTAAAACACAACTGCTCTGACTATTGTGAAGGTGCAGCAGTGTCGTGTTTGTGTAGCTCCTCCAGCTGAGGTTGGCATTGATGAAGATTGTAGGGAACTTCAGCAGCCAATGATGTAGATGTTTGAAGTGGTGACAAAAATTGTTGTGGTCTTTGGTGGCTAGGGCTGCTAAAGTCCTTTCTATCTCTTTTTCTCCCACTGGGGATGTTGTGGCTGGAGGAATCCCTCTTGGCACTGGGTCCAGCTTGAGAAACTGCTTGTGGTGGTTTTGGCATAAATGTCTGACGAGGGGTACCCTAGGGGAAGCCATGGATCTGGAGCCATAAGCGCAGGTATGAATGGAGGTACTATAGATCTGTGGTTTGGGATAGTAATGGCAGCAGTATCTGGGCCCAGGAATTCCACTGCCCAAACTATAATGGTATGCAAGGTGCAGGTGCTTTTGAAATAGCTGGGGACCTTGTGACGGAAGTATGGGTAAGTGCAGAGTTGCAGTGGCTCTGAGTTTGAGGTAGAAACTAATTCTCTATGGTGGCTGAGCCGGTGCTCAGCACACAGTCACACAAGAAAACCATCTTGGTTCTAGGACTAGAGTTCATTTACCTAGAATGTATAATTTTCTTTTTGGAGTCAGACACACAGTTTTTTTGAATTGAAATACATGGGGACAAGGAGGTGAAAGTGAGATTTTATAATATTAACAACCATAAAGGTATCTTCATGAATTCTTATTTTGGAAGCTACAAGAAAAATGAGTGTAGGTAGATATGGAAAGTCTGAATTACTGGTTTCTTAGGAGACACTGCATATGAGTGCTGACTTAGACATTAATATTGTAAAGAAGACAGAGAACCAAACATGATCTCACAGTGAGTGCCAAATCATTTAACTCAATTATACAGTAAAAATGTGACAGACATTTTGAGGATTCACTTTATTTCATTTACATCAAAAGCCATTGTAACAACTAAACAAAGTACATATCTATCAAGCTCCTCTGAAGGACAAGTGAGTCTCTGACACCTTTTATAACTCAGTCAACATTTTAAAAATCAATAATTTATTATTTTTGGTGCTGCATTAAAAATAATCTTGACTGACTACTGTAATCTTACTGCATTTTACTTGCCTTCATCTCAGTGTAGCTAATAACTCTATACTTAAGAGAAACCTTTAAAAATATAAAAAATTATTGTTTCTCTGCTACTATTATTATTATTATTTTAAGATGGACTCTCACTCTGTCACCCAGGCTGGAGGGCAGTGACACAAACTCAGCTCACTGAAGCCTCTGCCTCCTGGGTTCAAGCAATTCTCCTGCCTCAGCCTCCTGAATAGCTGGGATTGCAGGGATGCACCACCACGCCTGGCTAATTTTTGTATTTTTGGTAGAGGCAGGGTTTCGCCATGTTGGCCAGGCTGGTCTCAAACTCCTGACCTCAAGTCAGCCAAGGCAACCTGCCTTGGCTCTGTTGCGGGAAGTCAGGGACCCCGAACAGAGGGACCTGCTGAAGCCGTGACAGAAGAACATAAATTTTGAAGATTTCATGGACATTTATTAGTTCCCCAAATTAATATTTGTATAATTTCTCATGCCTGTCTTTACTACAATCTCTGAACATAAATTGTGAAAATTTCATGGACATTTATCACTTCCCCAATCAATACTCTTGTGATTTCCTATGCCTGTCTTTACTTTAATCTCTTAATCCCATCATCTTCTTAAGCTGAGGATGTATGTTGCCTCAGGACCCTGTGATGATTATGTTAATGGCACAAATTGTTCATAAAGCATGTGTGTTTAAACAATATGAAATCTGGGCACTTTGAAAAAAGAACAGGATAACAGCGATGTTCAGGGAACAAGAGAGATAACCATTAGGTCTGACTGCCTGGGAGCTGGGTGGAACAGAGTCATATTTCTCTTCTTACAAAAGTGAATAGGAGAAATATCGCTGAATTCTTTTTCTCAGCAAGGAATAACCCTGAGAAGGAGAATGCATTCCTAGGGGGAGGTCTCTAAAATGGCCGCTCTGGCAATGTCTGTCTTACACGGCTGTAGATAAGGGATGAAATAAGCCCCAGTCTCCTGTAGTGTCCCCAGGCCTATTAGGGTGAGGAAATTCCTGCCTAGTAAATTTTAGTCAGACCGGTTGTCCGCTCTCAAACCCTGTCTCCTGATAAGATGTTATCAATGGCAATGAGTGCCCAGTGGGGCATAAAACTTCATTAGCAATGTTAATTTCACCCTGGTCCTGTGATCTTGCTCTGTCCCCATTTGCCTTGTGATATTTTATTGCCTTGTGATGCATGTGATCTCTGTGACCCACACCCTATTCGTACACTGCCTCCCTTTTGAAATCCATAATAAAAACTTGCTGGTTTTGCAGCTTGGGGGGCATCACGGAACCCGCTGACATGTGATGTCTCCCCTGGACACCCAGCTTTAAAATTTCTCTCTTTTGTATTCTTTCCCTTTATTTCTCAGACCAGTCAACACTTAGGGAAAATAGAAAAGAACCTATGTTGAAATATTGGGGGCTGGTTCCCCTGATATTCCTCCCAAAGTGTGGGGATTACAGGCATCAGCCACCATGCCCGGCCTCTACCATTATATTTTTAATCTAAGTATCTTCTCTAGAATTCACAAAAGCTCTCCAGAGTTTTTTCATGGATATCTTCATTTCTTTGTTTCTCAGAGTATAGATAATTGGATTCAAGATAGGAGTGATGATGGTATAAAACACAGCAAGGAACTTATCTACAGAGTGGTTGCCGAAGGGCCAAATGTAGATAAAGATGCATGGGCCAAAGAAGAGAATCACCACTGTGATGTGAGCAGTCAAAGTGGAACGGGCTTTAGATTGCCCAGTAGGAGAGTGGTTCTTAATGGTTATGAGGATCAGACTGTAGGAGATAAGCAAAATAATGAAACAGCTCAGGGAGATTATGCCACTGTTGGCAACAATGACTACCTGTACAAAATATATGTCTATACAGGCAAGCTTAGTAACCAAAGGGAGGTCACAAAAAATGCTGTCTACCACATTGGGACCACAAAAGGGCAAGTTCACAGCAAATGGTATCTGAAACCCTGAGTGAAGGAGACCCAAGAGCCATGAGGTCACTACAAGCAAAACACATACCTTCTTGTTCATGATGGTCATGTAGTGTAGGGGCTTACAAATGGCCACATATCTGTCAAAAGCCATGGAGACCAACAGTACCATTTCAACCCCACCCAGTAAGTGAAGGAGAAATATCTGAGTGAAGCACCCAGCAAAAGAAATTACCTTCTGCTTTTTTAACAAGTTCAGAATCACCTTAGGGGTGGCAAAAGAAGCAAGGGTCATATCTACAAAAGAGAGATTACCAAGGAGAAAATACATGGGAGTATTCAGGTTAGGGGTGTTAAACACTGTGACTATAATAAGAAGGTTACCCAAAACTGTGACCACATAGATAACCGAGAAGAGGGCAAAGAGAAGAAACTCTACATCCTGGGAGCTGGTCAGTCCCAGCAAAATGAATTCTGACACTTGAGATTGATTTAATAGTTTCATGGCCTCCATCCTACAGCTCGCTCTTGGATGACCTGTAGAGAGAAAGAAAAGATCACTCATACCATGGAGTATGAGTGAAAAATAAAGAGCCATATGAAAAACCAAACTTATGCATTCCTTTGGATCTTTCAATAAACGGACCTTGAAATTTAGTGTCAGTATCTATTAAGTCTGAAAAAGGAGACGTATAGTCTGAGCTGTCCACTTCCATAAAAGAGCAATGACCTATTGATGCTGTTGGTTTCCCAGAAGCAAACCACAAGCTCTGGAGCATATAAGTGTATCTTCATAGGACAAAAGAGATAGAACCATCTTCAGGAAATCTGTGACTTTCTGGGTTGAAAGATGGTTTAGTCTGAATTCCTTGGAGAACAAAGGGTTTCAGCACAACCTCTACTCTTTCAAACTCAAAATTTTAAATTTGAGTGAATATTGGAGTTGTTATTTTCCCATAATGACCTTAAGAAATTCTGTTTTAGTTCTGAATCATCCCCAGAGTTTTGAAGGGACTCTGACTCAGCAGATTTAAAGCTGCTCTAGATAAGTGAGTTAGCGAGGTTGCAAGTAATGCATACTGCTGTGTTTTTCCTCCTTATCTTCCACCAGTGGGCTTCTAGTCTTGTAACTCTCTTAGAAAGTCTTTTTGGCAAATATTATTTTTTTCTGATGTGACTGCTACTACTCATGGCCTCCTGTGGCTGAAACCCATATTTCTAAATAATTTCTATAAGGCCAAAGGAGGCTGAGATTAAGCAACACGGATGAATACTCTGGGGCTATGTGGCCTTGTCACATTCTAACAAGAGCCACATATTACAGAGGAAGCAAGAAAGACACCGTGAACAAAAGTGGCATTACTTGTGACATCTAATGTCTTGATTCTTGCTTCCAGTTCACATATCACATCCCCTTTATTTATAAAATTGTATACCTTGAGCAAACCAGGTTTAACAATTTATACCTGAACCCTAGTCTTCACTAGAACTCCATTCACATTTATTTACATAACACTGATCTGGTGATGAGTGGCAACAGCCCCCATACTGGAGCCTTCAGGCTGAGGATATGACTGTAACTACTATATGGCTAAAACTAGTAGATCACTATGTTCCAATCTGGAAAATAATATAATGTATGTGTGTGTGTCTGTGTGTGTCTCTGTGTGTGTGTGAGACAGATTATGCAGAAAATTCTGATTAAGAAGCAGAATAATTAATCTCATAAAAAAGATAGGTCAGATTGAAAGTCATGTATTCTGTGCTTCTGTGAGTTACAATGTGAGAAGAATCAGTAGGCTATTTGGAGAGAACATTCAAATGAAGATGGCAGACTGGGACTGAGAGCCACCTTTGTCTCCAACAGCTGCCTTATCTTTCCCTCTGGGTCTCAGTTTCACGATTGGTAAAACCAAGTGGTTGCGTTCAAACCCTGAGTTCCTTCTCAGGCCCAATACTTCATAGGCCTGTTTTTAATGTGCCTATTATTATCTTTTATGAATCTATTATTCTATCCCCATTTCAGAGTTTTATTACTTGTTAGCTAATTTGATTTTAACTTTGAATCAACTCAAATACAAATATCAGGTATAGCTGTGTGAAAAATAGTTGTCTAAAATTTGTCTGTGATATATCTTTATCTCCTTTCTTAGTAAGTTTTTAAAAATTGTGACATTATCTTTGCTCCAGGGCCATATGACCCCATTTTGCTCCCTAGAGCTCATGTCACTTGGTCACTTTACTATGCTAGTCCTCCCCCAAATTAATATTAATATAGTTAACATTAACTTTAAGCCCTAATATATTTATTTACTATGTATGCTTCAGAAAGTTTAAAATATATAGACCCTTTGAGATCTTTCACCTCTCAGAATTTATCATAAGGATTATGAGTGTGCTATAAAATCTTCATGGTAACAGTACTGTAGATACACAAAAGTTGAAACATTCCAAATGTTCTAAATTGAGGCTTACTTTCTTATTATTTCTGGATTATAGAAAATTATAGGATGTAATATTGCATCTTTAATGAAATGATACTTGAGAAAACTATATAATAACATGAAAATATTTACATTATTTTAAGTTAAAAACAGTATGAACCCATTTTGTAAACATTGTATAAGCATATACATACAAAATTTATATATTTCTTAAAATATTGAATAATGCCACAACTATTAACAAAGAGATTATTTTTGCTATGGTGATGTGTCTAGTCCCAAAAGAACTTCATGCTGGAAATATTCCTTCATAAAAATGCCAGGACCTGAAAACACTTGTGCTCAGATATGTATTTTTGGAGTAAGAGAGTGTTCAGAAGATGTCTGTAAACAAAGAAAGTGAAACAAAACAGGCAAGTTTGCTTTTTATTATTTAATCTAGTTTATTTCCAAGTTCTTACAGTCATTCATAATTTGGTGAATAATATGCCCAAGACTATGCAAGAAAGTCCTGTAAGCAATCAGTGGTTTGGCTATAGTAATTACAAGATGAGGGCCTCAGAAGTTCTTGTTTAAGCTTGACAGTGGCTTGTTTAAATAGATTAATTATAGGAGAGTTTTTATTAACCCTATTTTATTCTAGCTTTTGAAATCAAGTAGTATTTATTTGTAAATATATAAGATAACTTAGAATTAGATACAATGCTTTATAATAGGAAAACATAGGCAAGACGTTACTTAAAGATAGCTGTGATAGTGATGAGTGGTGGAAGCAGTTCTCACTAACTGATCAGGTGGAGTGATCCCTGGAACTGAACCATTCAGTCACACTCTGTCTTTAGGCAAATTACTTCAGTGAATGAGGACTTGGGAAACCAAATCAGTGTGAAATCAAGAAATTGAGGTAATGGGTGGGAAATTCATTTTAAGAAATTTCAGGGTAAAGACACAGGCTTGATAACATAGCAGACAGAATGGAAACAGAATTAAGACTGATCTTCCTGGAATGGCGAAGATTTAAATACGTTTTATATTGATATAAAATAGTCAAAAGATCTTAAAAATGCAACAAGTTCTTTTTAACAAATCATACTAGAAAAATTGGATATGCCAAACAATGGGTAAAAAATTAAGATCAACCTATACCTCACAACCTCTACAAAAATTAACTCCAAATTGGATCATAAACCTAAATGCAATATGTAAAACTAAATTTCCTGGGAAGAGGAGAAGGGAGAAAATATGCATGAATTTGATTTAGGCAAATACTTTTTAGACACACCTCCAAAAAACATGATCCATGGAAAAATATAATAAATTACACACGAGATACAGAATAGTTCTGCAACTTTCTTTCATTTTTACCATACCATCCATGTGTGAGGGTGACATAAAGTCCCTACCTGCCTCTAACCTGAGAGTACCAATATTTTAATTAAAATGTTTGTAAAAAGAATGTATCCTTTGTAGAATAGCCATTTGGTTTACAGTCATTCATAGAAACAGAGACAGAGCTATGTTCTCCAACCAAGCTGCATCAACTCTGCACATTTTCAATTGTAGGATTTTACACTTGCTTGCTATAGTACTTCTTTTACTTATGAACAAATGGATATTCACAAATGGGCTTAGGAACTTACATTTAGGGATCTCACTTGTTTGAAAATAGAGAAAATTCTCTATCTGATATAAAAAATTATGTATTTTTCTCTTGTTTATATTTATGTTCACAAGAGCTATACGACTGGCTTCAGTCAAATTTCTATTCACAGCCTATTAATGGAGCAACACAAAGTATAAAGGAACTGAAGGAAGGCCATTATGATATAGTCACTCCAAGCAGGGTTGGCTGGAAGACAATGTTAGGCAATGAGAAGAAAACTGTACTCAAGGTTTTCTGTACCATTATAGTCCACTGGTCATTACTTTTTATGTTAGAAACTCTTATAAGTATGTATGTTATATCACAGAAATTAACAAATAATACAACTTAGACAAATTGAGTATTTAAATTAAAATAGTGTGTAAAAAGCACATAGTACAGCATCTAGCATATAGTTGGCACACAATAAATGTGAGTTATTGCTACTATTCTTACTACTAACTGGCTAAAATTCACACAGATAAAATCATGGGATTCAAATTCAGGACTTCATGACACCAAATTAAGGGTCCATGACCCCAGAGTAAGGCTGAACTTTAGCCTTATCACTGCAAGTTTTTGAATAACTATAATTGTTGATAATACAATTATTAGAATAAATAGGTAAATATGTATAAAAAAGAAAATGTTGGATGATTGAATTAATTGCACTATTATCACACTTAGACATTGATTTATTTTTCATATTTTGTTGCTATTTGAGTAGAACTGTCTGCTGCCCTGAGGCAAATTATTGCATGACCTAATTAAAACATAATTTTTTTTGGCATGGGATTGCTGTAATGCCATATTTCATTCCTCCTTACTCACAAGTTATGTTCTACTCTAAAACATAGTACCTTAGCCTTCACTATGACAAATTGTATCAATAGCTGTGTCAAAAATAGACTTTAATAGTGATCTGATCTTCATAGTTTACCAGATTACTATTGGGCAGCAATTGAGAACACTTGGATGCCTACAGCATTTTGCATAATACAAGTTTAATTATTTTTCATCATTATTTCACAGGATTCATATTTTCAGCCATGGCCTTAGAAATTTGCATACATTTGTATATTATCTGAAATAATTTGAAATTCAGGGAAAAATCTAACATGATTTTGCCTCTCGATTTTTATATAATTCTCACTCCGGAACAACAAACTCACTTACTCCTGCCTGCCGTGTCTCACCTCGACAGATGTATTGTAAACCTTCTCTGAGGAAAACATGTATATCAGGTTCAAGGACTTGAGCTGGTGCTCTGGTCTTCTTTGAATTTAGGTCACTGACCACCACATTTACTTTAGTTGCCAGTCTGGGTACTGTGGCTTCACCTAACTAGTTTGTGTTATCTTGCAGCACTGGGGCTTTCCTGGTTTCCAAACCTATCATCACCATGTGACTCTGAACACCCACTTTGTGCTGATTAGTAACAGGGATGGAACACTGACTCCATTTTGCTTACCTGCCTTTTGAATGTGTCTCAGTCCTCTGTTAACTGCGGGACAGAAATGAGTTTTCCAAAGCAGAGAGATTAATCGATGTACCCTTTCCTTGTTAAGGAGGAGTCTACTTCCCTGATCAAATGTCTTTCCTGGATATCTGTGTGAGGCCAAGATATTGACTGTGCTGTCAGATTCTGGCCAATTTAGATGACCCTGGAGCTGCTTAAATCTTAATATTATATGCTCTAGCGAGAAACTAATATTTAATTTCTGAAATTCACTGTCAGCTTTCATTCCTCAGTTCCCTTTCTCACTGGGATTTCCCCTCCTCTCATCTCCCCAACAAAATATTATGTCTCTTTTTATGACACCTTACCTCCCACTGTTTTCCTTACTCCTCTGAATAAATGACAAGTTCCAAACTTCTTTTCCTGACTTTGACCTATCCAGCCCTCCAGGACTCCATTTATTTCATTTGTTCTCCAAGCCGATTTACCATGAAGAGAAAGTGGATCTTGGATTGCTCTTTCCACTGCAGGAAGAAACTGGATGTGGCTGCTGAGCAAATCACACACAAAAAAGTAGCTAAGGCACATAGAATTGGAGGTGATTATGGATGGGTCATTGGAGTAAAGCTGAATCCTAGTAATCTTCTAATTTCTGGCTGTATATGGGCTCTTAACAGGTGTATAGGACAGTTCTCTACTTTTTTGTTTGGCATATACTTATAGTTTCTAAGCTCTTCTTTATTCATCTCAGCCTTTTAGCAAGAACTCAAATATAGCAGTTTTAGTTGTAGCAATTTCTTTCCTGGAAATTGTAGAAGCCTAATTAACGACAATAACACCAAAGCAAAACTCCAAATAGAGCTGATGACTGGGGATAAAAATGCTTACATGCTCTTAAATTAGCAAGGGTTTTTGAGATGTGGTCATTTTAATGACTTTAATTTAGGAGCAGCCTAGTTCTCTCTGCAAGAGCCTCTAGAAAGATAGTTTCAGGAAATGTAAGTCCATGCCAAGAAGAAATACATACAACCAAATCATGAATACTCTTGTTTTCTGACTCGTTCTGTTCACTGTTAATGTCCAAATCAATACATTCTCAGTGGAAACTTTCCTAAGAAACTGACTCAGTCGATGATTCTCTCCTCTGTACCCTCATAGTACTACCCTTATAACCTATAATATAGTTATTTATATATACTTCTGTCTTCCTCCCAAGTTTGTGAACTATTTTAGTTTGCCATCTTAACACCTGGTAAAGTTCCTAGCATATACTTAAGCCTCAGTGTCATTTTCCAAATGATAATAAATTCAATCATTTATTGAGGTTCTGCTGTTTGCTGGACTCTGTACTAGGAACTTCACATATATCATCTCATTTAGTCTTCGTAAGTCTGAGTTTAATTTTCTTTTTGGTACATTTTCCAGAATGTCTTGAGCATTTTCTCAAACCTGAGACTATGCTTTTTCATGACTGATTATAACAAGTTCATTTAACAATTGCTATCTTGTGTGAACTGTGACAGGCAAATACATTGGCTTTATAATGTCAGCAATGTCTTCTGCTTACCAGTTCAGAAGAAGTCAGGGCCATGGGTTCAGAGGGGACAATATCGAGAAGGGCATGCACCTTCTCAACTTATAGTTCCATAGAAGAAACAAGTCACTAAAGTATCTAGACTCCAATCAGGGGAGTTCCTAATACCGTCTCTCTTAGAATTAGGTAGTGCCTAATAAGTGCTGGAAAACTCTGGGAATCCTCTATAGATGATTCTAACGGTGATTCTGTCTGCTGAGGGAATAATGCTTCAGGGCCACAGAGTATATTACGTAATCAATGATAGTTTAAATGTGACAGATGAAGTTAATTTCACTAGGGTGATTGGAGAGGTTTTGGAGCTAGTGTCCTGCTTTCTTCTTTATTTTGTCTCAGCTGGCTGTGGGACCATTTAATTTTGATTCCTGGTTGTAAAGTAATGAGATTAAGCTTAATGTAGGGGCACAAGGGGAGAAAAGGATGCTGAGGTGGGCCCTTAGGACTATCCTCTGGTAAGATAAATGCCACCTCTATCACTAGGTGATATAAAAGCAGTGGTTGAGGTGGGTTATAATGAGGAGAGGAAGATATACGGGTAAACCTATAGAAAGGTAGAAAGGGCATAAGAGAGGTGTAATGAAACAGACAATGAACCTTATGAAGAAAGGCATGTGCGGGTTTGGAGCTTAATTATGACATTGCAAATATAAGCCAAACCACTTCTCTGATGCTTCAAGCATTCATTAGTTTCATTCACTTGCTCAGTAATTAATAGCCTATCTCTTAAAGGGAACAATAGTTGAGCTACACTATATGTTAGGCATTTGGCTAATTATAGGGCTATAAATACAGGAACACACTCCTAGCCCCCCAGAAGCTTATAGACTAGTGATAATAAAAATAGCCAGTTCATACATAGTTTCCTATATACTAGGCATGGGGTTAAACTTACAATATACTTCCTTTCTTATGTATTTACATAGAATGAATAGAAATTTATTTATTAATATAATAATTACTATTTATACAGTTGAATTATTTGATTGATAATTGAATTATTATAAGCATTGTTTTTGTAACTTTTTTTTTAATTTGTAAAGTTTTTTTGTATTTTTAATTTCATTATTATTATACTTTAAGTTTTAGGGTACATGTGCACAATGTGCAGGTTAGTTACATATGTATACATGTGCCATGCTGGTGTGCTGCACCCATCAATTCGTCATTTAGCATTAGGTATATCTCCTAATGCTATCCCTCCCCCCTCCCCCCACCCCACAACAGTCCCCAGAGTGTGATGTTCCCCTTCCTGTGTCCATGTGTTCTCATTGTTCAGTTCCCACCTATGAGTGAGAACATGCAGTGTTTGGTTTTTTGTCCTGGTGATAGTTTACTGAGAATGATGATTTCCAAATTCATCCATGTCCCTACAAAGGACATGAACTCATCATTTTTTTTGGCTGCATAGTATTCCATGGTGCATATGTGTCACATTTTCTTAATCCAGTCTATCATTGTTGGACATTTGGGTTGGTTCCAAGTCTTTGCTATTGTGAATAGTGCCACAATAAACATATGTGTGCATGTGTCTTTATAGCAGCATGATTTATAGTCCTTTGGGTATATACCCCGTAATGGGATGGCTGGGTCAAATGTATTTCTAGTACTATATCCCTGAGGAATCGCCACACTGACTTCCACAATGGTTGAACTAGCTTACAGTCCCACCAACAGTGTAAAAGTGTTCCTATTTCTCCACATCCTCTCCAGCACCTGTAGTTTCCTGACTTTTTAATGATTGCCATTCTAACTGGTGTGAGATGGTATCTCGTTATGGTTTTGATTTGCATTTCTCTGATGGCCAGTGATGGTGAGCATTTTTTGATGTGTTTTTTGGCTGCATAAATGTCTTCTTTTGAGAAGTGTCTGTTCATGTCCTTTGCCCACTTTTTGATGGGGTTGTTTGTTTTTTTCTTGTAAATTTGTTGGAGTTCATTGTAGATTCTGGATATTAGCTCTTTGTCAGATGAGTAGATTGTGAAAATTTTCTCCCATTTTGTAGGTTGTCTGTTCACTCTGATGGTAGTTTCTTTTGCTGTGCAGAAGTTCTTTAGTTTAATTAGATCTCATTTGTCAATTTTGTCTTTTGTTGCCATTGCTTTTGGTGTTTTAGACATGAAGTCCTTGTCCATGCCTATGTCCTGAATGGTAATGCCTAGGTTTTCTTCTAGGGTTTTTATGGTTTTAGGTCTAACGTTTAAGTCTTTAATCCATCTTGAATTAATTTTTGCATAAGGTGTAAGGAAGGGATCCAGTTTCAGCTTTCTACATATGGCTAGCCAGTTTTCCCAACACGATATATTAAATAGGGAATCCTTTCCCCATTGCTTGTTTTTCTCAGGTTTGTCAAAGATCAGATAGTTGTAGATATGCGGCGTTATTTCTGAGGGCTCTGTTCTGTTCCATTGATCTATAACTCTGTTTTGGTACCAGTACCATGCTGTTTTGGTTACTGTAGCCTTGTAGTATAGTTTGAAGTCAGGTAGTGTGATGCCTCCAGCTTTGTTCTTTTGGCTTAGGATTGACTTGGCGATGCGGGCTCTTTTTTGGTTCCATATTAACTTTAAAGTCATTTTTTCCAATTCTGTGAAGAAAGTCATTGGTAGCTTGATGGGGATGACATTGAATCTATAAATTACCTTGGGCAGTGTGGCCATTTTCACGATATTGATTCTTCCTACCCATGAGCATGGAATGTTCTTCCATTTGTTTGTATCCTCTTTCATTTCACTGAGCAGTGGTTTGTAGTTCTCCTTGAAGAGGTCCTTCACATCCCTTGTAAGTTGGATTCCCAGGTATTTTATTCTCTTTGAAGCAACGGTGAATGGGAGTTCACTCATGATTTGGCTCTCTGTTTGTCTGTTCTTGGTGTATAAGAATGCTTGTGATTTTTGTACATTGATTTTGTATCCTGAGACTTTGCTGAAGTTGCTTATCAGCTTAAGGAGATTTTGGGCTGAGACAATGGGGTTTTCTAGATATACAATCATGTCATCTGCAAACAGGGACAATTTGACTTCCTCTTTTCCTAATTGAATACCCTTTATTTCCTTCTCCTGCCTAATTGCCCTGGCCAGAACTTCCAACACTATGTTGAATACGAGTGGTGAGAGAGGGCATCCCTGTCTTGTGCCAGTTTTCAAAGGGAATGCTTCCAGTTTTTGCCCATTCAGTATGATATTGGCTGTGGGTTTGTCATAGACAGCTCTGATTATTTTGAGATACGACCCATCAATACCTAATTTATTGAGAGTTTTTAGCATGAAGGGTTGTTGAATTTTGTCAAAGGCCTTTTCTGCATCTATTGAGATAATCATGTGGTTTTTGTCTTTGGTTCTGTTTATATGCTGGATTACATTTATTGATTTGCGTATATTGAACCAGCCTTGCATCCCAGGGATGAAGCCCACTTGATCATGGTGGATAAGCTTTTTCATGTGCTGCTGGATTCAGCCTGCCAGTATTTTATTGAGGATTTTTGCATCAATGTTCATCAAGGATATTGGTCTAAAATTCTCTTTTTTGGTTGTGTCTCTGCCCGGCTTTGGTATCAGGATGATGCTGGCCTCATAAAATGAGTTAGGGAGGATTCCCTCTTTTTCTATTGATTGGAATAGTTTCAAAAGGAATGGTACCAGTTCCTCCTTGTACCTCTGGTAGAATTCGGCTGTGAATCCATCTGGTCCTGGAGTCTTTTTTTTTGGTAAGCTATTGATTATTGCCACAATTTCAGAGCCTGTTATTGGTCTATTCAGAGATTCAACTTCTTCCTGGTTTAGTCTTGGGAGGGTGTATGTGTCGAGGAATTTATCCATTTCTTTTAGATTTTCTAGTTTATTTGTGTAGAGGTGTTTGTAGTATTCTCTGATGGTAGTTTGTATTTCTGTGGGATCGGTGGTGATATCCCCTTTAATATTTTTTATTGCATCTATTTGTTTCTTCTCTCTTTTCTTCTTTATGAGTCTTGCTAGTGGTCTATCAATTTTGTTGATCCTTTCAAAAAACCAGCTACTGGATTCATTAATTATTTGTGGGGATTTTGTGTCTCTATTTCCTTCAGTTCTGCTCTGATTTTAGTTATTTCTTGCTTTCTGCTAGCTTTTGAATGTGTTTGTTCTTGCTTTTCTAGTTCTTTTAATTGTGATGTTAGGGTGTCAATTTTGGATCTTTCCTGCTTTCTCTTGTGGGCATTTAGTGCTATCAATTTCCCTCTACACACTGCTTTGAATGTGTCCCAGAGATTCTGGTCTGTTGTGTCTTTGTTCTCGTTGGTTTCAAAGAACATCTTTATTTCTGCCTTCATTTCGTTATGTACCCAGTAGTCATTCAGGAGCAGGTTGTTCAGTTTCCATGTAGTTGACTGGTTTTGAGTGAGTTTCTTAATCCTGCGTTCTCGTTTGATTGCACTGTGGTCTGACAGACAGCTTGTTATAATTTCTGTTCTTTTACATTTGCTGAGGAGAGCTTTACTTCCAACTATGTGGTCAGTTTTGGAATAGGTGTGGTGTGGTGCTGAAAAAAATGTATATTCTGTTGATTTGGGGTGGAGAGTTCTGTAGATGTCTATTAGGTCCGCTTGGTGCAGAGCTGAGTTCAATTCCTGGGTATCCTTGTTAACTTTCTGTCTTGTTGATCTGTCTAATGTTGGCAGTGGGGTGTTAAAGTCTCCCATTATTAATGTGTGGGAGTCTAAGTCTCTTTGTAGGTCACTCAGGACTTGCTTTATGAATCTGGGTGCTCCTGTATTGGGTGCATATATATTTAGGATAGTTAGCTCTTCTTGTTGAATTGATCTCTTTACCATTATGTAATGGCTTTCTTTGTCTCTTTTGATCTTTGTTGGTTTAAAGTCTGTTTTATCAGAGACTAAGATTGCAACCCCTGCCTTTTTTTGTTTTCCATTTGCTTGGTAGATCTTCCTCCATCCTTTTATTTTGAGCCTATGTGTGTCTCTGCACATGAGATGAGTTTCCTGAATACAGCACACTGATGGGTCTTGACTCTTTATCCAATTTGCCAGTCTGTAGTCTTTTAATTGGAGCATTTAGTCCATTTACATTTAAAGTTAATATTGTTATGTGTGAATTTGATCCTGTCATTATGATGTTGGCTGGTTATTTTGCTCGTTAGTTGATGCAGTTTCTTCCTAGTCTCGATGGTCTTTATAATTTGGCATGATTTTGCAGTGGCTGGTACCGTTTGTTCCTTTCCATGTTTAGTGCTTCCTTCAGGAGCTCTTGTAGGGCAGGCCTGATGGTGACAACATCTCTTAGCATTTGCTTGTCTGTAAAGTATTTTATTTCTCCTTCACTTATGAAGCTTAGTTTGGCTGGATATGAAATTCTGGGTTGAAAATTCTTTTCTTTAAGAATGTTGAATATTGGCCCCCACTCTCTTCTGGCTTGTAGAGTTTCTGCCGAGAGATCCGCTGTTAGTCTGATGGGCTTCTCTTTGTGGGTAACCCAACCTTTCTCTCTGGTTGCCCTTAACATTTTTTCCTTCATTTCAACTTTGGTGAATCTGACAATTATGTGTCTTGGAGTTGCTCTTCTCGAGGAGTATCTTTGTGGTGTTCTCTGTATTTCCTGAATCTGAATGTTGGCCTGCCTTGCTAGATTGGGGAAGTTCTCCTGGATAATATCCTGCAGAGTGTTTTCCAACTTGGTTCCATTCTCCCTGTCACTTTTGGGTATACCTATCATACGTAGGTTTGGTGTTTTCACATAGTCCCATATTTCTTGGAGGATTTGTTTGTTTCTTTTTATTCTTTTTTTCTCTAAACTTCCCTTCTTGCTTCATTTCATTCATTTCGTCTTCCATCACTGATACCCTTTCTTCCAGTTGATTGCATCAGCTCCTGAGGCTCCTGCATTCTTCACATCGTTCTCAAGCCTTGGCTTTCAGCTCCATCAGCTCCTTTAAGCACTTCTCTGTATTGGTTATTCTAGTTATATATTCTTCTAAATTTTTTTCAAAGTTTTTAACTTCTTTGCCTTTGGTTAGAATTTCCTCCTGTAGCTCGGAGTAGTTTGATCATCAGAAGCCTTCTTCTCTTAACTCATCAAAGTCATTCTCCATCCAGCTTTGTTCCGTTGCTGGTGAGGAACTGCATTCCTTTGGAGGAGGAGAGGTGCTCTGCTTTTTAGAGTTTCCAGTTTTTCTGCTCTGTTTTTTCCCCATCTTTGTGGTTTTATCTACTTTTGGTCTTTGATGATGGTGATGTACAGATGGGTTTTTGTTGTGGATGTCCTTTCTGTTTGTTCATTTTCCTTCTAACAGACAGGACCCTCAGCTGTAGGTCTGTTGGAGTTTGCTAGAGGTCCACTCCAGACGCTGTTTACCTGGGTAACAGCAGCGGTGGCTGCAGAATAGCAGATTTTCGTGAACCGCAAATGCTGCTCTGTGATCGTTCCTCTGGAAATTTTGTCTCAGAGGAGTACCCGGCCGTGTGAGGTGTCAGTCTGCCCCTACTGGGGGGTGCCTCCCATTTAGGCTGCTCAGGGGTCAGGGGTCAGGGACCCACTTGAGGAG
Organism: Homo sapiens; assembly: GCF_000001405.40. Classification (NCBI taxonomy): domain Eukaryota; kingdom Metazoa; phylum Chordata; class Mammalia; order Primates; family Hominidae; genus Homo; species Homo sapiens. The sequence goes on along the minus strand of NW_025791796.1, from coordinate 307,015 downwards.
GCAGTCTGCCCGTTCTCAGATCTCCAGCTGCGTGCTGGGAGAACCACTACTCTCTTCAAAGCTGTCAGACAGGGGCATTTAAGTCTGCCGAGGTTACTGCTGTCTTTTTGTTTGTCTGTGCCCTGCCTCCAGAGGTGGAGCCTACAGAGGCAGGCAGGCCTCCTTGAGCTGTGGTGGGCTCCACCCAGTTGGAGCTTCTGGGCTGCTTTGTTTACCTAAGCAAGCCTGGGCAATGGCCGGCGCCCCTCCCCCAGCCTCACTGCCACCTTGCAGTTTGATCTCAGACTGCTGTGCTAGCAATCAGCGAGACTCTGTGGGCATAGGACCATCTAAGTTAGGTGCAGGATATAATCTCCTGGTGCGCTGTTTTTTAAGCCCATCGGAAAAGTGCAGTATTAGGGTGGGAGTGACCCGATTTTCCAAGTGCCGTCTGTCACCCCTTTCTTTGACAAGGAAAGGGAACTCTGTGACCCCTTGTGCTTCCCAAGTGAGGCAATGCCTCGCCCTGCTTCAGCTCGCACATGGTGCACTGCACCCACTCTCCTGTGCCCACTGTCTTGTACTCCCTAGTGAGATGAACCCGGTACCTCAGATGGAAATGCAGAAATCACCCGTCTTCTGCGTCACTCACGCTGGGAGCTGTAGACTGGAGCTGTTCCTATTCGGCCATCTTGGCTGTATATCTCTTTTGTAACTACATTAATTTGAAGAACACAATGCTCCAAAGTAATGTTTCCTGTCAGAGGACAAATAAGAAGCCATGTATTAGACTCTTCATTGTTCTGTTACAAAAGACAATGTCTTTAAGCCTCTGTTTCACACCATGTCTCTATATCCATTTTATGAACAGTAAAGTACAATATGCTCATTGTTGCAAAAACATTTCAAGTGTACACAAAAGTGTAAGTGTTCCCATTTTTAGGACACCCTCAAAAACTTTTTAGGAAACTAGGTTGCAAGAGACTCTCATTATTTGCCATATGACAGTGTTCCTTCTTCTGAACATATAATAGCAGTTTTCCTCAAGGAAACCACCTGGAACAACAAAAAATCTATTTTATTCACGAGGGGTAGTTTGTATAGCTTTAATAATGGGGATGTAGAGAATAGAAGCATACAACTACCAAGTAAATTTTTAAATTGTGCCCTGTTTTACCATATTATTTTTGCTTGCAGTCCACAGAATCTAATATACCTCATTTTATAAGGAAGGATTAAAGGGGATCTTTAAAAAATTTGCAGAAATTTTAAGGGTGGTGGCAATTCTAAAAAGTACTAGACAACCAGACCTAAGCTGATGGAACATGGCCCCAAACTTCATTGCAAAGCTCCTCTCACTGCTGACCCCATATTCACTCTGTCTCTGCCATGATAGGCAAAAATGCCACTGACAATGCCAAACCTCCAATTATGCAGGCTTTGGGCTGCTAGTGGTGCTAGCAAAATGAATTTGCACTCTCAGACTTATCACTTACATGGCTCCCTTTGAAATAAAAGTCTCTGACAGGTATATATATCTGATGGTATATGAAGCTGTCATATATCTACACTTCACTAATGAGGATGAATGGGAAATACAATATTTTATTACCATTATTATTTTTTATTGACGAGGCAGGGTTACTCTAGTAGGATTATCAAAATATAAAGACGATGTTCAAAAGCTTTTAAAGAAGCCATAAAAGATGGACATCTCTACATATACGATCATTACCAATGACTTGACATGTAAAAGAAACATTTCATAAGATGTGATCAGGTTATGTGCATGAAAGTTGAATGTGGTCCAACCTCTCTTTGTCCAATCTTCCTAAGAAAGAATGGGACAGATGGGAAGCAGTTTTCAGTGTTTGTATTTTTAATCAATTACAGAGTAAAGCCTCACCACCAGAGTAGTGAGAAATTAATTATATAAAATACTCATAACTTAATCTATGAAAAATAACAAGAACTGACTGATTTTCTTCCGCCAAGTTGCTAGCAAGTGATGAGGGTATAAGGCTCTTTAACTGAAACCCAACCAAGCAAAGATGCAGAAATGAGAAGGTGAATGATCTGAGCAACTAGAACAAGATGTATGAGACCATCTTGCTGAAGCAGATAGAAACAGTGATTAGACATGGAAAGAACATTTACCAAGTTTTTGTAATAAAATCCAGAGAGCATTTGAAGTGTGTTCTTTTTTAATTTATCTTTCATATTATTTTTAAAATAATATTTGATACATGCAGCTGTAATGAAGAATGAAGATCTCTATGACCTGTATGAAGTTCACATGACCTGATATTTCCAGGAAACACTGTTAAACAAAAAGAGCAAGATAATTACAGTAAGCTAGTTTAGTATAAGACAAAAGGGGAAAGCCATATATCTGGACATTTGTTCAAAACAAAACTCAGAAAACAAAACACAAAATAATGAGACTGATTGCTTACGAGTGGTAAGTGGCAATGGGATGGAAAGGACTGGGAACTGGAATGCTTTAAAAAGTATAGGAGGGTAGTGTTATTGCTGTGAGGAGAGTAGTGTTTTTGCTATGAGTATACATTTTGCTGAAATTTTGACTTTTGAAACCATATTAATACTTCACAGGCACACACACATATAATATATGTGTTATTTTGTGTATAAATAAATATATATATATATCCTTTGTTGAATATATATGCTACATATATATTCAACAAAGAGAAATACCCTAAAATGAAAAATTAAGAGAATCAAATAAACCTAATTGTATTTCAAATGGATAACATAACCACACTGAAAAAGAATAGTGTTGAATTAACCCAAATAACTTTTGACTGAAGTATTTTGACTATATATCACAAGAATGTAGATTCTATAACATTCTGTGTAGTCTGGAATTTAGCAAATAGGAAGGGTATAGTGAATAAAGGGTTTCACTTTTTCAGTGCTGGAAAAGGGAATTGCAGATGTCGAAGAGGGAGGTTATAATAAAACCTGTGTTCTTGAATTGGAACTGGAGTTATCAATGTGGGTGACCGGTTATATATAAATTATACTTTTATTTATATATTTTATATGCATTCAAATATATATATAAATTAGGAAAAAATATGTGTATACACACACACACATATATATACACACACACATACAAACACTCATATTTTTTTTTAACTCTCTCCTCTAAGTGGATCTAGAAGAAGTGACATCACAGTAGCAATGATCTCAAGTTCCAGAACCTTGGTTTCAAATAAACATTATCCACTGCAAGAAACTAGTATTCCTTAGAGACATAGCTAACTTCAGGACTGGGGTGGGGAAAGTACAAAATAAGTCTGGAACGTCTTTTTGTGCAGTTAAGTAACTTTGGTTCAACAAGGGGAGACTTTTGACATGCCAACTTGAATGGGAACCTACTATCCAAATATAGAACAATTTGAGCATTGTAATAATTTTGGTAACAGATTCTGAACTGTAGAAAAACAGGAAAAAGTCCATGCAGATATAAATGGATATATGAGTAAATAAATAAATACGATAAAATTAAAACTCTTTCTTTGTAGAGTAATAACTGATAAATATAAATCAAATTATGGAATTAGAAAAGAACCATTTGGAAATCATCATTTTAATAATTAATTCAAGCAGGAACCATCCATGGCTACTAAAACTAGTGAATACAATTTTTATAAGGAACATAGTATTTATACAGTCTCAAAATATTTAGCTGAATAGCACTTGTGAATTACAAAGGAAAAATAGTAACTTTAAGGGTGATACCTGGCAGAAAACACCTTACTGAAGTTATCAAACTTGTTACTACAAGCAATGGGACAAATCAACATCATATACTCCTGATATAAACCCCTGAGAAGAACACGTCACCAGAAACTACCCCAGATGAAAAGTTTGAATCTAATCATGAAGGAACACTGACAAACTCAAATGTACAGATTCTACAAATTCCATTGTCTGCACTTATAAAAAATGTCAATGTCATAAGTGTTAAGGAAAAATCGAGGAATTGTTGAATATTAACGTATAATAAAGAGATATGGCAATGAAATGTAATTTGTGAACCTGGACCAGATATTTTTTCTTTTTTAAAAGGGTTTTATTTATGTAATTGACAACAACATTTTGTGTCCGGAATTGGTGGGTTCTTTTTCTCACTGACTTCAAGAATGAAGCCGCAGACCCTTGCGGTGAGTGTTACAGTTCTTAAAGGCAGTGTGTCTGGAGTTTCTTCCTTCTGGTGGGTTCGTGGTCTCTCTGGCTCAGGAGTGAAGCTGCAGACCTTCTCGGTGTTACAGCTCATAAAAGCAGTGCGGACCCAAAGAGTGAGCAGCAGCAAGATTTATTGCAAAGAGCAAAAGAACAAAGCTCCCGCTGTGTGGAAGGGGACCCCAGCAGGTTGCCACTGCTGGCTTGGGCAGCATGCTTTTATTCCTTTATCTGGCCCCACCCATATCCTGCTGATTGGTGCATTTTACAGAGCCGATTAGTCTGTTTTGACAAGGTGCTGATTGGTGCGTTTACAATCCCTGAGCTAGACATAAAGGTTCTCCAAGTCCCCACTAGATTAGCTAGGTACAGAATGCTGATTGGTGCATTTACAAATCTTGAGCTAGACACAGAGTGCTGATTGGTGTATTTACAAACCCTGAGCTAGACATAAAGGTTCTCCAAGTCCCCACTAGACTCAGGAGCCCAGCTGGCTTCACCTAGTGGATCCCGCACCCAGCTGCAGGTGGAGCTGCCCGCCAGTCCCACGCTGTGCGCCCGCACTCCTCAGCCCTTGGGCGGTCGATGGGACTGTGTGCCGTGGAGCAGGAGCAGGGGAGCGGGTGAGTGGGGGGAGTGGGGGGAATGGTGTGGGGGGCTCGGGGAGGCTTAGGCATGGCAGGCTGCAGGTCCCGAGCCCTGCCCCATGGGGAGGCAGCTGAGGCCTGGCGAGAATTAGAGCACAGCAACGGTGGGCCAGCACTGCTGGGGGACCTGGAGCACCTGCTGCAGCTGCTGGCCCAGGTGCGAAGCCCCTCACTGCCCGGGGCGGCGGTGCGGGCTGGCCACTCTGAGTGCAGGGCCCGCCAAGCCCATGCCCACCCAGAAGTCACTCTGGCCCGCGAGCGTAGGGCACAGCCCCGGTTCCCTCCCACCCTCCCCCCGCCCCGTCTCCCTCCACACCTCCCCACAAGCTGAGGGAGCCAGCTCTGGCATTGGCCAGCCCAGACAGGGGCTCCCACAGTGCAGAGGCGGGCTGAAGGGCTCCTCAAGCACGGCCAGAGTGGGCGCCGAGGCCGAGGAGGCACCGAGAGCGAGCAAGGGCTGCCAGCATGCTGACACCTCTCAATTTAATAAGGGCTATAGATTAGATATTCATTTAAAATATTAATGTAAATTTTCTGATTTAAAAAGTTACAGAGTTTTAGGCAATACACACTGAGGAAGGGGTAAAAGGGCATCATGTGTTTAAGTTACTCTCACAGTTCTGACATAAAATTATATATGTGTATGTGGTGTATACAAAGAGAGACAGACAGACAGACGGACACAGAGAGATATCTGAGGAATTGACTCACTGGCTCATGTGATTGTGGAGACTCCATGAGTCCAAAATCTGATGGGCTAGGTCTGCAGGTTGGCAACTGAGGGAAGAGCTGTGGTTTGAATGTAAAGGCAGGATTCTCAGGGAAGGTCAGTCTTTGTTCTAATAAGGCCTTTAACTGTTTGGATGAGGGCCACTCAAATTATGGAGAGTCGTCTGCTTTATTCAAAGTCAATTAATTTAAATGTTAATGTCCTCCAAAAGACATCCTCACGGAAATATCCAGAGTAATGTTTGACCAAATACCTGGGCATCATGGGACAGCCAAGTGGATACATGAAATTAACAATATAATATGTATAGAAATACAATTTTATATGCTGTGTATACAGCCACATATATATGAATATCATAAATGTATATCTGTATTATATATCTTTATGTAAACATATAAAACTCATATTAAATAATATTTATATTATAGCAAAATAGAAGTCCCATTAATTACCTATAACAGGCAAACTTAAAGCAAAATAATATTTGCAAGTTGAAAATAAAGGGGGAATATTAAGGAGAAACTTTTGAAACTCTGTTAGAGGATATAAATTGTTATTTGAATAAATGGAAGAATATGCTCATGCTCATGCTGGTATATGAGATGGCATAGCATGGCAATGATGCCAATATTACCCCAAATGTATATACTAATAACAATTTATCTACCTTTTAAAAAATTATAGTAAAACGAACATATTTAAAGATACATTCTTTGCTATGTCAACTTTGAGTAGAATAATGAAAAAGATGAACATATCAGCTAAATATTAAATCACCTACAAAGTGATAGTAATAAAAATAATATAATAATAAAACAGAAGACATATAAATGGCACTGAATAGAAAACACAGGTCATATATGATTATGTACACATATCTTAGCTGAGATACACACACAGACATATATGATATATGATGACCAATCAAAGCGATCAAGATCAAATTGGTGATGTTGTTGGAAATAGTGGTTTACTAAAAGGAGATAAAGTTAGGTTGCTACCTTCCTTGTATACAAATGTGTATTTAGAAACATTTAACAACAAAATGCAAAAATATAATAGAATAATAATAGAATAAAATATCTTTGCAACCTAAGTTAAGAGAAGAACATCTATAAACAAATCTTTTAAAAATGAATAAAAAGAAACATTTTAATAAATAATGACACTATAAACATTCTATCCAAAGACGAATACTAGGGGCAAAATTAACAAACAGTAGTAGATTAAAAAAAATGTAATAAATTGACAAGATTATTTGTCAAAAAGAATTTCTACAAGGATGGGAATGTTCTAAATTGGTCTTATCTCATAGTAGCCTCTATGGCTACTGAACACTTGAAAAGAGGCTAATGTTAGTGAACTAAAATGTCAATTTTACTTTTTAAATATGTATTTAAATTACCATCTAAATGGCCACATATGATAATAGATACCATATTGGACAGTGCAGATCTACAGGATTCAAATAACAAGAAAAGTACAGAAAACACATTTTAAGTGATGAAGGTCATGAAAGAACAAATCACAGAACTGAAGCTCGAATAGCTAATAGATATGAGAGACAGGTTCCAAACTCACTGGTAATCTAAACCAACAAACAACAACAACAACAATAAAACAAATTAAAGCAACAAAGTATTATTTACACGGCAAAACAAAATTTAGAAAAATGATGAAAGCTAAATTTTATAAAGTGATGGGAACTATTGCTCTGCAATTGCAAGTAGACTGGTTAAGTCGTTCTGGAGACACTCAGTAGCATTTAGTGAAATTAAGGGGGTAACTTAAAAATCCTGCAATCACAATAAGAAGGTCATGGAAAAATTAGGACTCCTCAAGAGTATGCATATCTACAACTTTGTATGGAAATTTGGCAATTTCTAATAAAATTAAAATGTAAATATTTATATTACACATTTACATTTAAAGATAAAATATAATTCAGCATTTCCAGTTCTAAGTACATACCCTAGAGAAATTATCACGTGTGTACCCAAAGAAACATATATAAGTATGTTCAACTAAACCGTATTTATTAGGCTAAACAATTATAAAGATTATAAATGTCTCCAAAAAAGAGGAGACTTAATCACATTTTAGCATATCCATACAAGACCCTATAGCTGCTAAAATGAACGAAGCAGAATGGCACATTTCTGAACAGATAAATATTTTAAACATAAGATTAAGTGAAAATAAATTTTTAGATAAAAGCATTTATCTAGATTTCAGTTAAATCAAGTTCAAAAATATGTGACATAACATTTTATGCACAATGCATGCATACATCAGAAAAATAATTTTAGGCTGGTCGTGGTGGCTCACACCTGTAATTTCAGCATTTTGGGAGGCAGAGGCAGGCGGATCATTTGAGGTCAGGAGTTCAAGACAAGCCTGGCCAACATGGTGAAACCTTGTCTCTACTAAAAATACAAAAATTAGCTGGGTGTGGTGGTGCATGCCTGTAATCCCAGCTACTCGAGAGGCTGAGACAGGAGAATTGCTTGAATCTGGCAGGCTGAGGTTGCAGTGAGTCGAGATTGTGCCACTGCACTCTAGCCTTGGCGACAGAGCCAGACTCCGTCTCAAAATAATAATAATTTTAAAAACATAAAAGTAAATGATGCCATGGAGCTGATGATAGTGGTTATCTTTGCCAAGATAAAATAATTGAATATGGAGGGTTGCTTAGGTTCTTTATTATCTCTAATAATCCACTTTGGTGGTAAAAGAGAATCTGATACAAATGTGTCAAAATGTTTAAAAATTCAAAAAATTATGTGTTATGTCAGTATCTACATTTAACCTTATAATTTAAATAGTTGATAAGAAATAGATATAAATATGTCCAGTGATTCCAAGGGACCCAGTACCAATGTGTCTCAATGATTTTTTAAAAAACATTTAATTTAAAATATACCATACACATATGGCTATGAATACATCTTTAAGGCACCTTTTAGCTCTAGTTAACATAGCATACATATTACTTAGGAGACAGTGAGGAAATACCGGGTAGAATCCTCTAAGGGGTCAGTAGATGTTTGGGTAAAAGCAGAGCATTTTGAATTTGATGCCAAACAGGTCATAGAATGTGTATTTATTCTAATGTCCATGGACCGTAGATCTAACTTTATAATTTAGTACACTTTAAAGCTTTCTTTATGCAACTTAATCAGATTGAAAACTTTGTTTTGTTGTGAAGGGAATGCCTGGAAAATATATAGGCTTCTTAATTTATTCTTTACTCATGTGAATTGGCAGAATAATAATGTTCTTACTTGTTTCTGGAGAGATATATGAGAGAAAATATGAACAAAAACATGAAAGATTAAAATGTTCTATGTGTAATTTTTTGTCAGGTGAAATTTCTCTTTAGAGTGAAGAAGTGTATGCTTCATGTCAGTGGATTACAGTAACTATATGCATCTATATACTCATAAAAACTAGCCTGTCTGCCTTGTTAAAAAATAATAATCCTTTCACATATTAGGGGCACAAAAATGTAAGTGTGTGTGTTCATGCTTGTGGGTTTATAAGAGTTCACACAACTTTGTTTACATTTGGTCATTTAGAGAATTTGGCTGAAAGATTACTAGTTAAAAGTAGACAAATTTATATTTGATTTCTCTTATTTAAGGAAAGTCTTAGATACATGGAGTCTCTAAATATAGTTAAGAAGCCAGTTTTTCTAGTTAACTTTTTATTATATTTTGAAAGTAATTTATTAACCCAAATTTGAATTGAAAGTTAATGAAAATAACTATGCTTTTTTTTTCAAAAATATTTTAAGGTCGGGGTACAAGTGCAGGTTTGTTTCATAGGTGAACTTATGTCATGGGGGTTTGTTGTACAGATTATTCCATCACTCAGGTATTAAGCCTAGTACTCATTAGTTTTGTTTCCTGATTTTCTCCCTCCTCCCACCCTCCACCCTCCAAAAGGCCCAGTGTGTGTTGTTCCCCTCTATGTGTCCATGTGTTCTCTTTTGCTTTTAAGTGAGAACATGCAGTGTTTGGTTTTCTGTTCCTGTGTTAGTTTGCTAAGGATAATGGCCTCCATCTCCATCCATGTCCTTACAAAGGACATGATCTCATTGCTTTTTTATGGCTCTATAGTATCCTATGGTGTATATATACCACATTTTTTAAATCCCAGTCTCTCATTGATGGGAAATTAGGTTGACTCCATGTCTTTGTTATTGTCAATAGTGCTGCAATGAACATATGCATGCATGTATCTTTATAATAGAATGGCTTATATTCCTTTGGGTATATACCCAGTAATGGAGTTCCCAGGCTGATAATTATATTTTCAACAAAACCACACATGCCATAGAAATATAATAATGAAAAATTATATTTGATAATTTCAATATATGCAATATTATTTATAGAAATCAACAAATAAAATTAATATCAACATATTCTGAAACGTAATTTATATGGGTTCTGAACTAATATCCTGTCCTCATGATTGCTGATTAGAGAAGGTTTGTCTGGAGATGATGTGTTGGGTCCTCAGTTGATGTATAGATGCTTTCATCTCAGACTGTAAGTAATGGGGTTCAGTAAGGGTGTAACTGAATAAAACACAGAAAGAAATGTATCCACTGAAAAGCTCCTAAATGGCCAAGTGTAAATGTAGACACATGGCTCATAAAAATAGAGTGACTGCAGTGATATGAGCAGACAGTGTGGACAGAGCCTTGGAGAGTGCATCAGAGGATCGATGCTGCACAGTTACCAGAATAATAGTGTAGAAAATGAGCAAGACTATGAAGCAGATGAAAGACAACTGTCCACTTTTAGCAATTACCAGCAACTCCAGATCATAAGTCTCAGTGCAGGCAAGCTTCAGAACTAGAGGAAGGTCTCAAAATAAATTGTCCACCACACTGGGGCCACAGAAGGGCAAGGTGATAATAAAAACAATCTGGCTTATAGTATGCACAAAACCAACAGCCCGTGATAGCAGCACAGAGCCCATGAGTGGCCATGAGTACCCTGCAGTTCGTGATGGTTCTGCAGTGAAGAGGTCTGCATATTGCAATGTGCTGATCAACAGCCATAAATATGAGAAGAGTCATCTCACTGCCTCCTAAGAAGTGGAGATCTGAGCCATACAGCCCCATGAGGAAGTGGTTTTATTCTCCCTGAGAACGTCTGGACCATCTTAGAGATTGTGACTGTGGAAATAAACATACTGAGAAAGGAGAGATTTCCAAGGAGGAAGTACATAGGTGTTGAGCAAAGGGGAGGATTGGAGGTTACAGCGATTGCAGTGAGGTTTCCTGCCATGATTGCTGCATAGGCCAACAAAAATATTTAAGAAACAAAATTTCAAGTTCCCAAGTGCTGATGAATTCTAACAAAACAAACTCAGATTATTATTGAGCTGTTTCTTATATCCATCTGGTAGTTTTCAAAAGCTATTTGAAATAAAGATAGTCTGAAAAAAGTTATAATTTTACCTGTGACCATTTTGAAGATATGGACATATAGAAAGTATTTGATTCCTACAGAAAGAGAGAAGATGAACATATATGAAAAATACAATTTAATTAATTCAAGTGTCATTGACATTATTGTATTTTCTTCAATCAGAAAGGCACAAAAGATGAGAAATATATTATAAAATTCTGTAATTATGGTTTGCAGACATAGATTTTTGTCTCCACGTGCATTTATTGTCTCTATGATGAGTTCATGAGTTCTTGATGCATGAGTTCAATAGGTCCATGAGTAAAATTAGTCAAATAACTATTAGCCAAATGAGTTAGTCCAAGAGTGGATAAGAGCAAAGTTGCTTAGCTTTTTGGTGCCTAGTATTCATTCTTTTCCCTCTCTCTAATTTGAAGCATTCATACATGTGCAAGTGAGTTTACTAATACACCCAGTTTAACACATTATTTTATGGCACTTTCTTCTATCTGCTATACTATACTCTTACCTCTCTCTTTTATCCCCAAATGATATACCAATGATTTCACTTATTTCTGAAGCTTTAAGCTGGCTGCAGTCTGGCATATGTTCTTACTGTTCACCCCATGCTTTTATAATTATTTTAAAATGTTAACTTTCTAGAAAGTTTCTAGATAAAATCAAAAATGTTTCCCAGGGTCCAGATGTATTTTTTTTTCTTTTAGTGTAGTATTTTGTGTCATAATTTGGTTACTGTACAAAACTCCTACCATTACTGTGCAGACCTCTTGCTTATTTTCCTGAATCTCATGTTGTTGGGCTCCTGGCTGGAGTGCTTTCTTTCTTGTCCCTTTGCAATCTGTGTTTTGTAGACAGTCTCTGAGCAACCAACAATCCTTTATGTTTGTGTTTCCTTGGCTTTTAAATGCATATCTTCCTGTACCCAGTGCTTTCCTCTGATATTTCACACACATGCAAACTGCCTCCTGACTATTTTACTGGCTCTTACATCCTTGACACTTGTATTCTATATGTCTTCCCACATTGAGCTGACACTTTCGGCTCACTTCCACTAGGTTGGTGCAAAAGTAATTGCGGTTTTGCACCAACCTAATATCTTCCGTTTAGATTTGATTCAGAAATTTAATCCTAGCTTCCTTTTCCTTCTCTTTTATTTTTATGACAATTATTAGTAAACATCACATACATACACACACACACATAGAGAGAGGGGGAGAGAGAGAGAGAGAAAAGAGACGTACACAGATGCAAATGAACATATTTATACCACATTCTAGTTCTGGAGCACCAGAAGAGAAAAAAGAAAATCTATTCTATATTTCAATTTCATGGCTTAATAGCTCATCAGATATTCAGAATACATTATTTGGCTTAAATATCTAAGTTAAAAGGAAAACCTGAAATGCCAACATTTAAATTCTAGTCCTGGCCTCAGCATTTAATAGGGAAATACACTCCTAACTCTTTTGAACATGGATTTTTTCCTGTAAAAATAAAATAATACCCAATCTTTAACCTCACAGATTGGTAGGAGGTTCTAAAGGGTAACATATATGAAATATATTTATGCATTTAATCGTATACATACAGGTGCTATGCATGTTCATTAATGAAATTCTATTCTTTAGAATTACCCCATTTTCTGGTAACTATAAAGTTACCCAAACCAATATGGACCACAGAACTTTACTTTGGAAGAATGGTAAAGAAGACTTAGTGTCAATGAAATTATTTTTCTCTATTAAATATAATTGGTAGAACTGTGTAGTTGACTACTTTATAAAAGATTAAAATTATCATCTTTAGCATCTGCTTTCAGGCAGTAATTGAATCTGCATAGTAGGTATGAAATTGTTTTTCAAAATTATGCACCTTTAATCTCCAAATACTAACAGGAGAAATTCTTGAGGAGTCTCACACAGTAATTTTTTTTAGTTTAATATGTAAAATAAGAAAATTAAGACCATAAAATTATATTTATTACTGTTTAGGCTTTTTTGAATTTTTGTAAGCATATTTTTAAAAATATCCAGCTAAGTCTATATTTAAATGGATTAAAATACATTGTTATGGATAAAATCATTCATTATGACAATTTGTGTACATGGCCAAAGATTAAATATTTTAAAAAATGTTCATTTTAAAATCAGTGCTAAAAATAAGTTAAACAAAGCAAAAGAAAACAGATCTCCTTAAGGCACAGTTAAACTTCAAATAAAAAATTTTAATTTTTGAGTATTACATGTTATACAATTAACAGTTTACTAAAAAGGAATACAAAATAACTGAATTAAATTGGATCAAATAGCATTTTATTTCTCTCTCTCTCTGGATCAAATAGCATTTGTAACTCTCTAGCATTTTCATCCCAGTCTGAGAATGGGATGAATGGCTTATGACTGGAGGACCTAGCTCTTTCAGTGCCTTTCAGGTGGCTAAAAGATGTAGCATTACTACACTTCTTTTAACTCGTTGCTTATTTAAGAATGAAAAGAATAGGATGTCCAGTACTGTGGGCATATGTTTGGTAACAAGTAATACATTTCTACAAAAGCACTAAAATAGTAGTTGGCATATGTGGAAAGGTATAACTGACAGTTATTTTTATAACAACAAGGGCTGCATGGCTTCTATTGGTCATAAGTTTTTGTTATGTTTCCTTTTCATGAAAGTGTTAAGCCATATATGGATTAATCTATGGATAATGTTCACTTATCACCAAGAAAAATGTTTGGAAAGCAAAAAATTATATTTGCTGCCAAAATAACCACTATAAATATTGTAATACACTTGTATATTCAATAGAAATATTCTCAACATTATAAGTGCAAGAAAACTTTGTTCTGATATATTTATCAAGTTAATAAAATAGAAAAAGAACCCTTTTAGATGTAGGTTAAAAAGCGCTAGTGGGTTTAGAAAATAAGGGATAGTACTTGGGTGGCAAAATTATAAAAAGTGAATATATTAGCAGTATGGCTAGACAATTCCATTAACTAAGAGGTTATATGTGTTCAGTCAAGAATACAAGTGGAGAGTAAAGGGAAATAAAAAAGAATCAATTGATTTAGCCATTTATCTCATTTGGTCATTCACAACTGTTTTCTCCCATCCAAGTACTAACCAGGCCTGACCTTGCTTAGCTTCTAAAATCAGCTGCATTCAGGGTGATATAGTCGTAGACTATCCCTAAATGTTTTCTGAATTAAAACAAATACTCAAACTATGAAAATTAAAATATAAGTAAGCAAATTAAATATTAAAATAACTCAGTGATTCTCATTTTCTTTTTTTTCAACTTTTAGTTTCAGGAGGTACATGTGCAGATTTATTACATGGATAAATTGTGTGTTGCTGATATTTGGGGTACAGATGATCTTATCACCTAGGTAGTTAGCATACTACACAATAGGTAATCTTTCAACCCTTACCCATTGCCCATCATCCTCCCTCTATATGTCTCCAGTGTCTATTATTCCCATCCCAGAGTCTGTTGTTTCCGTCTGTGTGTACTCAATGTTTAGCTCCCACATATAAGTGAGAACATGCAGTATATGGTTTTTCTGTTCCTGCATTAATTCACTTAGGATAATGGCTTCCAGCTACATGCATGTTGCTGCAGAGGAAATGATTTCATTCTTTCTTATGGCTGCATACTATTCTATGGTTTATATGAACCATATTTTCTTTTTCTGGTCCACTGTTAACAGGCACCTAGGTTGATTATATGTCTTTGCTGTTGTGAATAGTGCTGTGATTAAATGCAAATGCATATATTTTTGGTAAAACAATTTATTTTCTTTTGAGTATATACCCAGTAATGAGAGTGCTGGGTGAATGGTAGTTCTGTTCTAAGGTATTTGAGAAATATCCAAACTGCTTTCCACAGTGGCTGAACTAATTTACATTCTCATCAACAATGTATAAGCATTTCCTTTTTCTCCACAACCTCACCAAAATCTGTTATTTTTTTACTTTCTAATAAGTCATTATTAGATTAAATGTCAGACTAATCACAGATGCTAAATTTAGCAAAGGAATAACATAATTTTCATTACTTTACCATGTTATAAATTATTTTCTCTTTTATCCCCTGTGGATTAAACTAATCCAAGTTTATATTTTAAAAACAAGTTCAATTTGTAGAACCGAAGCAGAACAGTGGCTCTTCTGCTTCTTACTGTAACTAGATACACATTTTCAGATGCTAGTTGACCAAAATTATATATTACTATTTCCCTCATGATCAGAATAATATGATTTTCATTTAGTTATGTTTTACATAAAATGTTTTATTTTTAATCAATGTATATATTATAATTTGTTATCAGCACTGCTATTTAAACCTGCCAGTTTTGGCTGACTAGTGGCTTCTTCAAAGACATGTAGAAACAGTGAGATTCTGAATGTATATTGGTTATCTTTTTTACTTCCAGTAAAAATGCATGGCAATAATTTGCAGATTTTAAAAAAAGAAGGAGACAGGAAATAGATACATAAGATGCAGGCTGGTGATAAACACCAAGATGGAGTTATTAAAACAAACATACCTGCTTCCCCTAGAGGTCAGAGCAAGGACTAATTCTCTCATTGTTTAAGCAGACAGTGAATTCATCAAGTACATCAGCCCTTTGAACTTTCTCTAGAATGGGCTTTCTTTGGAAGTCCTAACTCATAGTTTGGGTGTTTTTGGGCAAACTCACTTTTAGAAAATGAAACTATGATAGATGACACTTAAAGCAATTTAAATTATTTTCATTTGATTACATGAATGTTAACATTTATAATTAATGTGATGATTAAATGTTTTTACTAAAGTAAATCAAAATAAACAATGTCTACACTGAGCAAGGCTCATGGAGAAATTCATAGAATATTGACTAATTCTTAACATAGATAATCTCCTTTTACTAAATATTGGACTGTAGAGAGAGAAAGAGTGGTGATGAGACTTTCACTATTGGTTTTTTTTTTTTTTTTGAGACGGAGTCTTGCTCTGTTGCCCAGGCTGGAGTGCAGTGCCACAATCTCGGCTCACTGCAAGTCCGCCTCCTGGGTTCACACCATTCTCCTGCCTCAGCCTCCTGAGTAGCTGGGACTACAGGCACCCAACACCACACCTGGCTAATTTTTTTGTATTTTTAGTAGAGACGAGGTTTCACTGTGTTAGCCACGATAGTCTCGATCTCCTGACCTCGTGATCTGCCCGCCTCGGCCTCCCAAAGTGCTGGGATTACAGGAGTGAGCCACGGTTCCTGGCTGGTTTTAATATTTCAATTGATGTTGAATTCTTACAAAACCATTGTGGTACCCAAGAAATGTTTGAAGTTTTGCTTTCTAAACAAATTTTGTATACTCTACTAAGGATTATTAGCCTATTGAGAACACAGAGTAAAAAGAAGAAAAAAACAAACAACCCCATCAAAAAGTGGGCGAAGGACATGAACAGACACTTCTCAAAAGAAGACATTTATGCAGCCAAAAAACACATGAAAAAATGCTCACCATCTCTGGCCATCAGAGAAATGCAAATCAAAACCACAATGAGATACTATCTCACACCAGTTAGAATGGCAATCATTAAAAAGTCAGGAAACAACAGGTGCTGGAGAAGATGTGGAGAAATGGGAACACTTTTACACTGTTGGTGGGACTGTAAACTAGTTCAACCATTGTGGAAGTCAGTGTGGCGATTCCTCAGAGGTCTAGAACTAGAAATACCATTTGATCCAGCCATCCCATTACTGGGTATATAACCAAAGGACTAAAATCATGCTGCTATAAAGACACATGCACACGTATGTTTATTGCGGCACTATTCACAATAGCAAAGACTTGGAACCAACCCAGATGTCCAACAATGATAGACTGGATTAAGAAAATGTGGCACATATACACCATGGAATACTATGCAGCCATAAAAAATGTTGAGTTCATGTCCTTTGTAGGGACATGGATGAAATTGGAAATCATCATTCTCAGTAAACTATCACAAGGACAAAAAACCAAACACCGCATATTCTCACTCATAGGTGGGAATTGAACAATGAGAACACATGGACACAGGAAGGGGAACGTCACACTCTGGGGACTGTTGTGGGGTGGGGGGAGGGGGGAGGGATGGCATTAGGAGATATACCTAATGCTAAATGACAAGTTGATGGGTGCAGCACACCAGCATGGCACATGTATACGTATGTAACTAATCTGCACATTGTGCACATGTACCCTAAAACTTAAAGTATAATAATAACAACAAAAAAAGAAAGAATGAAACTAAGGATGAGGCATTTTATCCTTGTAGTCCTGTTATTTATCCCTCTTTAAAAATAATTCCATCCCTAAGCAGCTATGTGAATTTCTTCATATTTAGCAATAATTGAAAGAATAAAATTCAATATGATCAGTGAAGCCAAAAAATTTAAACATACTAAGACCCTCGTTCTCTAAGAATGTCTTATTTGGCCTAGATTGCTAGATTATTTTCTTAACTCCAAATACAAAATTACAAGTTTTCTTTTTTATTAATTGCAATAAAATATAATTCTTTGCAATTAAATTTTCCCCTTTTTAGCCCTTTCTTTAGTTATGATTTTGGGATTTGTGTTTTATTACTTATGATCCTATATAATATTGTAAATGCCAATAGTGTGATAGACATATTATGTATGTAGAGTAATTAATATATCAGGATTATGTAACCTACCAGTTTACAGTTACCTTTAAGAAGTAACACCATTATGAAATCCTGGATACTTAATCTTCACCATCTAGTGATTTTATGTTCTGCTCTGGGTTTGAAAGGCACAGAGGCGGGGACTGTGGTGGGGTCGGGGGAGGGGGGAGGGATAGCATTGGGAGATATACCTAATGCTAGATGACACATTAGTGGGTGCAGCGCACCAGCATGGCACATGTATACATATGTAACTAACCTGCACAATGTGCACATGTACCCTAAAACTTAGAGTATAATAAAAAAAAAAAAAAAAAAAGAAAGGCACAGAGGCATAAAGGAGAAAACTAATTTCATTGTTATTACATTCCTCAGAGACTGGCAGTACACAGTCAATGGGGATTATTAAAATATCCTTTATGCCATTATGGAAAATGTAACACTGTATTTTACCTATCAAATTGGTGACATTTTAAAGGCAACAGTCAGTACTCAGGAGGGTATAGAAAGAGAACTAGAGATGAATTATGAGATTTTTGTGTGATAGTCATACATACTATTGCTGAAATTATTTTCCACAATAAACACTGATAACTATTCTATTCATGCAAAATATTAATATTTATTCTGTGTTAGTAATCTTATTTTATATGGACAAATAAAAATGTATGCATTTATTATGTGCAACATATTTTAATATATGTATACACCGTGGAATGGCTAAATCAAGCTAATCAACATATTTATTACCTCATATAATTATCATGTTTTTAGGTGCGGTAAGAACACGTAAAATTTACTCACTGATAAATTTTCAAGAATACAATATATTGTTGTCAACTATAGTCATCATAATGTACAATGGATCTCTTGAACTTATTCCTTCTATCTAACTGAAACTTCATGTTCTTTGACCAAAATCTCCCAAATAATCCCACAACCCAGTCTCTGGTTGAGCCACTATTCTACTGTCTGTTTCTATGAGTTTAAATTTTGTTTTAGATTCCACATATAAGTGAGATCATGGGATGTTTGTCTTTCTGTGCCTGGCTTGTTTCACTTAACTTAATGTCTTCCAGGGTGAAGGGGTGGGTTGCCCCTCCACAGCTGGGGGTGTTTCTTGTTAGGTGAAATGAGAGACTTGGAAAAGAAAAAGACACAGAGACAAAGTATAGAGAAAGAAATAAGGGGGCCCAGGGGACCAGCGTTCAGCAATATGGAGGATCCCGCTGGCCTCTGAGTTCCTTTAGTATTTATTGATCATTCTTGGGTGTTTCTCGGAGAGGGGGATGTGGCAGGGTCATAGGATAATAGTGGAGAGAAGGTCAGCAGATAAACAAGTGAACAAAGGTCTCTGCCTCATGAACAAGGTAAAGAATTAAGTGCTGTGCTTTAGATATGCATACACATAAACATCTCAATGCCTTACAGAGCAGTATTGCTGCCTACATGTCCCACCTCCAGCCCTAAGGTGGTTTTCCCCTATTTCAGTAGATGGAACATACAATGGGCTTTTATACCGAGACATTCCATTGCCCAGGGACGGGCAGGAGACAGATGCCTTCCTCTTGTCTCAACTGCAAAGAGGTGTTCCTTCCTCTTATGCTAATCCTCCTCAGCACAGACCCTTCATGGGTGTCGGGCTGGGGGATGGTCAGGTCTTTCCCTTCCCATGAGGCCATATTTCAGACTATCACATGGGAAGAAACCTTGGACGATACCTGGCTTTCCTAGGCAGAGGTCCCTGCGGCCTTCCGCAGTGTATTGTGTCTCTGGGTACTTGAGATTAGGGAGTGGTGATGACTCTTAAGGAGCATGCTGCCTTCAAGCATCTGTTTAACAAAGCGCGTTTTGCACAGCCCTTAATCCATTTAACCCTGAGTTGACACAGCACATGTTTCAGAGAGCACGGGGTTGGGGGTAAGGTTACAGATTAACAGCATCTCAAGGCAGAAGAATTTTTCTTAGTACAGAACAAAATGGAGTCTCCTATGTCTACTTCTTTCTACACGGACACAGTAACAATCTGATCTCTCTTTCTTTTCCCCACACAGGGTCATAGATGTTGTTACAAATTTTAGGATTTCCTTCTTTTCTAAGCCTGAATATTGTTTTGCTTGCATATATACCACATTTTCTTTATCCATTCATCACTTGATAGACACTTAGGTTGTTTCCGTGTCTTGGATGCTGCAAATAATTCTGCAATAAACATGGGAGTGCATACATGTCTTTGACATACTTATATCATATCCTTTGAATGTATGCCCAGTAATAGGATTGCTGGATCATATGGTAGTTCTAGTTTTAATATTTGTGGAACCTCCACACTGTTTTCCGTATGACTGAACCAACTTACATCCCTACCAACAGCATATAAGTGTTCCCTTTTCTTCACAACCTGGCTAATACTTGTTAACTTTCATCTTTTGGATAATAGGCATTCCATCAAGGATGAAGTGGTATGTTGTGATTTTAATTTGCATTTCCTGGATGATTGATTAGTTATGTGGAGCATTTTTCATATTCCTTTTGAACGTTTATATGTGTTCTTTTGAAAAATGCCTATTCAAGACCTCTGCTAATTTTTTAAACAATTATATGTTTTCTTGCTATTGAGCTGTGTGAGATTCTTACATATGTTGGATGTTAATTCCTTATTAGGTGCATGCTTTGCAAATAGTTTCTCCCATTTTGTAGGTTGTCTTTTTACTGTGTTGTTTCCTTGGCTGTGCAGAAGCTTCTTATTTTGATGCAATCTATTTACGTATTTTTGCTTTTGTTGCCTGTGCATTTAGGGTCATATCCAAGAAATTGTTGCCCAGATCAATATCATGAAGATTTTCTCCTGCATTTTCTTCTAGATATTTTATAACTTCAGCTCTTATGCTTAAGTCTTTAAATTGAGTTGACTTTTGCATACAGTATGAAATGAGTGTAGAATTTCATTTTTTCTGCGTTTGGATATCCTGTCGTTCCAGCACCATTTACTGAAAAGGTTTTCCTTCCTCTGTTGTGTATTCTTGAAACCTTTGTCAAAAATCAATTTACCAGAAATGTGTGGATTTATTTCTGGCTCCTCATTCTATTCCACTTGTCTGTGTGTTTGTTTTTATGCCAGTACCATGCTGTTTTGATAACTATATAGCTTTGTAATATATTTAAAAATCAAGTACGCTCATACTTCCAGTTTTGTTCTATTTGTTCAAGATTGCTTTGGCTATTCAGGTTCTTTTGTGGATTCATATAAATTTTATAGTGTTTTTTCTATTTCTGTGAAAAATGTTTATTTCAATTTTGATAGTGATTACATTGAATCTATACATCCCTTTGGATTATAAAAAATTCAAACATATTAATTTTTCCAATCCATTAACACAAGATATCTTTTCATTTATCTGTGTCTTCTTCAATTTCTTTTATCAATGTTTATAATGTTCAGCGTGACTTCCACAATGGTTGAACTAGTTTACAGTCACACCAACAGTGTAAAACTGTTCCTATTTCTCCACATCCTCTCCAGTACCTGTTGTTTCCTGACTTTTTAATGATTGCCATTCTAACTGGTGTGAGATGGTATCTCATTGTGGTTTTGATTTACATTTCTCTGATGGCCAGTGATGGTGACGATTTTTTCATGTGTTTTTTGGCTGCATAAATGTCTTCTTTTGAGAAGTGTCTGTTCATGTCCTTCGATTCCTCAGGGATCTAGAACTAGAAATACCATTTGACCCAGCCATCCCATTACTGGTTATATACCAAAAGGACTATAAATCAGGCTGCTATAAAGACACATGCACACGTATGTTTATTGTGGCACTATTCACAATAGCAAAGACTTGGAACCAACCCAGATGTCCAACAATGATAGACTGGATTAGAAAATGTGGCACATATACACCATGGAATACTATGCAGCCATAAAAAATGATGAGTTCATGTCCTTTGTAGGGACATGGATGAAATTGGAAATCATCATTCTCAGTAAACTATCGCAAGGACAAAAAACCAAGCACAACATGTTCTCACTCATAGGTGGGAATTGAACAATGAGAATACATGGACACAGGAAGGGGGACTGTTGTGGGGTTGGGGGAGTGGGGAGGGATAGCATTAGGAGATACACCTAATGCTAAATGACGAGTTAATGGGTGCAGCACACCAGCATGGCACATGTATACATATGTAACTAACCTGCACATTGTGTACATGTACCCTAAAACTTAAAGTATAATAATAAAAAATGTTCAGCGTGCAGATATATTACCTCTGATTAAATTCATTCCTAAGTATTTTTGTAGCTATTGTAAATAGAACTATTCTCTTGATATCTTTTTACATTATTAGTGTATTACATTATTAGTGTATAGAAAAGCCACTGATTCTTGTGTGTCAATTTTGTATCCTTCAAGATTAATGAATTTGTTTATTAGCTCTAACAGTTTTGTCGTGGAATCTTTAGAGTTATATATAAGAAACATATATACACACACACTCAGCACATACAGATGTCATCTGTCTATCTATCTATCTATCTATCTATCTATCTATCTATCTATCTATCTATCATCTATCTATCTATTGCTTCCTTTAGGGCACATATAAGATTATGTCATCTACAAACAGAGACTATTTAACTTTTTTTATGATTAAGGTACCTTTTATATATTTTTTTCTTGCCAATTGCTCAGGCTCAGATTTTCAGTCCTGAATGGCTAGAATGGTGCACACTTGTCTTGTTCCCAATCTTAGAGGAAAAATTTTGAACTTTCATCATTGATTATGATGTTAGCTGTGAGCTTGTCACATACGGCCTCTATTATGTTAATGTACATTCCTTTTTTATATAATTCATGGAAAGATTTTAAACATTTAAAAAAATTATTGATAGTTGACAACTAATAAATGTATATATTTATGGGGTGGGGGGTATTTCAATGCATGTTTACAATGTAAATTTATTAAATCAGGATAATTACCAAATCTGTTGCCTCACATGCTTATTTTTTGTGATGAAAACATTTAAAATTTACTCTCAGCAATTTTGAAACATAAATGCAGTATTATTTATTATAGTTGGGAAGATGTCCAGAGAATTTTTTAGCATACAAAGATGATACATTTTGTCAAATCCCTTTTCTGCATCTATTAAGATGATCATATGGTTTTTGTCTTTCATTCTTAATGTGGTGTACCACATTTATTTATTTATTTGCGTATGTTGAATCATCCTTGCATCACTGGGATATATTCCATGTGATCATGGTGAATGATCTTTTTAATATGTTATTGAATTTGATCTGCAAATATTTTGTTAAGAATGTGTGCATCAATGTTTATCAGGAATATTAGCCTGTATTTTACTTTTCTGATTTTTCAATATTTATTTTAGATTCATGAGGTACAGATTTGTTACAAACATGCAGGTTTGTTACATGAGTACATTATGTGATGTTGAGATTTGGCATACAATTGATCCCATCACCCAGGTAGTGAGTGTGATACCTAATAGTTTTTCAATCCTTATCTTCCTTTCTCCCTCCCTTACACCTCTAGTAGTCTGCATTGTCTATTGTTCCCGTGTTTATGTCAATGAGTACCCAGTGGTTAACTCTCACTTACAAGTGAAAACATACGGTATTTAGTTTTCTGTTCCTGAATTGCTTTGCTTAGGATAATGGCCTTCAGCTACATTCATATTGTGGCAAATTACATAATTTCATTCTTTTTATGGCTGTCTAGTATTCCATGATGTATATGTACCACATTTTCTTTATTCAGTCCACCATTAATGGGTGCCTAGGTTGGTTCCATGTCTTTGCTATTGTGAATAGTGCTGCAATGAACATGCACATGTATGTGTCTTCTTAGCAGAATGATTTATTTTCTTTTAGTATATACCCAGTAATGAGATTGCTGAGTCTAATGGTAGTTCTGCTTTAAGTTCTTTGAGAAATCTCCAAACTGGTTTTCACAGTGGTTACACTAATTTACATTCTCACCAACAGCTTATAAGCATTCTCTTTTCTCTGCGGCCTCACCAGCATCTTTTATTTTGTGACTTTTTGATGTCAGAGTCACTCTGGATGGTGTGAGATGGCATCTCATTGCAGTTTTGATTTGCGTTTCTCTGATGATTACTGATGTTGAACATTGTTTCATTTGTTTCTTCTTTTGAGAAGTGTCTATTCATGTCTTTTGTTTACTTTTTAATGGAATTATTTGTTTTTTGCATGCTGCATTGTTTAAGTTTCTTACAGATTCTGGATATTACACTTGTTGGATGCATAGTTTGAAATTATTTTCTCCTATTCTGTAGGTTTTCTGTTTACATTGATAGTTTCTTTTGCTGTGCAGAGCTGTTTACTTTAATGAAGTTCTACTTGCCAATTTTTGTTTTTGTTGCAATTGCTTTTGAGGACTTAGCCATAAATTCTTTTCCAAGGCCAATGTCCAGAATGCCATTTCCCAGGTTTTCTTCTAAGATTCTTATAGTTTGAGGTCTTACTTTTACATCTTTTTGAGTTACCTTTTGTATATGGTGAAAGATAGGGGCTTAGTTTCATTCTTCTGAATATGCCCAGCCAGTAATCCAAGCACCATTTGTTGAATAGGGAGTCTTACATCATTGCTTATTTTTGTTGACTTTGTCAAAGAGCAGATAGTTGTAGGTGTGCAACTTTATTTCTGGGTTCTGTATTCTGTTTCATTGGTCTACGTGTCTGTTTATGTACCATTATCATGATGTCCTGATTACTGTAGCCTTATAGTATGGTTTGAATTCAGGTAATGTGATGCCTAGGATTTTATTCCTTTTACTGATGATTGGTTTGACTACTTGGCCTCTATTAAAATCCCTTATGGATTTTAAAATAGTTTTTTTCTAATTCTATGAAAAACGACATTGCTAGTTTGATAGGAATAGCTTTAAATCTGTAGATTTCTTTTTTTTATTTTATTATTATTATACTTTAAGTTTTAGAGTACATGTACACAATGTGCAGGTTAGTTACATATGTATACATGTGCCATGCTGGTGTGCTGCACCATTAACTCGTCATTTAGCATTAGGTGTATCTCCTAATGCTATCTCTCCCCCCTCCCCCCACCCCACAACAGTCCCCAGAGTGTGATGTTCCCCTTCCTGTGTCCATGTGTTCTCATTGTTCAATTCCCACCTATGAGTGAGAACATGCGGTGTTTGGTTTTTTGTTCTTGCGATAGTTTACTGAGAATGATGATTTCCAATTTCATCCATGTTCCTACAAAGGACATGAACTCATCATTTTTTATGGCTGCATAGTATTCCATGGTGTATTTCTTTGGGCAGTGTGGCAATGTTAATGATATTGATCCTTCCAAGGAATATTGGCCTATAGTTTTATTTTCAGTATCCCTATCTAGCTTTGGTGTCAGAGTAATGGTGGCCTTATAAAATTAGTTTGGGGGCTGGGGCATGGTGGCTGATGCCTGTAATCCCAGCACTTTGTGAGGCTGAGGCAGGTGGATCACGAGGTCAAGAGATCAAGACCATCCTGGCCAATATAGTGAAACCCCGTCTCTACTAAAAATACAAAAATTAACTGGGCATGGTGGCGTGGCCTGTAGTTCCAGCTACTCGGGAGGCTGAGGCAGGAGAATCTCTTAAACCTGGGAGGTGGAGGTTGCAGTGAGCCGAGATCGCACCATTGCACTCCAAACTGGGTGACAAGAGTGAAACTCTGTCTCAAAAAAAAAAAAAAAAAAAGAATTTGGGACTGTGTGCAGTGGCTCACGCCTGTAATCCCAGCGCTTTGGGAAGCTGAGGCGGGCCGATCACCTGAAGTCAGGAGTTTGAGTTCAGCCTGGCCAGCATGGTGAAACCCCGTCTCTACTAAAATTACAAAACCTAGCTGGGCGTGGTGGCAGGCGCCTTGTAATCCTAGCTACTTGGGAGGCTGAGGCAGGAGAATCTCTTGAACCCAGGAGGTGGAGGTTGCAGTGAGCCAAGATCGCACCATTGCACTCCAGCCTGGGTGACAAGAGTGGAACTCTGTCTCAAAAAAAAAAAAAAAATTTGGGACCGTGCACAGTGGCTCACGCCTGTAATCCCAGCACTTTGGGAAGCCAAGTCGGGCAGATCACCTGAAGTCAGGAGTTTGAGTTCAGCCTGGCCAGCATGGTGAAACTCCGTCTCTACTAAAATTACAAAACTTAGCTGGGAGTGGTGGCAGGCGCCTATAATCCCAGCTACTTGGGAGGCTGAGGCAGGAGAATCTCTTGAACCCAGGAGGCAGAGGTTGCAGTGAGCCAAGATTGCGTCATTGCACTCCAGCCTGGGTGACAAGAGCGAAACTCTGTCTAAAAAAGAGTTGGGAAGTATTCATTTTTCTTTAATTTTTGGATATGTTTGAAAGGGATTGATATCAGTTCTGTAAATATCTCATAGAACTTAGCAATTAAACAATCAGGTTCTGGACTTTTCTCTGATCAGAAACTTTTTTATTAATGACTCAATCCCCTTATTCTTTATTGATTTTTTCATGTTTTCTATTTTTTCATGATTCAATGTTGATAGGTTGTGTGCATCTTGGAATTTATCTATTTTTCTGGGTCTTCCAATTTGATGGCAAATAATTGTCCATAATGGACTCATAATATTTTGTACTTCTGTGGTATCAGATGTGATGTTCATTTTCTTATTTTTATTTATTTGACTCTGTCCTTTATTGTTCTCATTTAGCTACATTAAAAGATTTGCCAGATTTGTTTATATTTTCAAAAAAAACCTGCTTTTCATTCTGTTGAACTTTTCTATTGTTTTCTAGTCTCTATTTTATTTATAGCTATTTTGTTATTTATTATTTCTTCCTTCCAGTAAATTTTAGCTTATTTTGTTGTTCTTACTCTAGTTCCTCAAGGTGTAACAGTACATTTTTTATTTGCAATCTTTCTTCTTTTTTGATGTGTTTATTGCTACATTCTTCCCTCTTAGAACTGCTTTTCCTATACATTTTGTTGTTTTTCAATTTTTATTTGTTTCAAGATTTTTTAAAAAATTTCTATTTCATTGCTTCTTTGACCTTTTGTCTATTTATAAGGTTGTGGTTTATATTCCATATATTTGTGAATTTTCTCAAATTCATCCTATTATTGATTTCTAGACTTATTGTGTTAGAAAAAGATACTTACTTAATATGATTTCAAAATTTAAAGATTTTTTCAGACTTATTTTGTGGCCTAACATGTCATCTATTTTGGAGAATGTTCTGGGCATGCTGGAGAAAAACGTACATTCTGTTGCTGTATATTCTGTTGTTGTTGTATACCCTTGCAATTTTGGCAGCGGCCCGATGTAGTCTACTTACCACCTGGTCAAGGTCACTCGCCCTGTTATCACTTGTGTAACAGTGGGCAGCTGCCTCCATTTAGGGTATGACTGAGCACATGCTGGGCATTTCTGACGAGACTCTGAGACACATAGCCTATTCTGTATGTGTCTGTTAGGTCCATTTTCTTTAAGGTGTAGCTCAACCGTAATGTTTTCTTATTGATTTTCTGTCTGAATGATTTATCCATTGTTTAAAGTTGGGTACTACACTTCCCTATTATTATTGCATTGCAGTCTATCTTTCTCTTCAGACCTACTAATATTTGCTTTATATGTTTAGGTGCTCTGCTAATGGGTGCATATATACTTACAGTTCTTATGTCTTCTGGGTACACTGATATCTTTATCATTACACAGATTTTGTCTCATTTTATAGTTTTTGACTAAAAGGCTATCTTACATCATGTAAGAATAGCTACTCCTTCTCTCTTTGATTTGCATTGGCATAGAATATCTTTTCCAATTCCTTTGTTTTCAGTCTATGTGTGTTCTTAAAGTTGAAGTCAATATCTTGTAGGCAACAAATAGTTGGGACTAGTTTGTTTTTTAAATCCATTCTGCTACTTTGTCTTTTGATTAAAGAATTTTATTTATTTAAATTTATGGTTAATATGAATAAATAAGGATGTATTATTGCCGTTTTGTTCATCATTTTCTGGTTATTTTGTTGATCTTATTTTCCTTTTTTTCCTCCCTTGCTGTCTTTATTTATAATTAGATTTCTCTCTATATATATAAATATGTGCATAATATATGTAATATATATATAATGTAAGATTTTATATACTATGACATATATTAAGACATAATACAATATATAAGATCTATTATATATATAAAGCATAGTGATATGCTTTGAATCCTTACTTTTTTGCGTGTGTGTATCTATTAAGAGTTTTTGTTTTGTGGTAACCATAAGGCTTACATAAAACATCTTATAGTTATAATGGCCTATTTTACGCTAACAATTGTACTTTGTTTGCATAAAGAACCTCTACAATTTTACTCTTCCTCTCCACAACACATTTTCTGTTTCTGATGTCACAGTTTACATATTTTGTATGTATATGCCTTAAAAATTATTGTACGTATTATTTTGATTTTTTAAATCTTTTAACCTTCATACTAAATAAGTGATTTACACACTAGCATTACAGTGTTAGAGTTCTAAATTTGACTGTGTACCTAGTTTTAACAATGAGGTTTCTTCTTTAATATGTTTTCATGTTACTAAAAGCTGTCCTTTCTTATGCTCAAAGAACTCCCATTCATGTTTCTTATAAAAAAGATTTGGTGGTAATGAAATTCCTTAGCTCTTGTTTTTCTGGGATAGTCTTTATCTCTTCTTCGTGTCTGAGGGAAAGTTTTGCTGGGTGAACTATTCTTCATTTGAAAGTTTCTTTCATTCAGCACTTTAAATATATCATCCTATTCTCTTCTGGCCTACAAGGTATCTGCAGAGAAATCTGTTAGCCTCACTGAAACTTCCTTACGTGTGATATGTTTGTTTTCTCTTGTTGCTTTCAGGATTGTCTCTTCATAATTCGTTTTTGAAAGTTTGATTATAACATGTCTTGGTATAGTCTCGTTTTGGACTGAATGTTTTGGAAGACATTTGAGTATCCAAACC
Source organism: Homo sapiens (assembly GCF_000001405.40). NCBI lineage: Eukaryota > Metazoa > Chordata > Mammalia > Primates > Hominidae > Homo > Homo sapiens. The sequence goes on along the minus strand of NW_025791796.1, from coordinate 278,318 downwards.
TGAATGCTTCTATTTTCCCTAGATTTGGAAAGCTTTTAGGTACTATTTCTTCAAATAAGCTTTCTGTCCCTTTGCCACTCTTTTCTCCTTCTTTATCTCCTACAATTCAAATAGTTGCCTTCTTGATGTGATCCCTTAAATCCCATAACCTTTCTTTATTTTTTGATTTTTGAAATTTTGTCTCTTCTGACTATATATTTTCAAATACACTATCTTCAGGTTCATAGATTATTTTGCTTAACTCTGCTCTTAATGTTCTCTGTTGCATTTTACATTCATTAGCTATATTTTTTGGCTTCAGAATTTCTAGGTTTTTTTTTTTGTATTTTTAATCTCTCAGTTAAGTTTCTAATTTTGTTTGTTTCCTGATTTTTAATCAACTTTCCTCTGTATTTTCTTGACATTCTCTTAGCTCCCTCATAAATACAATTATAAAATCTTTGTCAAGCCATTCATATATCCCCATTTTGGGGCATCAGCTCCAGGAAAATTATTGAATTTCTTTTTTGGTGGTTATATGTCTCCTTGGCTTTTTATGTTTATTGATGCCTTGCATTGAGGTCTACACATTTGGTAAAACAGTCACCTCTTTTTGACTTTATGAGTTCATTTTGGTGTGGAAAAACCTTCCCCTATGAAGAGAAGGGTGCAAGGGCACTGGTTCTAACACCAGTGAAGAAGCAGCTGTGAATTCCAGGGCATCTCTATTAGTTGTGGTCAGTATTAATGAAGATCACAAGGATTCTTGACAGGCAATACTGTACATGTTCACAGTACCATTGAATGACTGATGTGGTCTTCATTGGCAATTGCTGCTAAGGTCCTTCCAATGTCTGTATCTCCTACTGGGAAAGTTGTGGCTGAAGGGATCCCCCTTGACACTGTGTCCAATTTGTGGGCCCACTCCAGGGACAGTGGCACCAGTTTCTGATGAGTGCTAACCATGAAGTGACTGTGGAGCTGAGGCCTGAAGCATGAGCACATGTAGAGGGACTATGGCTCTGGGGTGTAGGGTGGTATAGGCAGTGGTACCCAGGGTGCACATGCCCTCATTGTCATGTTCATAACAACATGTAAGGCACAGGTGCTTGTGAAGCAAACAAGGTACAAAGAACAGAAGCATAGGTATGCACAGTATTGACAGGATATAGGGAGAGATGATGAGTCCCATCTGAAGGGGCACAACAATGACTGTGTCTTGAGGGGGTTAAGGTGTGTGGCTGCATCTAACTCTTTAGAGTTTCCCAGCAAGAATGGCTGTTGGTTGCCTCAGTGGCAAAAGATGCCAATGTTTTCTGAAGAGAAGGCCTTTGGGACCATAGTTCTTGCTGCATGGCTGACAGTGATAACCTCTGCCTTTTTTTTGTCCTTTGCCATCTCTTCATGTCTTAAGTTTGCTGATCTCACCAGAAATCTTTTCTGTGAGGATATTCTTGACTTTTTGCTCCATTATATTTCTGTAGATTATTTAGTGGGCCCTTAAGCTTTCTCAGAACTATTTTGGTTTGTGCATAGCTGTCTATGTTTGTTTTTCTGTGGGGAGGATAAATACTGGTATCTCCTACTCCTTCATCTTGGCGATGTCACTCATTCTAGATTACATTAATTATAAAATTTATTATGATAAATTTTTCACGTTTAATTCTAACTTGTCTGAAATTAATAAATGATAGGATATGAGTTTTTATTATTACAATTAAATAATTCATTTTATTAAGAATGTATAATGCTCTGGCCAGGTGCGGTGGCTCATGCCTGTAATCCCAGCACTTTAGGAGGCTGAGGCATGTGGAGTTCGAGACCAGCCTGGCCAACATGGTGAAACCCCATCTCAACTCAAAATACAAAAAATTAGCCAGGCGTGGTGGCAGGTACCTGTAATCCCAGCTACTGGGGAGGCCAAGGCAGGAGAATCGCTTGAACCCGGGAGGCAGAGGTTGCAGTAAGCTGAGATGGCACCATTGCACCATTACACTCCAGCCTGGGCAACAAGAGTGAAACTCTGTCAAAAAAAATAAATAAATAAATAAAAAAGAAAGAAAACGGATAATGCTCCCTTTATATTTATTTAAATTGGAGATAAGTCTGGCTACTTTTTAGATCTATTCATTTTTGTCATTGTTTTTGTGTTCTTAAAATTTTTGTCTTCTTTTATGGCTCACAGAAAAGTTTTGTCATCTTCATTTTGTCAGCAATGTTTTTGTAACATATTTGTGGTTAAATAAAATTTGCGTATTTCCTACTTTGATGCTATACTTAATATGATTTTTCTCTTTATATTAATTCATCTTATTGCTATTGTTATCTGTAAATGTTTTATATATATATATATTTAAGTGGTAAATGGAATCAAATCTCATGTTCAATATTTTTCTAATTGGTTCTCTTCTATTTTTTGTATTATTGATAAGATAGATAATATTCACATTAAAATATTTCTCTACTATTATTTTATTACCTTATTTCATTAACTTGAAATTTTTGAGCAATATTGAATACCAATGGTGATAACTGGCTATGGTAGAACTCGTTGGTTTCCCAGTAATGATTCTTTCTTCTTTCTTGGTAATTGAAACCATATATTCTCTGGGATAGGCTGACTATGTGCTTCCATGGAGGATCAAATCTTTTTCATAAGACATCTGTCTAGGACAATCAAAGTGCTTTCACTTCACTCACCAGAGACTAGTTTAGCAATGAGCATTAACTGTGTCCCAGAGACTAGTAGTGTCCTCTGAAAGGTCATTCTCTTATTCTTCCTTGGTAAGAGACACCTAAATTCAGTTAGAGTATACTATACAGTCTACCTTAAACTTAGAAGGAGCAAATTCCAAAAAAACCCCTATATTATTGGGTAGCTCTTTGATGAAATTTGTATTGGAGCTGACTCAGTAGAGAGTTATGCCCTTTGCCTCTGCCCAACTCTGTAATTTCTGGGGTCTAATTGAGAAAAGAAAAATAACTCTGAGTATTTCAAACAGGTTATTTAGCTACTCAAGCGATGGAATAGCTAAGATGTTGAACAGGATATGTTCAGAGAAACCAAAGATGACTATCAAATGGAAGCCACTATCACATCTAAGCTGTAGGAACAAGAGAAGAGGCACTCTCACCACAGGCCAAGTGTGGGGTCGTGTTAGTTTTCTATTTCTTTCCTAGCAAATTATACAAATTTATTTGCTTCAAGCAACACAAATTCATCATTTTACAGTCCAGTAGGTTGAAGTTAAATATGAATCTCACTAGGCTAAAATCAAGGCATCAACAGGATTAAATTTTTTTCTAGAGACTTTGGGGGAATTCATTTCCAGGACTGTGGACAGGTTGTGGGCAGGATTTCACTCTGTGTGATTGTAGGACTGACATCTCCATTTCTTTGCTGGTTGCCATTCAAGGGTTATCCTTAATATTTAGATACTATCTGATCTTCCTTTGTCATGATCCCCTTCCTCTTTTAAGCCATTAACAGTGGACGGGACCCTTTGAAAGGCTCATCCCCAGCCGGGCACGGTGGCTCGTGCCTATAATCCCAGCACTTTGGGAGGCTGAGGCGGGTGGATCAGGAGGCCAGGAGATTGAGACCATTCTGGCTAACACGGTGAAACCCCGTTTCTACTAAAAATACAAAAAATTAGCCCATGTGGTGGTGGGCGCCTGTAATCCCAGCTACTCAGGAGGCTGAGGCAGGTGCTTGAACCTGGGAGGTGGAGGTTGCAGTGAGCCAAGATCGTGCCACTGCCAAGACTCTGTCTCAAAAAAAAAAAAAAAAAAAAAGGCCTTCTCTTCTGCCATGACTCTCTTTTTCTATACTGACAGGAAAGCTTTATCACTTTTAGAAATTCATGTTATTACACTGGACACATTCAAATATTCCAGGAAATCTTCTCATATCAAAGTTTGTGAACTAAATCACATAAGCGAAGTTTGTTGTTGTTGGTGGTTTTTCTTTTTTTTTCTCTCTGTTTTTTTTTTTTTTTTTTTTTTTGCACTGTAATGTATCATACTCACAAGTTTTGGGATTAGGGTCTGGACTTCATTGGGAGACCATTATTCTGCTTTCAATAGCTTATGGTCAAAAGTTAGAAATATGGTGGTTCTTGGCAGGGTGCGGTGGCTCACGCATGTAATCCCAGCACTTTGGGAGGCCAAAGAGGGCAGACTACCTGAGGTCAGGAGTCCGAGACCAGCCTGGCCAATATGGCAAAACCCAATCTCTACTAAAAATACAAAAATTAGCTGGGCATGGTGGCAAGTGCCTATAATCCCAGCTACTCAGGAGGCTGAGGCAGGAGAATCACTTGAACCTGGGAGGCGGAGGCTGCAGTGAGCCGAGATGGCGCAACTGCACTCTAGCTTGGGCAACAGAGTGAAACTCTGTCCAAAAAAAAAAAAAGAAATATGACTGTTTTTTCTACCAGGAGAGCAGGAGCCATGAACTTGATACAACTACTTGTAGAGATGTAGGCATAGGCAGTGTGCTGGGTGCAGTGAGAGGTTGAGGGGTGAAGTGGGCTTCTGTATCCCTTCCTATTAATCTACCAATGACTCTCCATTAATCTACCTGTCACTTTTATTTGTTATTTGTGACTATCAGGAATCTAGGTGACATAGAAACTTGGAAATGCATTCTTAATCAATAGGCCTCTGTATAATACAAAGCAAAACTAAAAAAAAATGAAAACTTTGCATCGGAAGAAAAACGAGCTCACGAGCTCACATCCTTTTAGTTTTCTTTATGTCTAGAATGTAAATGTGATGTGTGGAGTTTCTACAGATAGTTTGTGACATTGAGGTCAGAATATTAATCTAAAGCAAAAAATAAACAGGAAGTTTCATACTTCCTGATTTTGTGAAGCTGGCATACCAACAGTGAGGTAATATTCTATCAATTGGTTTTACAAGGAAAATAAACTTTCGTCTGATTTATTTATAACACTATAGTCTAGTTGATTACTAGCAGACTGACAGATACAAATATAATTCTGACCAGACATCTGTGAGGTAGAGTTACCCAAAGAGCATGCAAGTAAAACTTTCAATATTCCTAAGATGGAACATTAGAAAAATATTTTCTCTTTGAACATTTGTTCACCGTGAAGATCAAGTGTGAGGACAAATCCTCATTATTTAAGAAGGTAATCCTAATATTTCAGTGAAGGTTTTAGCGTTTTTATTTGTTATGGTCATGGTGAAAGATCACCTTAAAAGTAATGGACAAATATTGCACCTTGTACTTTAATCACTAAACTTTTAAGGAGATTGCATATTGTCTGGTGATCCTATTTCAGTTCTGAAGGCACTATATTCCAATACTTGGGATGATTGCTTTGACTCATTTTTTATTGACATACAGACTTCTAGCTTTTGGTGGAGTCCAGTATAAGAAAGGAATATTAGCACATCTAGCATACAGTGTGTATACTAGATCTAGTATCAAGTAGTCATACTACTCGAACCACATATCCAGGTAAAGTCTGTGGCACTACAATTGTCTGTGCTGGAGAAATACAGCATTTGTAGGTTTTGGCAAACCCTAGTAGAAGAATAACAATGTAGATTCCTAAGGTCATGTAGCTTGAACCATAGCATCTGTAGCAAAACTGGAAATACATGAATTTTAAATCAGCTCCTAGATTTCACTCTATTCTAATAAGGATGAAACATGTGATTATGGAACTTATGTTGACTATAGAAGCAGAGCTATCTACAAAAAAACTTGATTATTTGATATTAATATTCACTAGACAGCATCAAAAAAAGGCATGAAATAAACAAGATGACATAATGGCTCATCCAGTTGATATAAACTACTTGCTATTATTGAAGTAGTCATAATAGTAGAAAAGGAGGTTGTGTATGGACCCACTGCTTGGCTTCCTACTCACCAAGATCACACTTGCTGTGGTGCAATAAATGTCATCAACAAAACTAACCTGAACCCCCTAATCTGGTACCATCTTGTAGACAGAATAACCAGCCACTGGGACAAGTTGATGTTATTACCCATTTTATTCTAGATGAGACAATGACTCATCTTCATGGGAAGATATATACAGAAGGCATAGGGTTGCATTCTACATTTACAGGGTGCTATCTGAAGGTATATACAGAGTTTAATCAAAGAATTATCTTATAACATATCTGAATCCAAGTTGTAAGTGTTGACCAATAATCATGGCTCTATTGGACCTATCATTTACAGGTTATTTTAAACAGATAACTTTGATCACATTAAAAAAAAAAACTGTATGTGCTAACTCCTCTCCCTCCCATATTAAAAATTTTGGATGTCAAAATTTACACCTTTATACATTGCATATCCCTAACAGATTATTGCAGTTATTATTATTTTTATTTTTCTAATTTAATATACTTGTTATTAGAGAAAAATGCCTATATATATATTTTTTTTTCAACTTTTATTTTAGGTTTAGTGGGTACATGTACAGGTTTATAACATGGGTGAATTGCATGTCAATGAGGTTTGGTGTACAAATGATTTCATCACCCCGGTAGTGAGTGGAGTATTCAATAGGTAGTTGTTTGACCCTCATTCTCTTCCCACCCTACACTATCAAGCAGGCCCCAGTATTTATTGTTTCCCTCTTTGTATCCATGTGTACTCAATGTTTATCTTCCACTTGTAAATGAGAATGTGCAGTATTTGGTTTTCTCTTTCTGTATTAATTCACTTAGGTAATGGCCTCCAGCTACATCCATGTTGCTTCAAAGGACAGTATTTCATTCTTTTTATGGCTGCATTGTATTCCATAGTGTATATGTACCACTTTTTTTTTTTAATTCAGTCCACTGCTAATGGGCATCTAGGTTGATTCCATGTCTTTGCTATTGTGAACAGTGCTTCAGTGAATATACAAGATTGGGTGCCTTTTTGGTAGAATTCTCTGTATTCATTTGTATGTATACCCTAGTAATGAGATTGCTGGGTCAAGTGGTAGTTCTGTTTTAAGTTTTTTGAGAAATCTTTAAAATGCATTCCACAGTGGCTGAAATAATTACGTTCTCACCAGCAGTGTGTAAGAGTTCCCTTTTCTCTGCAACCTCACCAATATCTGCTTTTTAAAATTTATTTTTTATTTTTTGTAATAGCCATTCTGACTTTTGTGAGATGTGGCATTTCATTGTGGTTTTGATTTGCATTTCTCTAATGACTAGTGATGTGGAATATTTTTTCATATGTTTGTGGCCACATATGTGTCTTCTTTTGAGAAGTATCTGCTCTTGTCTTTTGGCCACTTTTTAATATGGTTGTTTGTTTTTTTCTTGTTTACTTAAGTTCATTATAGATTCTGGATATTAGAATTTTATCAGATGCATAGTTTGCATATATTTTCTCCCATTCTGTAGGTTGTCTGTTTATGCTGTCAATTGTTTCTTTTGCTGTGCAGAAGTAATTAGATCTGATTTTTTTTTGTTAACCTTTAATTTCAGAGACCTAGTCATAAAATCTTTGCCATTGCCTAAGTCCTGAACGGTATGTCCTATGTTTGTTTCCAGGGTTTTTATAGTTTTAGGTCTTACATTTAAGTCTTTAATGCACATTGAGTTGATTTTTGTATAAGATGAAAGGAAGAGATCCAGTCTCATTCTACTGCATATGGCTAGCCAGTTATTGCAATGCCATTTATTGAATACGTAGTCTTTTTTCCACTGCATGTTATTGTCAACTTTGTTGAGGATCAGATGGTTGTAAGTGTGTGGCTTTATTTTTGGGTTTTCTGTTCTGTTTCATTGGCCTATGTGTCTGTTTTTGTACAAGTACCATGCTGTTTTGTTTACTGTAGTCTCATATATAGCTTGTAGTTGGGTAGTGTGATGCCTCTTGCTTTGTTCTTTTTGATCAGAATTGATTTAGCTATTTGGGCTCCTTTTGGGGTTTCATTTGAATTGTAGAATACTTTTTTTCTAATTCTGTGAAACATAAAATTGATAGTTTAATAGAAATAGTATTTAATCTGTAAATTGCTTTGGGCAGCTATTTAATGGCTATTTTAATGATACTGATTCTTCTAATCTATGGGCATAGGATTTCTTTGCATTTGTGTCATCTCTGATATATTTCAGCAATGTTTTGTAATTCTCATTTCAGAGATCTTTCACCTCCCTGTTTAGCCATATTTCTAGGTATTTTACTCTTTTTGTGGCTTCTGTGAATGAAACTGCATTCTTGATTGGGGTCTCAGCTTGGACATTATTGGTGTATAGAAATGCTAATAATTTTTGTACATTGATTTTGTATCCCGAAACTTTACTGAAGCTGATTTTCAGATCTAGAAGTCTTTGGGCAGAGACTGCAGGTTTTCTAGGTATAGAATCATATTATTTATGAGGAGAAATAGTTTGACTTTCTCTTTTGTTATATTTATTTCTCTCTCTCGCCTGATTACTCTGGATAGGACTTCCAGTACTATGTTGAATATAAGTGATGAGAGTGAGCATTCTTATCTTGTTCCATTTCTCAGAAGGAATGCTTCCAGCTTTTTCCCATTCAGTATGATGTTGGCTGTCAGTTTGCATATATGGCTCTTATTATTTTGAGGTATGTTTCTTTGATGGCTTGTTCGTTGAATTTTTTTTAACATGAAAGGATGTTGAATTTTATCAAAATCTTTTTCTGTGTCTGTTTATATGATCATGTGGGTTCTGTTTTTAGTTCTGTTTATGTGATGAATCACATTTATTGATCTGCATATGTTGAACCAGCCTTGCATTGCAGGAATAAAACCTACTTGATTGTGGTGTATTAGCTCTTTGATATTCCACTAGATTTGATTTCCTCATACTTTGTTGATGATTTGTATATCTATGTTCATCAAGGATATTGGCATGAAATTTTCTTTCTTTGTTTTGTTTCTGCCAGGTTTTGAAATAATGCTGGCCTCATACATTAAGTTAGGGAGGAGTCTTTCCTTTTTGATATTTTGGAATAATTTCAGTAGGACTGGTACTAGCTCTTTTTTTTAAATCTGGTAGAATTTGGCTGTGAAACCATCTGGTCCAGGGCTTTTTCTGATTGGTAGATTTCTGTATTATGGATTCAATTTCAGAATTTGTGAATTAATTTTTTATGAGACAAGGTCTTATTCCATCGTCCAGGATGGAGTGCAGTGGCATAATGATAGCTCACCAAAGCCTCAAAATCCTGGGCTCAAGCAGTCCTTGCATTCAGCCTCCTGAGAGTTCTATTTTTTAATGGCCATGCTAAATATATAGGTAGTTTATACAGCTTGATTATTCAAATATATTGAGTTAGACTGTATATTTATTTTTACCAGTGAGTTTTATACCTTCAGATTTTTTATACTACTTAGTAGTTTCCTTGTCTTTCATTTTGAAGAGTTCCTTTTAGCATTTGCAAAATAGGTCTGTATTAATAAACTTTCTCAACTTTCATTCGTCTGGGAAAGTCTTTACGTATCCTTCAACACTCAAGTATTGCTTTGCTGGATACAGTATTCTTGGCTGCTAGGCTTTTTTCTTAATATTTAAATATATCATCCCAACTCCTCCTTGCCTATAAGACTTTTTTTTGTTTTTGTTTTGAGAAGCGTGCTGCCAGGCATATTGGAGCTCTTTTGTATGTTATTTGTTTCTTTTCTCTTGTTTCTTTCAGGATCCCCTCTTTGTCTTTCATCTTATACAGTTTAATTATACTATATCTTTTGATACTATTATTGGGATTGCATCTGACTTGGTGTCTTTTGTGCCTGAGTAGTTACATCTTTCTCTAGGTTTGTAAGTTGTCTGTTATTTTTAAAATAAGTTTTCTAACTCTTTGTCTTTTTCTACTCCCTTCTAAACCCCAGTAACCCAAATATCTGCTCTTTTAATGTTGTCCCATAAATCTGACAAACTTTCTTTGTTCCTTTTAATTCTGTTTTGTTTTTTCATCTCAGATCGTATATTTTTAAATAGCCTGTCTTCCTAACTCACTGATTCTTTTTTCTGCTTTACCTATTTTTGCTACTGATGCTTTCAGTTGCATTTATTTCATTCCCTGTATGTTACAGATCCAAAGTTACTGTTTGATTTTTTATTATTTTAATCTCTATGTTAAATTTCTCTGAAAAATTTAAAAACTGTCTCTCAATTTTCTTTAAGTTAACTGAGCTTCCTTAAAAACAGGTAGTTTGAGTTATTTGTCAGGCAGATCATAGATCTCCATCTCTTTAGGGTCAGCAGTTTGCATCTTATTTTATGCCAGTGATGTCAGTTTCTCTGGTTGTTCTTGGTCCTTGTGGTCATGTTTCAATATCTGTGCATTGGATGACATAGGAATGTATTGCAATCTTTGCAGTCTTGCTTTTCTGTGATTGCCCTTCTACAGTAGGCATGTTCAGGAATATTGAGAAGACTGTTGTGGTTCCTAAGCCTGTGACTGTTGAAGTCATTGTCAGCACTGCAATGACTTCAGCTGTTACAGGCTTAGAAACCACAAGGTCCATAGTGGCTGCTGTTGCCCAAGCTGGAGTCCCATGAAGAGTTGGAGGTAAGGTGAAGGTTTGCTTCTGGATTCTCAGACAGCAGCCCTGTTACCTGCAATGCTGACAGGTTTGGCTTTCTCCGAGTTTCTGAGAGGCCTTTCACTACATCATTTGATGAGTCTTTGGGTTGGCCATACTACAAATGGCTACAATGAGCTGGAAATAAACACAGGGTTGTTTCAAGCCTAGAGTTGAGACTGAGATCTTTAGACCTGTCTTCATAGTCACGGACAGCCATGTCTCCCAGGGAGTTACAGGGTGAGCAGGCCTGCTCTCAGACTGCAGTTAAGAAGAAATGAAATCAATTTATAGGGCTCTTTGAAGATTCACAATGTGATCAAAAGCAGGGCATAACACTGCAAAAACGCTATTGAACTTTCCTCTCTCCAAGTCTCCAGGCAGGCAGAGGTGTTGTTAGTCTATAGATAAGAGGAGCCAGGACTAAGATCTAGGGATGTTTGAGGAACTGTTGAAGGAAGAGGCTGGCAAGCACAGGGGCTCAGCTTAGTGTATCTCTTGGCAGGAGCTTGACTGAGTAGAACTTCTTCCAGACCACAGCTGGGAGGGACTAAAACTAACCTTCAGGGTAATTCAGAATCTGCTGTGAGACTGTTGGCAAACCCAGTCCAGTAACACCAATGGGCAAGATTCTCAGAAGTGCCCTATGTGGGCAGTATTGCTTGCATAGTACAGTTGAGGGGGGCTGGAACTGGCATTCATGGTTCTTTCTGAAACTTCTGTGGCATGGTGGCTGGCAATCCTGCCCAGGTATATCTCCCAGGAGTTATCTGCACAAGCAGAATAACTCTGGTGCTGCAGCAGAGAAGGGCTGAGGCCAAGAAAAGGCCCCTTCAGGATCTTCTGTGGGTGGGAAGCCAGTAAACCTGTCCAAATGGCTTAGATAGGTGTGTCACCCAGTAATTCCCTGCACAGGTAGGATAGTTCTCTGACTATGGCAAAAAAAAAAAAAAAAAAAAAGGTGAAGCTGGGACAGGACCCCTTCAGGATCTGTTGTTGGTCAAAGGCTGGCAAGCCTGTACCAATGGCTCAGATGACAGTGGGGCAGCTCTTTGGCTGCCACAGAGAAAGGCTGAAGCCAAGGCTCCTGCAGAATCCACTGTTGGACAGAGGCAAGCAAACCCACCCTGGTGGTCCAGAGTGTATGTCTGTGGGAGGGTATTCCCAGGCTGTAGCAGAGAGGTACCGGAACCCTACATCCCCTTTAGAGTTTGCTGTGGGACAGAGGCCAGCAAGCTCATCTATCCCAGTGGTTCAATAGGGTGTGCCTCCCTCTGGGTCCTTGTGTGAGTTGCACTATGCTAGGACCAACACTAATGGGGCTGGAACTGAGTTACAGGTTAACTTTCAGGTCTACTGCTGACACTGATTTCAGTGATAAGAGCCTATCCACTGAGGCACACTGGTGCTTGTGATTCCTCCTGGCCCCTTTGGCAGATAGTTTTGGTTGTGGGCTCAAAGCCACTTGGGGCTGTAGCCAATCCCTTCAGAAAATGTGGCCATTTCCAGGTTTGAACCCAGGAAAATGATTAGCAGTTCTGCCACCTGGATGTGGGTCTGCTCCCTCAAAATGGCTGTCCTAGGTTTTGGGATCTATTGGTGTTCCACAACCTTCTGCCTGAACCCAAAGGCTCCTTCTAAGAGACTTTTTTCTGTGAATGGGTTCAGAATTCTTATGGGAGGATATGAGTGGGTTGTCATTGTGTTATCTGGCTAATGTCACTCCAAGTCAGATTCTTGAGTTATGTGGCTGAGGCTCAAAGATCAATCTCTATGAAGGTACTTTATTTTCAGTGAGGATTTGTCTTTTCTTCCGCCATACACTTCTTAGAAAAGCATTTACTTTAATCTTCATGAATCAAGGTTGAGACAGACTTTTTTTTTCTTGGTGTCTGCTTTTGGTAGGCTGGCTTTCTTACACTTTTTTTTCAGAGTCTGAGCCCTCAGCATTGCCTGCAATCTATTCCCTCCCTGTTCAGCCTCAAAGTCCAATGCACAGTGCTTTCCCAATTTCAAACTTCTATCTAGGCAATGGATGTGTAGATGTTCTCAGAGAGAGCAATGGTTCAGTGCTGCTTTACCTTCCTGGAATGGAATTCAAGTTTTATACTGGGCCTCAGGTGTGATTTACTTTAATTTTTTTTCAATAGCTTTAAGTGATTTAAAAGATGTTTTAAATAATCTTAGCAAACATAGATGTTTTGTAACTAAAAAGTTTTAGGATCCTGAGTGTGCTATACTGACAGATACAAAAATCTTACACAGTATTTTATCAACTAGAAAATAATCTTATCTACCAGCGGATGCATATTTTACCTTTTAAATGATTGAAATTTCCTTAATATGGGTGGTGCTATAATGTATGACTGTGAAGTTTCTTGTTGTTGCAGTTTACTATGTAGCAAAGAGTCCAATGTAGTTTGTAATAGCAAGTATTCTAAACTTGCAGTATTTCTTCTCCCATTTGCTTTAAATTTATTATGTATTTGATTCTCTTTGGATTTAGTTACAGAGCTCTAATCCCTGTAGTTCCATTATTGAAGTATACGAGCACCATATGCCTTGTGTACTTCTAATATTTTTAACACATCACATCTCACAGTAAGAATACATGTTCTCCATAGTAGTAGGTTAAATTGAATATTATTATTCTAGAATATGGTTATTTCATCTTTTCTTTATTCATTAGGTATGAACTACTATGTATCAATATCTGTGCTAGATATTAGAGATCTATAGAATTCATAGGCTAAGACAAAGCAGATATTAACATATAATTACACAAGCAATTATTACCATAATATATGAGAAGGATGGAAATTGTAGCATGCCATAAATGAGTAAAATAAAGAAATCTAAACTGGCAAAGAACATGTAGGAAAAGTGATCTAAAATATAATATTTCATCTGGGTCTTCTGAGAGGTTATTACCTTGGTGAAGAGGAGATGAAAGATTCTTTTACCTAAAGGGAAGAGTTTAGAAAAAGTCAGTTAACAAGATGTCTGGTGTTTTGAACAACTTGAAAGAAGGCCAGTGTAACTCTACTATTATGGAAAAGGATAGATTGGAGCAAAATTCCAGAAGCAAGCCATATTATGAAGGCCAGTTGAGAATTTGAACCTAAGTCTTCATGCCATAAAATAGTTTTAATCCAGAAAATGACATTGAGAGTTACATTTTTATGACCTAACTCTGGCTGCTTATAGAGAATGCATTGAATGGAAGAAAGGATTTATGTAACTGATTTAGGATTAATTACAAAGCTCACCTAGCATAAGCAAGAAATGATGGTGTCTTTAATTAAGAGAAAATAAGCTTAATTATCAATGCATACTATTTCAAATTTTGAATGCACTTCTCACTTCCCTCTCCAACATGCACAAACATCAGATTTAGCTTATAAATCAGTAAAGGTTGGAATCCTACCAGAGGAAAATTTAGCTGTAATTTTATGTAAAGCCCTTAAAAAGGTAAAGCTACATGGTATATTACACAAAATAAAAAGGATTTTGTTTTTATTTTTATTTATTGAAGTTTGAAAGTCAGCTGTGTTTACTTATATTCCTCAGAGCATTTGGTTTCAAAAAGGGCTGTTCGTTTGTAGTTCTACTAAAATTGTCGTTCCATTGGCATTTTTCTCTGGCATCTTATAGTCACTGTGCTGTTGAATTTGTGGACTCATTCTTACTTTTTGCCTCCATTGATTCAAGAAACTAGAATTGCTTTTTCTGTTAACATTATTTAATTCATGACTTGTTCATGATACCTCATTTAATAATAGTATAAATTTATGAATAACATTATCAATATATATTAAAATAACCTCTAATAATATTCATATCTTCATGTATTCATTTACAGTTGTTTCTTTATTAATGAATATATTGAATGTATATGATAAAAATCCTCAATAATCTTTTTATGTTTATTTATGTCTATTTTTATGTCTATTTTGCTGCAGATCTCTATCCTTATGTTTATAAAAGTCTTAAATGTAAAATTTAAAGTAATTTAGTATTGTCTTTATGCGTTATTATTATAACATAAGAAAAGTGAAATGATGCATTATACATAATCTATTCAAACTATCTTATCGTAGCATTTAAAAGTTAATTATATAGTGCTAACATCTAGAAATTCTGTGCAGAACTAACATATTGGAACCGTAATTTTCTTATGGCCTCTTGCATTTTCTTATTTCTCAGGGTATAAATACTCGGATTCAGTAAGGGTGTGATAACTGTATAAAATACGGCAAGAGTTTTATTGCTTGCCAAACTACTGAATGGCCAAACATAGATAAAAATACAAGGTCCAAAGAACAGAGTGACCACAATGATGTGGGCAGACAATGTGGACAGCGCCTTGGAGAGCCCATGTGATGATTTTTTTGGTACACTGACCAGGATGACAATGTAAGAAACAAGCAAGAGGATGAAACAGGTGAAAGAGAGCAGCCCGCTGTCAGCAATGACAAATAATTCCAGGGTGTATGTTTCAATGCAAGCAAGCTTGATCACAAGGGGAAGATCACAAAATATGTTGTTTATGACATTGTGGCCACAGAAAGGCAAGTTCATTGTTAAAACTATCTGGCTTATGGAGTGTAAAAAACCAATTATCCATGAAAGTATCGCAAACCCCTTTAGCAGCTTGTGGCTCATGATTGTCCTATAGTGCAGGGGTTTACATATGGCTACATACCTGTCAAAGGCCATGATTATCAGAAGAGTCATCTCAGCACCCCCAAAGAAGTGCATGAAGAACATCTGGGTCACGCAGCCCCACACAGAGATGGTCTTGTGGTCAGTGAGCAAATCTATGATCATCTTGGGTGTTGTGGCAGTGGAGAGACACATGTCCAAAAAAGAGAGATTTCCAAGGAGAAAGTACAAGGGAGAATGAAGGGTTGACCTACATGTCACTGTGACCATAATGAGAATGTTTCCCATCACAGTAGCACCGTAGATCAGGGAAAATGTCACAAAGAAGAAAATTTGAAGTTCCCATCGTCCAAAAAATCCTAGTAAAATAAACTCGGTCACTAGAGATCCATTTTTAAGATCCATTTACTCAACTCAGAAAGGTTCCAGAAGTTCTTTATATACAAAGAGAATTAAAAAATAAGTCACAGTTAACACCAATATTTTCTTATTTCTATTAGTTGGTGATAATAGTTGATGATATGAGATCATATAATTTTAAATATATCAACACAGAGATTAGCTTAAATATTATATCACTTTGAAACAATTACTCTGCAGTAATTACAAATCATTTGAAGAAGTAGAAGTTCCATTTTCTATTGTTTATTCCATAAAATCATACTCTTATCAATGGATCTTGACTTTCTTACTCATTTGTTCACATATAAAGATTAGATACTAATTAATTACTTTTTATTTTGCCTTTTATTATTATAGTATTCTGTACCTGCACTTCTTGAGATTATGTTATCCCAATATATAAGGAATACAAGATTTAGAAAATGAAGAATTACATTGTTCTACATCTCTGAAGTAATTTATGAAGGTTTTTCTATGGTTCTAAACTAAATAAGCAAACAAACAAACAAAAAGCACACACACACACACACACAAATCAGGAGCAAATTATACATGGATGAAAGTATATAAATTTATTTAAAATAATTTTTCTTTTTAATATACATGTATACCTCTTTTATTGTGTTTCACTTTATTGTCCTTTGCAGTTATTTAATGTTTTATAAACTGAGGGTTTGTGACAACCCTGGATCCAGCAAGTCTATTGGCACCATTTTTCCAACAGCATGTGCTCACTTTATGTCTCTGTGTCACATTTTGGTAATTCCCAAAATATTTATTTCAAACTTTATTATTATTATTACACGTTATTTGATCTGTGACCAGTAATCTTTTATGTTACTATTTTCATTATTTTTGGGCACCACAAGCCGTGCCCATGTAGAATGGCAGACAATTGATAAATGTTGTTTCTAACGGCTCCACCAACCTACTCTTCCCTCATCTCTCTCCTTCTCTTCAGGCCTCTCTATTCTTTGAGATACAACAATATTGGATTTAGGCCAATTAATAGCTTTGCAATAGCCTCTAAGTGTTCAAGTAAAAGGAAAAGTTGCATGTCTTTTATTTGAAATAAACTAAGAAAAAACTGGAGACAGTTAAACGTTCAGTGGTTTCCAGGGGTTTGAATGAAGAAGGAGAAATGAAGAAATAAGAGAAGTACGGAGAATTTGCAGGGTATTGAAACAATTCTTATCTACTATACTTAGAAATACATAACACATTTGTCAAAACCCATAGCATGTATAACATCAAGAGTAAATCCTAATGTAAACTACAAATTTGGGGAGATAATAATGTGCAATGTAGGCTCACCAGCGGTAACGAATGTACCACTCTGGTTCAGGTTGTTAAGGGTGGGGGAGACTGTATGTGGCATCAGAGGGCACACGGGAACTCTTGTACTTCCTGCTCAATTTTGCTGTGAACTTAAAACTGCCCCAAACAATAAAGTCTGTAAAAAAGTTTTTTAAGCCAGAAGTGATTAAGCTTAGTGAGGAAAGTATGTCTAAAGCTGAGACAGGCTGAAAGCTAGTCCTCTTGCACCAAACAATTAGTCAATTGTGAATGCAAAGAAAAAGTTCTCAAAGGAAATTAAAAGTGCTACTCCAGTGAACTCATGAATGATAACAAAGTGAACCATCTTTATTGCTGATATGGAGAAAGTTTTAGGGATCTGGATAAAAGTTCAAATCAGCTACAACATTCCCTTAAGCCAAAGCCTAATCCAGGGCAAGACCCTAACTCTCTTCAATTCTGTGAAATCTGGGAGAGGAGAGAAAGTTGCAGAATAAAAGTTTGAAGCTAGCAGAGGTTAGTTCATGAGGTTGAAAGAAAGAAGCCATTCTTATTACATAAAACTACAAGGTGAAGCAGCAAGTGCTGATATAGAAGCTGCCGAAAGTTATCCAGAATATCTGACTAAGATCATTGATAAAGATGGCTATGCTAAACAACAGATTTTCAATATAGATGAAACAGCTTTCTGTTGGAAGAAGACGCTGTCTAGGATTTTGATAGCTAGAGAGGAGAAACCAATGTCTGATTTCAAAACTTCAAAAAACAGGCTGATTCTTCTGTTAAAGGCTAATGTAGCTGTTGATTTTAAGTTGAGGCTAATGCTCATTTACCATTCCAAAAATCCAAGGCCTTTATGAATTACGATAAATCTACTCTGCCTGTGCTCTGTAAATGGAACAGCAAAGCTTGCATGACAGCACATTTGTCTACAGCATGGTTTACTGGATATTTGAAGACCACTGCTGAGAATTGCTGCTCAGAAAAAAAAGATTCATTTGAAAACATTACTGCTCATTGGCAATGAACCTAGTTATGCAAGAGCTCTGCCAGAGATGTGCAATCCAATTAATGCTGCTTTCGTGTGTGCTGATTTAACATCCATTCTGCAGCCCATGGAGCAAGGAGTAATTTTCATTTTCAATCTTATTATTTAAGAAATTTTATAAGGCTATAGCTGCCATAGGGACAATGATTTCTCTGATGGATTTGGGCAAAGTAAACTTAAAACTTGCAGGAAATAATTCGCCATTTTAGATGCCACTAAGAACATTTATGATTCATGGGAGGAGATCAAAACCTCAACATTAACAGGAGTTTGGAAGAAGCTGATTCCAGTCCTCATGGATTACTTTGAAGAGTTCAAGACTTACATGGAGAAGACTTCCCATGAAGAAGGCTTTCCACGGAGAAGGTAATTGCAAATGTGGTAGAAATAGCAAGAGATCTTGAATTAGAAGAGAGTCCTGAAGATGTGACTGAATTGCTGCAATATCATGACAAAACTTTAAAACATGAGAAGTTGTTTCTTATGAATGAGCAAATAAACTGTTTTCTTTGGGGGGTGGTGGGAATGGAACCTCCTCCTGGTGAGGATGCTGTGAACACTGTTGAAATGACAACAAAGGATTTAGAATATTCCATAAGTGTAGGTGATAAAGTAGCAGCAAGGTTTAAGATGATTGGCTCCAATTTTGAAATAAGTTCTAATTTGGGTTGTATGCTGTCGAATAGCATCATATACTACAAATAAATAGTTTGTGAAATAAGGAGTCAATTGATGTGGCAAATTTTATTATTGTCTTATTTTAAGAAATTGCCACATTCATTGCAACTGTCAGCAACCAATTCCCTGATCAGTCAGCACTCATCAACATTGAGGCAAGACTGTCCAGTGGCAAAAAGATTACATCTTGTTAAAGGCTCAGATAACCGTTAACACTTTTAAAAATTAGGGTATGTGTGTTTTTTATCCATAACGCTATTACATACTTAATAGACCACAGTAAAGTATAAACATAACTTTTATATGTACTAGGAAACCAAAAAAATTGTGACTCACTTTATTGTGAAATTCACTTTATTGTAGTGGTCTGGAACCAAACCAGCAATATCTCTCAGGTATCCCTGTACTGAGAATTACAAGAAACATGGACTCAGCTTCAGATGGTTTGCGCTTGTTTTTTCAAATCCTCTGTGTTACCATTGTTCACAGTGAGGAGCTTGTGCATTGTGTATATGTGTACAGATGTGGTGGTTTAGAAGTAAATAGTAAAGTGATTTAGTCCAATGTATTACTTCTGTTTGGATGTAAAGTTTAACACTAAATCATTGTTACTCAGTTTTTTAGACAATGTTCATAGAATCTAGAGTGATCGAAAGTGGTCAACAACAATTAAGTGATTAGTATGTGCCAGGCTCCATTCTAAGTGTTTCATATACATTAATTTTTTTAATGCTCATACCATGATGTAAGTGCTATTTTTTTCTTCATGTTGCATGTAAGGAAACTGTGACATTCAAATAGTTAATGACGTATTCATGGTTACACAGCTAACATGGATGAGAGCTAGTATTCAAGCTGAGTTAGTTTGACACCAGAACCTGGGCTTATACCAATACACCGTATTGTCTCAAAAATTAAATTGCTATATATTTACAGCCAAAGTATTAATTATTGATTGAATTTGTATGGTCCATATGAGTGGGTTTGGGGATATGATTCAACAAGTATGTTGGGATCATCCCTCTATGTTACAATTAACTGCATTATTTTCTCATACAGAATGAATGCCCTATATCTAGAGAGTTTACAATCTAGAGAGACATGATTATCAAACAAAAAATAGCAAATGAGCCATGTGAGAACACATGTAATTTGGTACAAGGTATATGCAAAATGTCTTAAGAGGTTCAGAAAAACAGAGATCAATTTCAAGTGACACTTTTAGATATGACTTCAGGCTTGGTTGTATTATCTTCAAAACACTTGTAAAAACCAAGTTTTATGGTAAGCAAACAAAAAAGAATGAGGAGTAGAAAATGTGTGAGCATCTATAAAAGGAAAAGAATGAAGAGCAGTGCATATCAAGAGTGATATGTTTAGAAAGGAGACTAGATTAAGATATTTAGATGAGCAGTGCATATCAAGAGTGACATGTTTAGAAAGGAGACTGGATTAAGATATTTCGATGAATAGGAAGTGACTGGTTTCTTTTCTCCAATGACCTGTAATTCTCTCCTTGTTTGCATTCTTCCTCAGTTTTCTGTCAAAATATTGTATTATCATCATCCAAACGTAACTGCCTCTATTGTTTTCATATCTTAGATATTTTTGAGAAATGGATAATGGTAACAAATTAGAGAAAATAAAGATGATGTAAGGTTCCTGTAGGTCAACCTGTAGGAACACACTGAATGGGTACTCAATGACAGGCTGTGGCCCTGGAGGAGGCTGCATGGGTGGCCACACCTGCTTTACAGGGTTGTGTTGCATGCTTGTCATGTAAAGGAGCAAGAATTTTGCTTTTGAGACTTTTATAACAGCAGTAACAATAACTAGATATACTTGGGAAAACAACAAGAGTTGACAATTGCTAGACAGAATGAAGATAACAGCTGTAATTTGAGGGTGAATAGCTTTGCTACATGGGATTTTATGCCCTGTGATACAGTGACAACAGAAAAACTTGGGTAAGAAATCAATACAATTAAACATAAGTTGATTTAAAAAGCTTTATTTTGGCCTTTTATTTCAGAGGAAAAGCTGGCATTAATTTATGTTGATGGCTTTCTCAGCATTTGCTTCTCTTATTACTCTTCTCCCTTTGTAAGCATGCTTTCTAAAACTGTTTCTCTAGTCTACACTTAATACAGTATACCTATTATTATACTTGAGTGTACAAAAGCTATGTAGATTAATGAAAATAAATTATCATATGGCTTAGATAATTCTATTAATGAGAACAATTTTCTTTCCATTGAATAATCAATTGTACATTTTATAATAATTACTTTTACTAAATAATTTATGATATGCTCTGAAGGAAATTGAAAGTAGAATAATATATTAGGGCTGAGAGGGAACTTCGTAATCTATTATTCTACACATCTTGTTTAGTAAATGAAAAATCAAGATCCACATAATTAAGTAAATCTTCCCAGGTCATAGAGGCAGAACCACCCCCAAGAGGTCATGAGTATTAGGTGAGATGGTGTGGGTATAAACTCCTGGCAAGGCAGAAGATTGGCACTGAGGGGGTATGTGTTGAATCTATGTCATTTGTGTAAATCCAAGATTACAATCCTGGGAATTTTTCGTATAAACCCCTCTTATGAAAGGAATTAACCGAGACTCATTTTATTAAGTAGTTGAATATAAACATTTCTGCTCTTGCCCATGCATATATGATACGTATTACTTAATATAAAAATAATTTGCTAAAGTAAATATTTGCTTTTCTTTTTCTTCTAGCCATTTGAAGAAAATAATTTCAATTTTGACTGATTTTATTATTTTAAAAAAATTATACCTAATTATACTAAAACAGATGAATCTCAAAACCATTATGCTTAGTAAAATAAGTCTGACACAAAAGACCACAGGCTATATAATTCTACTTATAGAAAAGCACATGTACCCTAAAACTTAAGTATAATAATAATAAAATTAAAAAAAAAAAGAAAATGTCCAGTAAAGGCAAATCTATAGAGACAGAAAGGATATTAGTGCTAGCTTTTGGCCAAAGCTTGCTGTAAATGGGCATGATGTTTCTTTTTGTGGTGATGAAAATGGATTGATAAGATTGTGGTGATGGTTGCACAACTATGCAAATATAATAATAATTGAAATGTCTACTTAAAATGGGTGAATTTTTTAGTATATGAATTATATGCAATAAAAATTCAACTATTTTACACTTTTTTGTTTTCTCCCTAAAGTTACAATTCTCTTAAATAATTTAATTTAGTATTTTTAAATACAGTTTTCTAGTACTGTCCAGCTTCTTGAACTCAAATATATTTCACTCTGAAATAATCAAGGACATATAGCAAATCCAATTTAATCTAGTTTTAAAATTTCTTAAAAACTTAAGTTTTAAAATTTAAAACTTAAAATTTAAAATTTCTAGTTTTAATCTAGTTTTAAAATTTAATCTAGTTTTAAAATTCCTCTATTTGAATTTATATTTTTAGCTGCCATCTGGATTTGGAAGCTTGCTATTCTGCTTTCTCTACTGTTTAGAATACTCATATTGAATTTTCTAAATTATTTACATTTTCTTTATTCCCTTGGCTATGGACATCTTCTAAGGACTTCTTCCTCATTTCTGTAAGATCTCCGTTGTATTATTGTTTAATGGTAAGTTTTACATGGAGATTTTCCTAATATCTAATTATGATCACTAATTCTGTCTCTCTGCAGTTCCTTCTTCAATTGTCAACATGGTATGTTTATTTGCATGTTCTGTCAACACCTGAAAGTTTACGAAAAGAAAAAATATTCCCTACTTGCAAAAAAGAGTTGCTAGCTTTTCTATTATTTTCAATGATAGTACGAGTTTTTCTTAATGATCAGAATTTACCTTTTTTTTGTTTATTCATCATACTTAATCACTTACCATCTACGGCCCAATTTTACTCTCCAGTATCATTTTGAGGGCATATTTTCTTTCAATTTTCATATAAATTGTTAATTTCAGCTCTTTCTGAGATACTATTATGTGACCTCCCAATTAAAGAGGATCTAATACCTTACATGCCAAAGCCTTTTCCTTCCAGCCAAAACAAAACTAATTAAAATATCGTCCTCAGTATATTGAAGTTCTAATAAATCAGCTCGCTACAATATTTTTACTTACCTGTTTTAAAGGCACAGTATGAGGAACAAGTTGCTCAAGAGGTTATTCAAAATTAAAAATCTTTTTATTCTCTGTGATGCCCCATATATGATTCTGCATTCTACTTTCTGTCTTTTTAAAAAAGATGTGAACCACTTTGGGGGCAGATTTGCTGGAGCTCTGGGAATCCAAATTTCAGTGGAACTTGTTAAACCACTGAGGCTTCTGCCCTAGTATGACTGGGAGAGATGTTTACATCTGATTTCTGGCCCTATAAGATGCTGTGGCTCTCTCTGAGTGGTAGCTTGATTAAAATAGCCATGGAAGTGTTGGTTGATTGGCTGTGATATAGTAAGTATAGAGTAGACAGCTTTGATTTAATGGAACTTCCTTTCCCTCACATGACTCTCAAGCTCTCCTCTTATCTTCCCTCTAGGAACTTTGTGGGTAATTCTTAAGAAGGATAATCTTCAAACTTTTCTGCACATAGTTCTTCAATATAAATAATTTACATGCATATGTTATAAATGTACTATTAAAAGTGAATAATATGTATAAAGAAAGCATACTAAAGAAGTAGAAATTTGAAAGTAAGTTGTGTTGAATAATTTAAAGTTTGACATTAGAAATGATACAATTGTTTTGTGTTCACCAAAATATAAACAATTATTTTTTGATTAGGTACCTTGCTTTGAGATATTCAGAGAATATCTATCTGTAGCAAAAAAGAGTTTCATAATTATTGCCATTTTACTATACAATATACAATAAATATTTGTTTTACAAGATGTTGCTTTTACAAAATTAATCATATTGATGATTCTGGTACACCACATATCTCAGGCTTCATAGTTTATTTGAATAACTTGCTATCAAGGGATGTTGTGAATAAATTCAAATTAATTGACATTTGTCACTATTTCGAAGTCTTTGCTTAGTCCCTGTTAAATTCACCACTTAACCTATGGCTTAATCTAGATTTTTCTCATAGACTCTTTTATTGAAGGAGTCATAACAGTTAATTTAAATTTTTTTTATTATAAATGTTAGAATCACCCATACATTTTTTTTGTTTTGTTTTGTTTTGTTTTTTTGTTGTTTTTTTTTGAGACAGAGTTTTGCTCTTGTCGCCTAGACTGGAGTGCAGTTTCATGATCTCAGCTCACTGCAACCTCTGCCTTCCTGGTTCAAGCAATTCTCCTGCCTCAGCCTCCCAAGTAGCTGGGATTACAGGCACATGCCACCATGCCCGGCTAAGTTTTGTATTTTTAGTAGAGATGGGATTTCACCATGTTGGCCAGGCTGGTCTCAAACTCATGACCTCGGGTGATCCACCCCCCTCGGCCTCCCAAAGTGCCGGATTACAGGCGTGAGCTACCTCACCCGGCCACCCATACTTCTACCATGTTTGATAGCATTTGCTAACAAGGAGTGCATTTATTTATATCATGTTGCTCATTATAACCATTTATACAGTGGCAGAGAACATAAGTATTTTCTCAGTGAAATATTACTTTTGTTATTTTGCTATTTGGTAAGAAAAATTTAAACACTTTTTATTACATTTAGCTAAAAATGTAAAGTCCTCCATAACTAGAGATATTACAAAGAAAATTATATACATTTATTTTGTTGTACATATTTACTTTTTAAATGTTTTGCTGATCATGATGACTTCATAATATCACTAGCTAATAAATCAAGGCACAGTACAGATTGTCAAGTTCAATATTAATAACAAAAGTAAATCCATATTGTAAGATAATATTTCTTAATAACAGAATGTTTTTAGCTTGCTTATTATCAGTTCAGATAGTTAAATTTTGTTGTTTTACTTTGTAATGTAGCTGACAGAGTGAATTCCTACTATGTGTAGAATTATTATCACAGTCATTTTATAATTGTTCATGCGAGTTTTAATCATTAGAATTATCTTCAATCCAAAGTTAAAGTGCAAAAATATTTTTATAAGCCCCTTATAAATTTTTGGAGAACAAATTGAGCTAAAATAATATAAAATAATCTTTAATCTCTCTCTTCCCCTTAATTGGGCACACCAAAGTTGCAATATATAACAATATGCTCAAAGCAAATGAATGAGAAGGGAACTGCTTTCAACCCCTCTGCCTTTTGGTTGACTTGTACTTTCCTTAGAAAACGTTAAACATCATGTATAACACATGACCAGATAAAATACAGATTCAGCTAGGGCACCAAAAATAATGTCTATTAAATATTAGTAAAGCTTTCTAAAAATTTATCTTTTCAAATTAAAAGAGATAAACAGATATTCTTATATTTATTTTGTTACTTGCTTGTCTGCAGGCAGCTTTAAATGTATTCACCGTGCCTTGGGAAAATAAGTTTAAATAACTGGCTAACTCAGTCTTCTTTTTTGGATCAAATGTGGATTCTGACCCAATTAAATATTCCTCCAGGTCCTGTACTTCCCAGACTCATAGTTTTCTTGTTTTTATTGGTTGATTAAATGTTTAGCCTAACTTATTGACTAAAATAAAATTCTGTGATTCTTGAAATATTCCTTCCCTGTCTCAAGTACTTAATACTTTCAATTTATATTCCCTTTACCGTATATTCACTGGTAGCAGGTATTGTATTTATCAAACATCTCTACCCCTAGTTTAACGTCTTATTTTTGGTGGATTTAATAAATTTGCTGCTTCTTCACTGATGTCCTTCAACTCTCTGATGTTGTATGTATTCTCTTTTGATTTTCTTTGAAGATTTTACTGGATGACAAATTAAGCTGTTCTAATTTCAAATTTGTTTTCTGGTGGCATAAGTACTTATAGTGTAGATCTTGTTCCAAGAAATAAGGAAATTATCCACAAGTAGTTCACAAGGGACTAAAATAAGGCCTTGAAGCTAAGTATTGAACTCAGCAAAGCTCAAAGCTTTATTGAGCCTAAACTGTATGTCAGGAACTTGTCCTCAGGGAGCTTTATCATTGGAGGCTGACCCCAAATAATAAAATGCTGAGCGTAGTAATACAGATATGGCATGAGTCAAACTCTGTTTTGTGGAGTTTGCAAATTTTCTTATAAAAGAGACCCCTCTTTCACGAACAGTTTTGCCTTTAATGATAAATAGAGACTTTAAAGGCAATAGAAACTGCTAAGAGAAACCAGAAGAAAATTCTAGGCAGAAATAATTATATGTAGGAATTTATGGGAGCCTAAAATATTGTGACATAGAAGTGAACAGAAAATATCTAGTATGTTTGAAATATACCATAGATTCGTGGAGTCGTGAAGAAGGGAGAGTTTTCAGTAAGGACAGAAAAGTCAGATAAGAATTTTCAAAGATCTGAGATATCAATCAAAGCAATATGGAATATATATTATAGTTAGTTGGCAACTATGGAAGTGGTAAATTAGAGGCTATGAAGAAAATTGACTTTTTAGAAGGCTATGGTAGTGGTTCTGAGAAGTAATTACTGTGTCATTTTAACAATCCAAGTAAGAAATGGTGAAAGCCTGACCTGAGGCTGTAGAAAGTGATGAGGAGGAGGGTATGGTTAAATTATCAGATGGAATTGTGAAGATGAGATAACAGAACTGCATCACTGATGACAGTGCATATGGAGTAGAATGTGGAGTTCCAAAATATTGTCTGCAGATATTTGCATCAGAATCAGATGCTTTTGTAATAAAAATTGGAGACTTTTGGAGTGACAGAGTAAGGAGCCTGGTGGAGTCTTTCCCTAACAAAACAAACATTTGATAGAGAAACTTCTAAAAGACAATAATTTAAAGCCTCAGGAAATTGTCCTAGGGCATACAGAAAATGGAGAAATACTCTTAAGAGAGTCTTCCAAATCTCTGTAAGAACAGCAAGTCTGGGGTTTCACGCCGCTACTGCTACCTCCTCTCCTATTTCTCTCCCAGTCCTGTAATATAGAAGCCCTCCTCTGGATGCTGTACTCCAAGCAGGTGTGGGAAAAAAGGCAGGACTCCATCTTCCCTCACTTTTAGGTGGAGGGCTATGGTTTCAGGTTTCACCCTGGGAGCGTTAGGACTTAAGTATTGCAGAAGCTTTGTTCCTAGTAGACTCTGAGGAGAGGATGAGGCTATCTTTCCCTACCTAGCATCTACTTGTAGAGTGAGCAGGAACAGGCTGAGAATACTAGCGCCCTCTTATCACCTCTGTCTTTTAGCTTGCTTGTACAGCAGTCGTTTGTGCCAGAAAAGGCAAGCCAAGATGACCAGAGACTCGACTCTTCTCAGTGCCCACTCAGAGAGCAGGCATATCATCTTGGGAGAAGTGGGCTGCTGTCCCTGCTCTTGTGCACTGGCACAGAAGTTCTGCCCAGGAAGAAAGGCATGCCATAAGGATGAAAACTCTGCAGCTCCACCTGAGGGGCCTACCTTTATTTGGAACAGAGCTTCAAGAGTTCCATGTCTATAGGCATTGTCAGAAACCACAGAGATGCTGATGGAGAACAATTAAGAAGTTGCTGATAGCACCATGTTTCTGGTATCAACATGTCACATGGCAGAGTCAACATGTTTATCAAAGAGGATCAGGCAAGAGACAGATAAGAGCCCTACTGGAATCATAGATAGTCCTGGGAATAGGAGACGCTGTGGATATGTACTGGCTGCATCCACTTAGAAGAAAATCAGAGGAAGGTATGGGGCAGAAATGAAAACATTCTTAAAGCCACACACAATTCCATTGACAAAGGGTTGAAGGCTTACTGGCACAAGAAGCTTAAGCAAAACCTCTAAGCAAACACTAGCTAAATAACAAACTACACTGAACCAAGAGCAACTTCTTAGGAAGCTATGCTTACAAATACAATCACACAGATTCCTGGCAGTCTGGAGGACTGAGTGAATGTCCACATGTGTGTAATTCTCAGGAGTGATTGGAGAGGGAACATTCTAGTCCCTAAATAAATGTGGGGCAAAAATGTAAGTTTCTTGAGTTTGATAGAAGCCTCCTAGCCACACCTACGTCTAGTGATAAAGGATAAAAATCTAATTGGTCAGGAAGGATACTTAAGCAAAATCTTTGTTCCATAAGTAGCTTGTGCTGTCCTTGACATAATCCACAAGTACCAGGCTAGGAGAATTTTAAAAAGGGATACATTTGGAGTAGAGACATCAGACACTGCACACTGCAGGGGAAATCGACTTCACAGGTTTAAGCCAAGTCATTAAATAAACAACTAAACAAACAATAACAAGAAAATCATCAGTGGATGGGAGTGGTGGTCAGTAATCAGAGTTACTACAATAAAATGTCCAATGTTCAAGTGAAAAATGATGAGAAATGCAAAGATACACAAAAGTGTGACATTTACATGAAAAAAGCCAATAGAAACTGCTTTTATGGGAACCAAGATATTGCACCTAGTAGAAAGCAACTTCAAAACAGTTATTATAAATATATTTTGAGAAGTAAAGAAAGCCATGTCTAAAGAATTAAAGGAATATATGAAGTCCATGTCTTAGCAAATAAAGAATATCAATAAAGATATAGAAATTATAAAAAAAAGGACCAAATGGAAATTCAGAAGTTGAAATGTATAATAACTCAAATGAAGAAATCAATAAAGGAACTCATCAGTAGATTTGAGCTGGCACCAGTTAACTTGGAAACATATCTGTAGCAATTATGCGATCTCAACAGAGAGGGATAAAAATAAGGAAAAATAAATAGAGCCTCAGAGAATGTGGAACACTAGTAAGAGCACCTACATATGTTATGAAATGTCAACTTTGGCTTCTAGATTGGATGTTAGCCTGATAATGATCATATTACTTCAAATAGGGAGTGCAGAAAAAATAACAGGCTTTGGAAGTTAGGTAATTTAATTTTTTGCATTTGGGCTTGAGATGCCTTCAAGATAGCTGGGGAAGGGTATAGTAGGAAGTTGAAAATAAAAATGTGTGAGTAGCTCAGAAATGAGGAACAAAAAAGGTTAGATGATATTATCAACATTTAGGTTACTGCAGAAAGCAACTACCACTCTAAAGGCTAGATGAGAAAAAAAAGGAAGCAATATTATACAGAGCCCACAATTCCTGTTGGCACAGTGGCATCATTGCTGCTGTTGGAACCTCTATCCTGTATTAAAAATTAAGAGCTCATATACTTAAGGAAGCTTCAAGAGCCTTCAATATTGCTGATGCTGCTGGGACCCACCAAGACTTCTACAGTCCACAGTTGCCTGCTACAGTTACTGAGAAAGACAGAAGAGAAATCTAAGGCTTCTCCATTTTTTCATTTTTTTTCACCTTTCAGTATCATATGAATGTCTTCTACTGGCAGAAACTCACAGGAATAAGTTTACAAGAGAGTCTGGGAAATGCAGTTTTCAGGCTTGTAACTCCCTACTGTAGAGAGAAGACTATAGAGCTGACATGGGGTTGAAGGTCAACAGACAAACATTCAGAATGCTCCCCTTTGGTTACTCAGTATCAATACACATCATTCTACATTTATTTAAACTTCCAAAGAATGACAATAGCTTCAGTCTAAAGATGCATCTATCCTGCAAACAAATTAAGACACTCTGGCCTCCTTTCTCTAACTGAAAACCAAAAATCCTCATTGGTTACTATATCCATTTCTGTACGGTGTTGCCATCTTTTCGAATTCATTCATAATCCCACATTAATATTCTGTAACCTAGAGACTAAATTGTAAATTAGTCTCCTTGATAAGAAAAAATAAAAAGGAAAAAAGGAACCAGGAATTTGTGAACAAATGCAATTTATATAAAAAATTTGTAGCTTCTAAAATCATCATTTTACTAACAAATTGTGAGACAATTAATGTTCACGGCTACCTTCTTTTACTGCCTATTTTATTCCTCTTTGTATGCATTCAGATCTCCAGTGATGGTGATTCTTTACGTGGTGGAATGAATAAAAATTTTATTTTTCCTAGGTGATGTAATGTTCACTTATTTTTACTACTTGATATGCAAATAATATGAGGTACAACAGCAAATCACTTGGGTTTCAGACATGGGCTTCCCTACCCAACTGTACAACAGCAATTCTAGTATGCATTGATAATTGGAGTGAGTCAACTTGGCTGGTTTAATAAGCTCTTCTCTTTTTAATTAGAGGTGAAAGAATACTTAAATGTCTGGGATGGGTGTGGTAGGTCATGCCTGTAATCCCAGCACTTTGGGATGCCAAGGCAAGAGGATTGCTTTGAGCTCAGGAGTTCAGGACCAGCCTGGGCAGCATGGTGAAACCCCATCTCTACAAGAAATACAAAAATTAGCTGGGCATTGGTGGCTCGTGCCTGTAGTCTCAGCTACTTGGGAGGCTGAAGTTGGAGAATCACTTGAACCTGGGAGGCAGAGGCTGGAGTGAGCTGATATAGGGGCACCGCACTCTAGCCTGGGTGACAGAGCGAGACCCTGTCTCAAAACAAATGAGCAAACACACACAAACAGAAAAAAAAAAAACTGGAGGGGAAGAAGATTCAAATGTCTTGGTATTAGTGACAGTATTTACTTTCAGGTTAATAAAATACCACATATTTTCTTTTTGCAAAGATTTATTTATTGAGGACTATGATCTGTAAAGAAGTGTTCAGAAAACAAAAAAATTATGTTATTAAAATGTAGATAGGAAAGCATTTTTAGTTAGAAAAACATAGATTTTATAGTTAGGTATAGGATATGATACTGGATCTAGTACTTATATTTCTGTGGCAATTTCATTACGTTTTATAATGCTCAGTTTTGTTACCTATTGATAATATGTAAATAATATTCTCTATTTTCCTTGTTGTGAAATAGGAGAAAATTTATGGAAAGTGCCTCATACATGAATAGCACTCAATAAATTACATTTAAAAATATAATTTAATCAATAGGCAACATAAAATTACAACATAAGCAAATAACATATTGGAATAGTTTGTACTTGGAGGAAAAATCAGAATATTATATTACATGTACACTTACATGGGGATCGATTATTATATCCCAAAATATGGCTTACGTTTGGTACAAAAATCCTCCACTTCAGTGTCTTTGGATCATGATGATGACAACAATAATGATGATGCTTTTAGTGATTATAATATTTTAGTTATCAAGTTGATCTAGAACTCACAAAGTTAATCTTCATTTTTCTTAATGCTTTCTTCATGTCGTTATTCCTGAATGTGTAGATGATTGGATTTAAAAGGGGAGCAAAAATAGTTTAAAACACAGACATCAATGGAGACAGTGCTGAATGGTCTTTCACAGGTAAAGATGCAAGCTCCAAAGAACAGTACCACCACCATAATGTGGGCTGAAAGCGTGGACAGAGTTTTGGAAGACCCCCTGGAGGAATGATGTCAAATAATAATCAGGACGGTGCTATAGGAGATTAACAGAAACATGAAACACAGCAAAGAAAGTAGTCCACTGTCTGCAATGACTCATAGCTCCAAGATGTAAGTGTCTGTACAGGCAAGTTTTATCACAAGGCAGATCACACACACACAAAAATATCCACAACACTGAGACCACAGAATGGCAAAGTCACTGTGAGAACAATTTGGCTCATGGTGTGCATGAAATCCATAGTCCAGGAGCGAGGAGCAAGTCCGATGCAATGGACTTGTAATGGAGGGGTTTGCATATGGCAAATTATCTATCGATTGCCATGGCTAAGAGTAAAACCATCTCACTTCCACTTAAAAAGTGAAGGAAAAATCTCTATGTCATGCAGCCTTCATAGGAGATGGTCCTATATTCACTAATTACATTATCGATTTTCTTAGGAGTAGCAAAGGAGGCCAGGGGCATATCAGTAGATGACAGGTTGGCCAGTAGGAAGTACATGGGAGAATGCAATTGAGGATCCAGTTTCACTACAAAGATAATGATTAGGTTACTTAATTATGGATATGTAGAGAATGGAAAAATAAGATAAAGAAAATCTGTAGCTCATGAGATTTTTGAATCCCAACAAAATAAATTCAGGCACCATGGACTGATTTTGTTTTTCCATTTGTTTGTCTGTTGGCATATATGACCTAAAACAAAATAAAAATTAAATTCTGAGAGATATGAGAAATGAAATACATATGCACTTAACACTGCTTCTAAAATTCACTGAAATGTGCAAAAAGAATCAAAAGTATTGAAGAAAAATGAATCCAATATTAAAAAAAGAGTAGACATAATTTCTCAGCAAAAATTATGAATAACTGCCAATATGTTTGAATAAATTTGAAGCCATCAATATGTAACTCATATCTACATCAATCTTGAGAAAGGTGAATAACCCAGTTGGTAAGGAGGTATGGAAGTTTCCTGCCACCTCTTCAGAATTGGAGGAACAGATTTATTGGTCCTCCATAGGCAAAGAAGAGGGCCTGTCCCTCTTCAAATCTCTTTCTACACTCAAAAATCATGAGGAACATGCAAGTGAAAGAGGAGGCAAATGGTTTTTTAATTGAGAAGGATCAAGAAAAATGAAATTGATAAGATGGAATATGGAACATGAACATACTAGGAGTCACTTCTGTAGTTGCTGCTGAAAGTAAGATAAGCAGAGATGATAAACAGAATGAATCCTTGATACATGTGAATCTATGGTTGTGCAACTTGAGGTGGCCTCAATTTTCCTGAGATTGAAAGAAGGGTCCAGTATTTGAGTTTCCTCCCATGGAGCACGTGAATTAGTAGATTGGGGAGTATAGTGCTCAGAGATAGCATAATGAACATTTATTGCTGGCTTCCCTCTGCCTCACTTACTTTCTCTGACAAGCAGCTTAATGTCCAAACAGATCTCTTAAACTATCCATACCATTTATAACGATATTATAAAGTGCAGAACTCTGGTTTAAAAAAAAAGTGATTGACAGGGAACACCTCCATGTTGTTCTAGATAGGTGAAGCAGACCCATGTGAAACGATACCCATTGAAATATAAATAATGGTAGCCAAAAATTTTGAAAGAAGCTAGCTAAGACATAATAATACAGTATTTTTTAAATGAGAGCTAAAATAACCAGAAAAAGATGAAATAGTTTATATCTGACTGGAAACCTTATTTTTATTTATTTATTTGAGACAGAGTCTCGCTGTCTCACCCAGGCTGAAGTACAGTGGTGTGATCATAGCTCACCACAGCCTTGGAATCCTCGGCTCAAGCAATCCTCCCACCTCAGCCTCCAGAGTAGCTGGGACTAAGGTGCACGCCACCACTTTGGCTAATTTTTTTTTTTTATATCAAGACAAGATGTCTCATTTTGTTTCCAAGGCTTGTTTTGAACTTCCGGCTTCAAGACAGCCTCCCAGCTTGGCCTCTGAAAGTGTTGGGATTATAGGTGTCAGCCACAGTGCCCTGCCAAAGAGACCTTACTAATAGAAAAGACACAAAGTAGATTTAAATATGTTTTTTTTAATTTTATTATTATTATACTTTAAGTTTTAGGGTACACGTGCACAATGTGCAGGTTAGTTACATATGTACATATGTGCCATGCTGGTGTGCTGCACCCACTAACTCGTCATTTAGCATTAGGTATATCTCCTAATGCTATCCCTCCCCCCTTCCCCCACCCCACAACAGTCCCCGGAGTGTGATGTTCCCCTTCCTGTGTCCATATGTTCTCATTGTTCAATTACCGCCTATGAGTGAGAACATGCGGTGTTTGGTTTTTTGTCCTTGTGATAGTTTACTGAGAGTGATGATTTCCAATTTCATCCATGTCCCTACAAAGGACATGAACTCATCATTTTTATGGCTGCATAGTATTCCATGGTGTATATGTGCCACATTTTCTTAATCCAGTCTATCATTGTTGGACATTTGGGTTGGTTCAAAGTCTTTGCTATTCTGAATAGTGCCACAATAAACATACCTGTGCATGTGGCTTTATAGCAGCATGATTTATAGTCCTTTGGGTATATACCCAGTAATGAGATGGCTGGGTCAAATGGTATTTCTAGTTCTAGATCCCTGAGGAATCAGTAGCTGATTCGATCAACTGGAAGAAAGGGTGTCAGTGATTGAAGATCAAATGAATGAAATGAAGCGAGAAGACAAGTTTAGAGAAAAAAGAATAGAAAGAAACAAACAAAGCCTCCAAGAAATATGGGACTATGTAAAAAGACCAAATCTACGTCTGATTGGTGTACCTGAAAGTGATGGGGAGAATGGAACCAAGTTGAAAACACTCTGCAGGATATTGTCCAAGAGAACTTCCCAAATCTAGCAAGGCAGGCCAACGTTCAGATTCAGGAAATACAGAGAACGCCACAAAGATACTCCTCGAGAAGAGCAACTCCAAGACACATAATTGTCAGATTCATCAAAGTTGAAATGAAGGAAAAAATGTTAAGGGCAGCCAGAGAGAAAGGTTGGGTTACCCACAAAGGGAAGCCCATCAGACTAACAGCAGATCTCTCGGCAGAAACTCTACAAGCCAGAAGAGAGTGGGGGCCAATATTCAACATTCTTAAAGAAAAGAATTTTCAATCCAGAATTTCATATCTAGCCAAACTAAGCTTCATAAGTGAAGGAGAAATAAAATACTTTATAGACAAGCGAATGCTGAGAGATTTTTTTCACCACCAGGCCTGCCCTAAAAGAGCTCCTGAAGGAAGCACTAAACATGGAAAGGAAAAACTGGTACCAGCTGCTGCAAAATCATGCCAAAATGTAAAGACCATTGAGACTAGGAAGAAACTGCATCAACTAATGAGCAAAATAACCAGCTAACATCATAATGACAGGATCAAATTCACACATAACAATATTAACTTTAAATGTAAATGGACTAAATGCTCCAATTAAAAGACACAGACTGGCAAATTGGATAAAGAGTCAAGACCCATCAGTGTGCTGTATTCAGGAAACCCATCTCACGTGCAGAGACACACATAGGCTCAAAATAAAAGGATGGAGGAAGATCTACCAAGCAAATGGAAAACAAAAAAAGGCAGGGGTTGCAATCCTAGTCTCTGATAAAACAGACTTTAAACCAACACAGATCAAAAGAGACAAAGAAGGCCATTACATAATGGTAAAGGGATCAATTCAACAAGAAGAGGTAACTATCCTAAATATATATGCACCCAATACAGGAACCCCCAGATTCATAAAGCAAGTCCTTAGTGACATACAAAGAGACTTAGACTCTAACACATTAATAATGGGAGACTTTAACACCCCACAGTCAACATTAGACAGATCAACGAGACAGAAAGTTAACAAGGATACCCAGGAATTGAACTCAGCTCTGCACCAAGCAGACCTAATAGACATCTACAGAACTCTCCACACCAAATCAACAGAATATACATTTCTTTCAGCACCACACCACACCTATTCCAAAATTGACCACATACTTGGAAGTAAAGCTCTCCTCAGCAAATGTAAAAGAACAGAAATTATCACAAACTATCTCTCAGACCACAGTGCAATCAAACTAGAACTCAGGATTAAGAAACTCACTCAAAACCACTCAACTACATGGAAACTGAACAACCTGCTCCTGAATGACTACTGGGTATATAACGAAATGAATGCAGAAATAAAGATGTTCTTTGAAACCAATGAGAACAAAGACACAACATACCAGAATCTCTGGGATGCATTCAAAGCAGTGTGTAGATGGAAATTTATAGCACTAAATGCCCACAAGAGAAAGCAGGAAAAATCCAAAATTGACACCCTAACATCACAATTAAAAGAACTAGAAAAGCAAGAGCAAACACATTCAAAAGCTAGCAGAAGGCAAGAAATAACTAAAATCAGAGCAGAACTGAAGGGAATAGAGACACAAAAAACCCTTCAAAAAATTAATGAATCCAGGAGCTGGTTTTTTGAAAGGATCAACAAAATTGATAGACTGCTAGCAAGACTAATACAGAAAAAAGAGAGAAGAATCAAATAGACGCAATAAAAAATGATAAAGGGGATATCACCACGGATCCCACAGAAATACAAACTACCATCAGAGAATCCTACAAACACCTCTACGCAAATAAGCTAGAAAATCCAGAAGAAATGGATAAATTCCTCGACACATACACTCTCCCAAGACTAAACCAGGAAGAAGTTGAATCTCTGCATAGACCAATAACAGGAGCTGAAATTGTGGCAATAATCAATAGCTTACCAACCAAAAAGAGTCCAGGACCAGATGGATTCACACCCAAATTCTACCAGAGGTACAAGGGCGAACTGGTACCATTCCTTCTGAAACTATTCCAATCAATAGAAAAAGAAGGAATCCTCCCTAACTCATTTTATGAGGCCAGCATCATCCTGATACCAAAGCCAGGCAGAGACACAACAAAAAAAGAGAATTTTAGACCAATATCCTTGATGAACATCGATGCAAAAATCCTCAATAAAATACTGGCAAACCGAATCCAGCAGCATATCAAAAAGCTTATCCACCATGATCAAGTGGGCTTCATCCCTGGGATGCAAGGCTGGTTCAATATATGCAAATCAATAAATGTAATCCAGCATATAAACAGAACCAAAGACAAAAACCACATAATTATCTCAATAGATGCAGAAAAGGCCTTTGACAAAATTCAACAACCTTTCATGCTAAAAACTCTCAATAAATTAGGTATTGATGTGACGTATTTCAAAATAATAAGAGCTATCTATGACAAACCCACAGCCAATATCATACTGAATGGGCAAAAACTGGAAGCATTCCCTTTGAAAACTGGCACAAGACAGGGATGCCCTCTCTCACCACTCTTATTCAACATAGTGTTGGAAGTTCTGGCCAGGGCAATTAGGCAGGAGAAGGAAATAGAGGGTATTCAATTAGGAAAAGAGGAAGTCAAATTGTCCCTGTTTGCAGATGACATGATTGTATATCTAGAAAACCCCATTGTCTCAGCCCAAAATCTCCTTAAGCTGATAAGCAACTTCAGCAAAGTCTCAGGATACAAAATCAATGTACAAAACTCACAAGCATTCTCATACACCAACAACAGTCAAACAGAGAGCCAAATCATGAGTGAACTCCCATTTACAATTGCTTCAAAGAGAATAAAATACCTAGGAATCCACCTTACAAGGGACGTGAAGGACCTCTTCAAGGAAAACTACAAACCACTGCTCAGTGAAATAAAAGAGGATATAAAGAAATGGAAGAACATTCCATGCTCATGGGTAGGAAGAATCAATATCATGAAAATGGCCATACTGCCCAAGGTAATGTATAAATTCAATGCCATCCCCATCAAGCTACCAATGACTTTCTTCACAGAATTGGAAAAAACTACTTTAAAGTTCGTATGGAACGAAAAAAGAGCCCGCATCGCCAAGTCAATCCTAAGCCAAAAGAACAAAGTTGGAGGCATCATGCTACCTGACTTCAAACTATACTACAAGGCTACAGTAACCAAAACAGCATGGTACTGGTACCAAAACAGAGATATAGATCAATGGAGCAGAACAGAGCCCTCAGAAATAACGCCGCATATCTACAACTATCTGATCTTTGACAAACCTGAGAAAAACAAGCAATGGGGAAAGGATTCCCTATTTAATAAATGGTGCTGGGAAAACTGGCTAGCCATATGGAGAAAGCTGAAACTGGATCCCTTCCTTACACCTTATACAAAAATTAATTCAAGATGGATTAAAGACTTAAACGTTAGACCTAAAACCATAAAAAACCCTAGAAGAAAACCTAGGCATCACCATTCAGGACATAGGCATGGGTAAGGACTTCATGTCTAAAACACCAAAAGCAATGGCAACAAAAGCCAAAATTGACAAATGGGATCTAATTAAACTAAAGAGCTTCTGCACAGCAAAAGAAACTACCATCAGAGTGAACAGGCAACCCACAGAATGGGAGAAAATTTTCACAACCTACTCATCTGACAAAGGGCTAATATCCAGAATCTACAATGATCTCAAACAAATTTACAAGAAAAAAACAAGAAACCCCATCAAAAAGTGGGCAAAGGACACGAACAGACACTTCTCAAAAGAAGACATTTATGCAGCCAAAAAACACATGAAAAAATGCTCACCATCTCTGGCCATCAGACAAATGCAAATCAAAACCACAATGAGATATCACCTCACACCAGTTAGAATGGCAATCATTAAAAAATCAGGAAACAACAGGTGCTGGAGAGGATCTGGAGAAATAGGAATACTTTTACACTGTTGGTGGGACTGTAAACTAGTTCAACCATTGTGGAAGTCAGTGTGGCGATTCCTCAGGGATCTAGAACTAGAAATACCATTTGACCCAGCCATCCCATTACTGGGTTTATACCCAAAGGACTATAAATCATGCTACTAGAAAGACACATGCACACGTATGTTTATTGCGGCATTATTCACAATAGCAAAGACTTGGAACCAACCCAAATGTCCAACAATGATAGACTGGATTAAGAAAATGTGGCACATATACACCATGGAATACTATGCAGCCATAAAAAATGATGAGTTCATGTCCTTTGTAGGGACATGGATGAAATTGGAAATCATCATTCTCAGTAAATTATCGCAAGAACAAAAAACCAAACACCGCATATTCTCACTCATAGGTGGGAATTGAACAATGAGAACACATGGACACAGGAAGGGGAATGTCACACTCTGGGGACTGTTGTGGGGTGGGGGAAGGGGGGAGGGATAGCATTGGGAGAGATACCTAATGCTAGATGACGAGTTAGTGGGTACAGCACACCAGCAGGGCACTTGTATACATATGTAACTAACCTGCACATTGTGCACATGTACCCTAAATCTTAAAGTATAATAATTAAAAAAAAAAAAAGAAAAAAAAAGAAAATAATATTGGATTTTTAGGGTGGGTGAGGAGTTGATTATGAATATCCAGGAGAAGTTAGGGATTGATAAGGTAGTTATCACAGGTTTATAAAGAAGAGAGTGATATGATGAAAAATAATTTTTATAGGTAATGTTAAATTCATTCTAAGAATAAACTGTATTTGTGGGGAGATTACATTATGCAACATCTACAAAGTGGAATTCTATACACCTATTAAAAAGTTATGTTTCTATATGTTAATATAAACATATTTAAATGTAATAAGTTAAAAACTCAAGAAAAATAGCTATACATATAATATATAATCTGCAGTCTTAATAAAATGATATAAATATAAATACCTGTAACACTAACACACACACACTGTACTGAAGTGTGTATTATTTTTCTGGAAAGTTATCTAAGAAGCTCTTAAAATGTTCAGTCAGTCTTTCTGTTATCTGTGATGTGCTTTTTTCACATTGGCATAAACTACCTTTTTTTTTAAAAGATAATTAAAAGAAAAAAACATATTTTAACCAGCTTTTTAAGAATGGCTGTTCTATTTCTGATTTTAAAATACTTCAACATTCAATTTGACATTTAAAAATAAATATTGTTAAAATTCCTAATGTTGTGGATTTTTCTGTGGATTAAGTCAGCTGACTTAATCTAGATCCTGAATATGCACTACATAGTTTATTCATTCAACAGATATTCACTTAGTGTTTTTGATATGCACTATTCCAGATGTGGAGGATTTATAAACTTCTTTGTATGTATTTGAAAATTGTTCTCTTCTGTTTAAATGCAGCTTCAAAAATTGGGTTTCAAAAAGAAGCATTAGTAGGAATTCTTAAATATTAGTCATAAAACTGAAGAGAGCTATTACCTTTATAGACATATAAATGAATGGCTCTAATTACATATTTGATGAAATTTAATATTTTGCATCAAAGTTTCTCAGAGTGGGAAATTGGCCAACAGATATGTTTACATAGGGAAAAAAATACATCCCTAGTTGGATAAGTGTTCCTATGGGATTATCTCATAGAAACATATAGCACTATGGTCTCTATTTTTTCTGTTTCTGATGATTGGAAGAGTAAATTGCAGATAACTGATGGGGATACAGGAAAAGGAGATAAAAGGCCATTCCTGGGATTCACGTACGACGCCATCACGAAAGTTTTTTTCCCCTGTCTTGTAAGTAATAACAGCACAAAAAGATGACTACAAATACTTTATTTACTGAAGGTGTTTTGTAAGACCTAGATTAATTTAAAACTATTAGCAACGGAGGCAATTTTTTTAAAAGCTGAACCAATAGAACCAGTTTGTAATAAGCATGAGCCGATGACAAATTTTGTCATAAATTTAGATTATACTGAAAGAACTGTATTTCTTTTACCAACATAAATGTTACATCAAGCTAAGTCATTTTGAAACCTATGACAACCATACACAGGCCAACCAGCTAACCACTACATAGCAATAACCAGGTAAATGAATAAATGAATGCAAGCTGAAAGTGAAATTAGTCAATTACATTTGACTGTGGGTTGTTTGTACACATTGTCTAACCATCTAGAGGAGGTATTTGATGTGAATAATATGAAATGTTGAATGAACGAATTATATAAATATATATAAATATATGAAATGTATGTAATATACATGTTTAATATATATATACTATACATATACTTGACACTTCAAAAGTGTGTAGTGACTACTGCTAATACTGATCTGTGAGGGATTCATGCAAGAATGGAGCATGGAGGAAATAAGGTAAGTTTCTCAGGACCTAATTCATATTTCTTTACCAGAGTCCATTTCAAAACATGGTTCTTGAGAATCCTGGATGTATTTTTGATATCCTTTCCACATTAATAAAACTCAATATTATTCTGTGACTATAAAACTCACCAGAATCATTATCTTATTCATAGAGATCTTTATAGCAGAAAGAGGCATTCGATACCATATAGTCCAAATTCTTTTTTTCACTGAGAAGAAAACCCTCAAAAGGAGAGTTACTTGTCCTGTGTCACCCAGTGAGCAGCTTACCCAGGTGTCCTGTAGAGGTCTTCTGATTCTAATTCATGACCTATAGTTTTGTGGTTTCATGTACTATTAATGTTTTTATTTTTGTCTTCCAGAAACTTATATTCTGAATTCTACTGACTATTTGGGATACTTCTCTGGGCCATTAGTAAAATCACTGACTGACAAAATTCCACAAAAGTAAGGGTCCTTGTAAGTTCAAGTGCCTTGACTGAGTACCAAATGTGGACATCAACATGAACATTTCTTTCCAATATGCATCATTTCCCTACCCCTTATTCTCACTTATTTTGATCATTATGGGATAAAGTTGACGATATGGAAAGAGCAAACCATTCAGTGGTATCGGAATTTATTTTGTTGGGACTTTCCAAATCTCAAAATCTTCAGATTTTATTCTTCTTGGGATTCTCTGTGGTCTTCGTGGGGATTGTGTTAGGAAACCTGCTCATCTTGGTGACTGTGACCTTTGATTCGCTCCTTCACACACCAATGTATTTTCTGCTTAGCAACCTCTCCTGCATTGATATGATCCTGGCTTCTTTTGCTACCCCTAAGATGATTGTAGATTTCCTCCGAGAACGTAAGACCATCTCATGGTGGGGATGTTATTCCCAGATGTTCTTTATGCACCTCCTGGGTGGGAGTGAGATGATGTTGCTTGTAGCCATGGCAATAGACAGGTATGTTGCCATATGCAAACCCCTCCATTACATGACCATCATGAGCCCACGGGTGCTCACTGGGCTACTGTTATCCTCCTATGCAGTTGGATTTGTGCACTCATCTAGTCAAATGGCTTTCATGTTGACTTTGCCCTTCTGTGGTCCCAATGTTATAGACAGCTTTTTCTGTGACCTTCCCCTTGTGATTAAACTTGCCTGCAAGGACACCTACATCCTACAGCTCCTGGTCATTGCTGACAGTGGGCTCCTGTCACTGGTCTGCTTCCTCCTCTTGCTTGTCTCCTATGGAGTCATAATATTCTCAGTTAGGTACCGTGCTGCTAGTCGATCCTCTAAGGCTTTCTCCA
This sequence comes from Homo sapiens, assembly GCF_000001405.40. NCBI lineage: Eukaryota > Metazoa > Chordata > Mammalia > Primates > Hominidae > Homo > Homo sapiens. Next base: position 236,724 of record NW_025791796.1, on the reverse strand, counting down.
CTCTCTCAGCTCACATCACAGTTGTGACTCTGTTCTTTGCTCCGTGTGTCTTTATCTACGTCTGGCCCTTCAGCAGATACTCGGTAGATAAAATTCTTTCTGTGTTTTACACAATTTTCACACCTCTCTTAAATCCTATTATTTATACATTAAGAAATCAAGAGGTAAAAGCAGCCATTAAAAAAAGACTCTGCATATAAATTTAAAGCATACTTTTTAGATGAGACTTTTGAAGAGACACTCTCTTGTTTGTTTGAACATTTAAGAAACTCGTTTTTAATGTATCAGGTTCGTGCAAAAGTCATTGCGGTTTTTGCCATTAAAGTAAATGACAAAATTAAAGTAATGGCAAAAACCACTATAACTTGTGTACCAGCTAACAGTTCAAGTTCCATATGAGGAAATAGTAGATGTAATTGTTAAAAAGCAAACACCTTTTTGTGATCTTTTATGGTCAAACACATAATATCTACAGTTTGGCTTGTATACATTTAAATCCCACCTTTATCAGTTTCTCTGGTGCAAATTTGAAGAAAATAAATAAGTTCCCTGTGATTTAGTTTTTTCGTCTATACAACCTTGTTTATATGCATCTTTCATTATTATTTTAGCATGCTCTTAAACCTCAGAAAACACATTATTATTGTTAGGTTTTTTGTTGTTGTTATTGGTAATCTATGTTTAGAGAAAGCACACAGATGACATCTCATCACGGTTATTTATCCAAGTGCCTTACAGGCTAGAAAACTGCATGTTCTGGGTAATCCCTGATTAGTGTGTATTAAATTATACTAAGTTGTTTTCCATAAACACAGTGTGTTCACCATTCTTCACATATTTTGTGAGCCTACAGAATGCCAGAAGATATAGCCAGGCCTTCAAGGAACTTACAGCCTATGGATAGATCGAGCAAACTAAATTGGCAGTTGTTCCATGGCACGAACAGCACTGTTACATGATGGACAGGGTGCTTTGAGAGTGCAGGAATGGCATCTCAATCAGGGCAGGGCAGGAAGGTTTCCACTTATAGTTAGCATCAGCTAGATGGAAAAGAAAGACATTCCACGAGAAAGAAATAGTATGTTGAGAATGCATAGAAGCATGACACAGTGGAGAACCTATACATAATTTCATTGAGCTGGGTCATGGGCTATGATGTTGAGAGATGAGATAGAGAGGTAGGTCAAATGTAGTCTGATCATATAATAGAAAATATAGGACACTCTTTGGAATTCAAAACTGTGTCATGCTGAAATTTAAAAGAGAGACAGGAAGGAAAAAAAGTAAGCATAGACCATTCCTGTCCCAACTTGTACATTGTACTGCTTCTATTCCAAGTTTATCTCCCCCTTCTTAGCTCTGTTCATATTTCTCTTTGCAATCTAGGCAACTAGGCCTGTAACTGACTTGAAGGCTAAAGCAAATTTAAGGCAACTGGGTATGGGAGAAGATGTCTACTGTCTTTCAACTTCAGCATAAATCCAAAAAGAACTTTATGCCTTTTATTGGATATATTATACCTAGTATCCAGAAAAGCCATTCCAGAGACAGAAGATAAAACATTGAGTACTAGGTCTCTAACATGTTATTTTTTAGATCATTTGTTACATAAAGGGCACAGTCACATCAGCCTTAGTTGTTTCATACTGAGCAACCAATTTTATGGAGAAAACATTTTGTGTACAAGTTGAATTATTGTGACCAAGGATCCCAGCCTCAAAATGCATTTTCAAACTTTTTTTTTCTTTCTTTCTGAATCTCAGAATGTAGCCTTGTGTTGTAAGACTTTGTCTCCCTTTCCCACCAGGTACATTCATACACAGTGTTTCTTATCTAATTAAGGACTTGCTTAGAAATCCTAGGGGCCGATTTTGAAACAAACAAGGCAGGGAAACCTGGCTGCAGAATCCTCCCTTGAGAGGGGAATTACTTACAGTTAACCCACCACTACCAGGCCAAAGTCAGGAAAAGGCAAATCAGGCCTCAGGACAGACCATCACTCAAGATAACCTTCAGAACAAAACACGCAGACCTGCACGTTCCTGCACTATTCCCACATATTTCCCATATCTTTTCCGTCTTAAACTCCTTTACTTAGCCCCCAAACGGGGAATGGTCTGTTAAAGGCATGAGCCTGGCCATCCCCCACCTGCTTGCATTTGAATAAAATTGCTTTCCTTTTACCACACCTTGCTGCACTTGTTTTCAGCCTCTGAGCGGGGAGGTGGGCATGGGTGGGTGTGTTGGGGGCTCGGGGTGGGGGGAGGCGGGGGAGACTTCAGCTGGTTATATTTTAAGCTGGTTATATTATATCTAACTAGAAATAGCTCTTTTCTGAACACATACTATGAAAATACCCATAGGTTTAATATAATCTAGAGTTTTGTTTTTAAAAGGCTATTATTGATTGGTTGATGTGACTGACAATTTGTTGAGCAAATTGTCACGAATTTGTGATATAAATTATTTGTAAGTTATTTATGTATTTCTTATGTCAAGAAAAAAGCTACCAACTACTATTATGTATTTCTTATGCCAGAGAAAGCTACTAACTACTCAATATTTTTCCCAAATAATTTAGCTAATTTTCAAAACAGTATTATTTGAAAAATAATCTACCCTGTCCCCTTGTTATGTGAAATTTGTGAACTGTCTTTATTAGAAGGAGTTATTTTTTCCCTCTCCCAACATGCTAGCTACTATCAAGCATATAATACAGAAACCCTCACCCTGACAGCCAGTAGAGGCACCGCCCTCCTTCTGCCTGCCATTCACTTGCTCTCCTTCTAAGCACGTGATGTGATTTATAGATGACTGAAATTTGGAAACGAGACTGAGCATGAGGTTCTCGGCGTTTTACAGTATTGCTGTTTCAGAGGAGCCGAGGCACACAGTTCTAAACCCCAGTTAAGGGGTAGCACCTGTTTTCCATGGGCAAATTTGTTAACACCTCAAACTGTCTTCCTGTCAGGGTCCTCTGCTCTTGGAGGAATGTGTAATTTATTTTATTTATTTATTTATTTGAGACGGAGTATCACTCTGTTGCCCAGGCTGGAGTGCAGTGGCGCAATCTCTGCTCACCGCAACCTCCGCCTCCCGAGTTCAAGTGATTCTCCTCTCTCAGCCCCCTGAGTAGCTGGGATTACAGGCGCCCACCACTGCGCCTGGCTCATTTTTGTATTTTTAGTAGAGACAGGGTTTGGGCATGTTGGCCAGGGTAGTCTCGAACTCCTGACATTAGGTAATCCACTCACGTTGGCCTCCCAAAGTGCTGGGATTACAGGCGTGAGCCACTGTGCCTAGCCAGAATGTGCACTTTAGAATTATCCTTGTCTCTGCCCAGCTAAATGTTTGTTCTGCAAACTCTCTATTTAAGGGGATCCCAGGGTTAAAATTAAGGGAAAGTAGTAGGAAGACTCTTGGGGTTTTAAGTCCAGTGCAACTTTACCAGTAATAATACTGATATTTGTCTCTTCCTATTCACAATTCTACCTATGAATTTGTTCAGGACTCACAAGGGAGAAGGGAAGATTGACACTTCAGAGAACCCTACAATCAATTCATAGTACAAATATTAAGCTTTTTGTTTCATTTTTCAAGTACAGTTTACATATAGAAAAAATGACTCTTTAGTGTATGGTTTTGTGAGCTTTTATAGCAATTTATTTTTTATTATTTTAATTTTTTAAAATTTATTTTTAATTATTATGAATATATAATAGTTGCACATATTTATGAGGTACTGGAGATGTTTTGATGCAAGCAAAGAATGTATAATGAACAATTCAGGGTAATTGGCTGGATTGTTGACAAATGCCCATAGTTATATAATTATCAAATCTCAGAGATAGAACAGTTTCATCAACCCAAAAATGCTCCTGTCCCCCACAGTAGTCACCTCCTCCTTCCCATTTCCTGTCCTTGACAGTAGCCATCTGACTGTGCTCTTAGAGTTTGCTTTTTCAAGATTGTCATATAGGTAGAATCATACAGCAAATAGCCTGTTGAGGGTGGCTTTTTTCACTTGGCGCAATGTCTTCTGAGATTAGTTCAGTAGCAAGCTGATTTAATTAATGTAAATCTATATTACATTTTATTATTTTATTTTATTTGTTTTTTTGAGATGGAGTCTTGCCCTGTCACCCAGGCTGTAGTGCAGTGGCTCAATTTTGGCTCACTGCAACCTCCACCTCCCCAGTTCAAGCAATTCTCCTGCCTCAGCCTCCCAAGTAGCTGGGATTGCAGGTGTGTGCCACCATTCCTGGCTAATTTTTGTATTTTTGGTAGAGACAAAGTTTTGTCATATTGGCCAGGCTGGTCTCGAACTCCTGACCTCAAGTGGTCCACCCACCTCAGGCTCCCAAAATGCTGGGATTACAGGCACTGTGAGCCACTGTGCCTGGCCTATATTACATTTTAATATCTACCCATATAAGTACTCCCGTTACTATTCTTCCTCAAACTATCTTCGTTTGTGTCATTCGATTCTTCATTTACGTTAACTAGTGTGATTTTACCAAATAATATGAACACTATATCTTTATAACTGCATTAACCAAAACATTGTTTCAGGGATAAATATATATTGGTATTGACCACATTTGACTTTCCTATCCTAGAACGTGGTTTAATTTTTAACTTATTTGGGTCTTCTTTTGTGACTTCAGTAATGTTTTATAACTTTTTTCATTATATACTGAAAGTTACAAAACTTATGAATTATTTTATTTTAATTTTGATGAAGTAATTTTTCAATTGTATTTTTTGTTATTTCTCAAATGTTGATAATCATATATATGTATATGCATATATATATATATGTTTCTTTATTTGTAACTAGCCACTATACTAAACTCTCTAATTCAAATTTTAGTTGATTTTCTTGGGCCTACTATATAATGTCTCATATGCTATGTTTTCCTATTACCTTTTAATGTCTTATTTCATATTTTAGCTTATGACATGTCTAGGACTTAGTATTTTCTTCTGATATTTTTTCCTGAAAAGTAAATGATATGGAGATATGACATAAAAGTTCTGAGACAGTCCTCCAGCATGGATAATTCCTGATTTTAATATGTTTTTTAAATATGGTAAATATTTGACATTTGACTTTTTTAACAAAAATAAATATATTTGGAATGATGAAAACTTTACTTTGCACTTGGCTTATTTGCTATGGACAAATTTATTAATTTTGGTGGAGGTATTGTCAACATTTCTAACAGGTAGATGTAAATCTTTAATTGGTATAAAATCTAAGAAAGTGAAACTGCAGTTGAAAGTTACAACTTCCAGCCAAAACTGAAACAAGTAAAGTTTACAAGGAACTTAGCTACCACCTAGTGAATACTGTGTTTTTTTGCTTTGCTTTAAACAAGAAACCAAGAGTTAGGAAGATGGAAAATTTACTAAAATGGGCTGGAGTCTTTCCAGTCTTCTAAGAGCAAGCTAAAGGCAGACTTAAATCTTACAGCTTCCAAAGAGGCGGTCAAGCTGGTAACTCTCTCACCATTACCCAAAATAGCCTTTTTCACAGGCAAATTTGAACATTACTTTGAGATATTTCCTTCCACTGGAACCCATCAGCCAAGTTCAGAATTCCAGTGGACATCACAACCCATTAAGTCACCATTAGAAATTAAATTCTTCTGAAAGTGGCAAGGCAGATAGTAACAAGAAATGACCTGGATATCAAAACAATTGTTCATAGTTTAAAATGTATTGCCTACCATAGATTCAAAATTCAAAGTCTTTAACTTCACTAAAAGTATAAGTTATTCTTCCAAATTTCAGGAGGAACTAAAAATGTATAATACCTCTTACAATCTAATTTGCAAAGTGTAACAATTTGCTCAGAGTTATTCTTCCAAGAGATTTTACATTAAGCATAATTGGTCAGATAGATTGAAATGTCTAGAGAAAAATAGAAACTGTGTTTCAGGCTACCAAAGAAAGAGTAGTCAAAAGCAATTCTTCAGTCTGCACCCAAAATGTTGTTCTTTTTATAAAAAATGAAGAATCTGATGAAAAACTAAGCAAATAGACTGTAATTGCAGTCTTTGAGCATCTCAGTCTTAATCCCATGTTATGTATAAGAGAACTAGGGTATAGGGGAATGGTTCCTAACTTACCCAAGTTTCCATAATTAGCAAGCAAAAGAAGTGAAATTGAAATCCAGTCTGTTTTTGTAGTCTACGCACCTTTTCATAACACTATGCTACCTCAAACAGTAGGTTCTGGACACCACATTTGTAAATAACCTTCTTCCCCAAATCTAGAAACAGCATGCAATGTAAGAGTTTGTGGAGAAGAATCCCTGGGTGAATATGCAAAGACTAATTTATTGCTCTTATAAACTCAAGACAAAGAAAAGGAATGTACATTCCTACAACTGTAAAATTCACCTTCTCACACCTAGTGGGGTTTTGAAAATGATTACATGCATCCATGTGATAAAATTAGCAAATAGCATTGATTGAAAGGACTCAAACACAAAACACAAACACAAAACAGTACATAATATACAAGCACATCCATAGAAAATCTAAATGGAAATATAGCGGGTAATAGTGGCTCCCAAAATTCACATCTAACAAAAATCTCAGAATATGACCTAATTTAGAAATAGAGTTTTTCAGGTCAGGCGCGGTGGCTCACGCCTGTAATCCCAGCACTTTCGGAGGCCAAGGCAGGCAGATCACAAGGTCAGGAGATTGAGACCATCCTAGCTAATACAGTGAAACCCCTTCTCTACTAAAAATACAAAAAAATTAGCTGGGCGTGGTGGCGTGCACCTGCAGTCCCAGCTATTCGGGAGGCTGAGGCAGGAGAATGGCGTGAACCTGGGAGGCAGAGCTTACAGTGAGCCCAGATCGCACCACTGCACTCCAGCCTGGGTGACAGAGCGAGACTCTGTCTCAAAAAAAAAATAAAATAAAATAGAGTTTTGCAGAAATAATTAAGGTAAGGACCAAAATGAGATCATACTAATTAGTGTGGACACAAACTGCAATGAGTGTCTAAAAGAGACAGGAAAGGACACACACACAGAGGAAAAGGCCCAGAGATAAAGCACAACTCCAGAGATTGGAGTTGTGCTGCCACAAACCAAGGAACACCTGGGCTTTCAGAGGCTGGAGGAGGCAGGGAAGGTTTCATCCCTAAAGCCTTCAGAGGGAGGATGGGCCTGCTGACACCTTAATTTCAGACTTCTGTTCTGTAGATCTGTGAGAGAATACATTTTTGTTGTTTTAAGCCACAATGTTTGTGGTAATTTGTGATGGCAGCCCTAGAAAACTAATGCAACAGACAAAGCTGATTTCTTCTATTATAATATAATTACAGCTAAATCTAAATGTGAGCCATAAATTTGACAAAAAGTAGCGAGTTAGACGATGCAAATTGATGGCAAGAAAGTGGAAATACATGACTTCTCATACAGTTGATAGGAGGCAAACCAGTTTGGAAAGAAATTTGGAATTATTTAATTAAAATAAATATATGCATACAATACTGCTAGGAAATTCCTCTCCTGAATAGTTACTCTGAGAGAACTAGAAATACCATTTGACCCAGCAACCCCATTACTGGGTATACACCCAAAAGATTATGCATCATTCTACTATAAAGACACATACACACACATGTTTACTGCACTATTTACAATAGCAAGGACTTGGAACCAAACCAAATGCCCATCAATGATAGACAGGATTAAGAAAATACGTTACATATACACCATGAAATACTATGCAGCCATAAAAAAGGATGAGTTCATGTCCTTTGCAGGGACATGGATGAAGCTGGAAACCATCATTCTCAGCAAACTATCACAAGGACAGAAAACCAAACACCACATGTTCTCACTCATAGGTGGGAATTGAACAATGAGAACACATGGACACAGGGTGGGGAGTATCACACACTGGGGCCTGTCAGGGGGTGGGGGTCTTGGGGAGGGATAGCATTAGGAGAAATACCTAATGTAAATGACTAGTTGATGGGTGCCGCAAGCCAAGATGGCACATGTGTGCATATGCAACAAACCTGCATGTTGTGCACATGTACCATATAACTTAAAGAATAATTTTTTTAAAAATAAATAAATATTAAATAATTTTAAAAAGGCTGGGAAGGGAAGAGGGAAGAGAGAATAAAGAGGAATTGGTTAATGGACAAAAATATAGTTTGACAAAAGGAATAAGCTCTAACATTCTATAGTACAGCAGGAAAATTATAGTTTACAATAATATCATATATTTTCAAATAGCTAGAAGAGAATTGTCATGTTCCCAAAACAAGGAAAAGAAAAATGTTTGAGGTGATGGATATCCCAATCACCCTGATTTGATCACTACACATTATATACACGTATCAAAATGTAACATGTACCCCAAAAAATGTACAAGTATTATACAATAATAAATATAAAAATATAAGTATGTTCCAAAACAATAAAAAGTGATATATATATACATACATTTACATATGTTTGTGCGTGTATATGTATATATATACACAACAGAATACTACATAGCCTTTAAAAGAGGAGGAAATTCTTTCCATTGAGACAACATGAATGAAACTGGAGAACAACATGCCAAGTGAAATAAGTCAGCCACAGAAAAATACTGTATGACCTCACTTATCTGTGGAATCTGAAAAAGTTGACCTCATAGAAACAGAGTGTTAGAAAGGTGGTTACCAGAGGTTGGGGGTAGTTGGAGGGATGGAGAAAGGAAAGATATTGATCAAAGGGTACAAAATCTCAGACTGGAGGAGCAACTTTTAGTGATCTATTGCAATGTATGGTGACCACATTTAATAATAATGTATTGAAGGTATATACACATTCCTAGATATATGTATCTAGAGAGAGAGGAGGGAGAGAGAGGGAGAGATGGGATCTTGCTCTGTTGCCCAGGCATCCTGGATCTCCTGGCCCTAAGCAATTCTCCTACTTCAGCCTCCTGGGTAGCTGGGACTATTGGTGTGCAACACTACAACTGCTTGATTAGAAAAAAGAAAATTTAGAGACTCCTTGTCCAGGCTGGCCTCAAGCTCCTGACATTAAGCTATCCTCCTGCCTCAGCCTCCCAGGTAGCTGATTACAGTTACAAGCCACCACACCTGGCTTTGTATCCTATGTTTTAAAATTGCTAAAAGAATAGATTTTTAATGTCTCATCACAAAAAAAGGATAAGTCTGTGAGGTGGTACATATATTAATTAACTTGATTGGCTCTTTACATACATACATATATATAGATTTATATATACATCTATATATACAATGTATATATAGATAAAGTCTCATACAAATTATTTGTCAATTAAAAATAATTTTTAAAAAATGTATTGAACAAATATTTCACCAAGGAAAACATGTAAGTTAGCACATAAAAAGATTTTCAACATCATTATTTATTAGGAAAATGAAAATTAAAACCACAATAAGATACCATTTCATACTTTCTACAATGACTGTTCAAAATAAGATAGACAATAACAAATGCTGGTAAGAATATAGGGAAGTTACAATTCTCATGAATTGCTGCTGGGAATGTAAAATGATACAGTCACTTTGGAAAACAATTTGTCACTTTCTCAAAAAGTTAAAAGTAAAACTGTCATATGAACCATCAATTTCACAGAAGATAAATGAAAATATATGTCATCATAAATACTTGGGCACATATGCTCATAACAGCATTATTCATTATAGCCCCAACCTGAAAACAACCTAAATGTCCATCAATTGCTTATGGATAGACAAAAAGTGGTATTCAGCAATAAAAAGAAATAAAGTATTGACACATGCTACCTCATGGATGAACCTCTAATACACTATTCTAAGTGAAAAAAAGCCACTGAGAGATCTGATATTATATAATTTATATTATATTAAATATCTAAAAATTGCAAATTTATAGAGACAGAAAGTAAACTAGTGGTTGTTTTGAGCCAGATAGAGAGTAGGCATTAACTATTATGAGCTTGAAGGATCTTACTTGGGAGATGAAAATATTCTAAAACTGAGGTTTGGTGGTAGTGGCATCACTCAGTACAGTTACTAATAATCATTGAGTTGTTTACTTGAAATGGATGATTTTGTGATAGGTTAAATATATCTCAATACAGTTGTTTGAAAAAAAAAAAGGCAACCTTCTGTGTTACCTGATAAACTGGTTGGAGGAGAATTCCCAAGGCTATGTTTTGGAGTACTCAGACAACTGGATGCCTAAAAATGCCATTAATGTGGGAGACACATTAATATCTCCCCTGGATGCAGGTGTCTTATCAGGAAACATTAGTGACTACTAATCAGTAGTAACGTCTAGTTACTACTCCCCACTATTACCATTAATAAGTCATCAATACAGTAGAAAAGTTTGGCATTTGGCGAGATGTCCAGATGGTCAAAATCTCTTCCGACAGTATTATGACAGGAGAATTAACATTCTACTGGGATAAGATCATGCATGTATAGTGCTGTCATTTCAAAGTGAGTTAAAATTACTTATGACTGTTTTCCCTGATAAGAATTGAGAACACATTTGTCAGATTAATGGCTACACAATTACTAGAGCCTGTATCAGTGAATTCTAGTAAATATACTATATTCAGCACAATCGTTGCATTTGGAACTACCAACTGGTTATATTTACCTTACTCCATTTTTTGACATATTTTTTAAAAAATTTTCTTTTCTTTCCTTCCTTCATTCTCCCCTTCCTCTCACCTCTGTTTTTTCTTCTTTGTTGCTTGGTTGTTTGCTTTCCTTTTTGCAATATCAGACTGGTAAACTAAAGCTTTCTAAAATGGCAATAATCTGTCCTTCTATCAGGGATGTCATATTACTTCTAATTAGTCTTATGGTTGTAGGTGTTGCAGTTTCAGAGACTTCTGCTTAGTGTTTTCTATTTTAATGCTCATATTCTATAGGCCAAGGAACCAATGTGAAAATTCTATCAGCTACTTAGTATATCCATTCTAATTATGCATCAGGAGCCAGGGAAATTACACAAATAGACCCACTGGAGCAGACTTCATTCATCACCTAGTATCTGTATGATTTACTCTAACAGGGACCATAATGGGATTTTTGTTTCCCAGATATGAGTACTGTCTCAGACTCTAGACCTCAAATATCTGAATATTTCCCTTTATCTGCTGTTCAGTTACTCTAGTAAATGGGCATAATTCTGAAGAATGATTGGGGGAATTGTTTTTGTATACATTTACTGTAGCGTGGAGCTCTTCTTCAAGTGGACCTGGCCTCTTCTTGAATTGATCGATGCTAGATCTGATTACTCACTCGTTTTTAGAAACTGGGTAATAGATTGTTTTTATTCCATTATGGTGGCTTTTACCAATATTTTGCTTACCACTTCTTGATTTCCTTTTTCCTCCTTGGGTGATGTGAGTCAAGAAATAATTCTGTTGGGTGCCTACAGCTCTTGCTCCATCTAGTTATCATAACAGACACCTGCGGGTTAAGATCTAAGCTTTTTGTTACATACTTGTTGCACACTGTCAAAATTACTATAGTTGCCTCTGATGGCTAATGACTGCTACCCATCCTCTTAAATTCCAGGCTCCTACTGTTGTGACTGACAGTAGGGAGTCCATGCTTTAAGCTTTAGTGAAAGACCCTCTAGACCTTCCCTTGTAACCTTGTCAGTCGGTCGGTGCACTAGTATTATAAGCTAAATCCATTTGATTTTGCCAAGCTTACTTAGACTTTTGAGCCTTTCATTTAAGATATGCCAAGGCAGTTCCAGCATTTCTACCTTGGATAGAATGGATCATCATTCTGTCCAAGTTTCAAAGGTATAAAATCCTGACTTATAGAAAAGTACTTCCATGTCAATAAATTCTCCCTTATCTATCCCACACTCTGCCCCCACACATTGTTCCAAACTTCAACATTCATTCATTCTTCCAGTGCATATTAGTCAGTTCATGAAGTCCTGTTGGTTATTTCTCTTTTATCTGAGAGTAGGGTTAGTATTTCCCCAGTCTCACATTATGTACCTATACTCTAGTTATTTACCTGGAAGCAGTGAAGGTAGGTGGGACTGATCTTAAGATGAAGGTGTATTATTTTGCAGCACATACACCTTAGTTAGAGCCTTTGACTTTTTTCCAGGGAAAGTGAACGTGCTACTTTCCAGTAAGAAGGAGGAAGCCACTTCTGCTGGCCCAACATGTTCAAAGGAAGATATTCTTATATCAGATATTAGATTCTAACATTTTTCTTATTAGACCTTAGCATAAAAGAGTTTCCAGAGTTGTGAATTCAGCTTTCTTTGTAACTTCACTATTCTCACAATTAGTATCCATCCTGATTTACAGCACTGGCTGCCCCTAGACTCTAGACAATAGAGATCACTTTGTGTACTGTCATGGGGCCTTCTATATTTTTATACTGTGGCCTGAGTTGATAGTTGACTGACCTTAGCCTGTTATTTTCTTCTGCAAGCACTTCGATGCCAATTAGAAATAACCAGCCAACTCCTTATTTTTATAAAGTAGCATTGTCCTGCTATCAAATCTAGGTCTCTAACCCAACTTAAATCATCACAAGTGAGAGTCTAGTAGTTGTGATATACAGTGTGCCAGAGATTCTCATGATCTTACCTACCATCAACAATGAGGGACTGTTGCATTGGGCTAGTGAGCGATTTAATTTCAAAATCTCATTCTGAGAATCTGTTCTACAGAAGCAGGTCTAGTATTAACTGTCCTACCTTGTATTCATCCAGAAGTCTCTGAGATCAGGAATGGAGTGCAAATACTTTTACTGGGCAAAAGCGATCCTAAGAAAATCTGGTAGTTTTCTGGTAGAGTGAGGAAGTGGGACAAGGGAAGAAGAGAACCAATAAACAGCACATTACCAAACAATTTGCCACTGTAGGCAATTGAAGCAATCCTTCTTCTGGCATTCTCAATATGCCTTACTCTGCTTACTTTTTTTCCTTAGTGCTTATCATAGATGAGTCATTTATTTGTATTTATGTGTTTGTGTTTTCTGCTAGATTGTAAGTGTCAAGAGGAAAGTAATTCTTACCTATTTTATTCATTGATGCAACCTAAGGATTTATACTGTATGTATAGTTAGCTGTCCTCTTTTTTTGGCCGTAACAAAACACCATGAACCCTTCTTCGTTTGTTGAAAACACACTTTTTCATGTGTTATTATCTTCTATCACACAGATATACTTTAATTGATTTTAATTATTCTGGCAAATTTAAATTGCTTAATAATTCTTGATCTATAAATCAGTAAATTGCTTAATAATTCTTGATCTATAAATCAGTAAATTGCTTAATAATTCTTGATCTATTAATCTGTAATGTTATTATGGACATATTTTAACATAGAAATGACTAGGTCAAGATCTACTAGCATTTTTTAATGGGCCTGGTCTATGTTTCCAAAGTGTCTATCAAAAAGTTTTCCCAAATCTGCAGTGTAGGCCTGCCGGCTGGAGACCCAGGAGAGCTGATGACACAGATGAAGGTCTGAGGCAGTCTGGTGGTCTGATGGGGAATTCTCCCTTGCTTTGAAAGGCTGGTCCTTTTGTTCTATGCAGGCCTTCAACTTACTGGAGGAGCTCCGCCCGCATTATGGAGAGCAGTCCACTTTACTCAAGGCTCACCATTTTAAATGTTAATGTTATCCAAAAATGCCCTCTATGTTGTATCATAAATAAAGCCACCACATTTAGTAAATCTTTCCTTACCTCCAAATCCAGTATTCACTTAATCTGGTTGTCAAAAACTTCTCTATAATTCTTTATTTTACACAATATATCTGTACCACCTAATGACTGCATTTCAGAAACAAATCACACTGAAGCTAATAGACTGCTTCTGCAGACTTTCTTTAGTAATCATTATCTGTGTGTTTAAAAGACAGAAACAGAACTTAGATTTTGCAACTCATTTTAAGTGAAACGCAATTATCTAATGCCAATGTGCCACTTGAGACTTTTTACTATACTCAGAGGCTGCCTTGGTAGTCAAATTTCTCATAAATTTGGTAGAACTTATATACCTAATATGGAAGTAAATGTCATGTGAATAGTTGTAAATGTGATGACCATTTATCAGAATGTTTTGGAATATTTGTCTTCAGCGTGGACCCATTAGTAGAAGAATCCTGCATTAACCTTGAATGATTTGGGGAAGTAAGTAGGCTATCAATAATAAATGATGAACAAAGTAACCCACACACCTGGAGATTTCATCATGCCTGACCGTACCAATCTAGAGAAGGCAAATATTTTGGCACATATAAATCTGATGCTCCTTGTATGAGTAAATCTTTTTCAAAGTGTAATGCTTGATCAAAGTTATATAATGTGCAGAGTTGGCAAATTTTCAGCATAATTTTAGAGTGTAACTTGTTAATTTGATTATTTAGAGATAAATTTGTCATTTTATACTTGATTAACTGGATAATGGTATATATAATTCTGCTTGAATTACTAAAATAAATGCAGCTATGCTAATATAATCTGGCAGATCCATAATTATTTTTCTTTTGTCACCTGGAGAAATGAACGTGATTCATTACTGCAAATTTCCACCCTCAGATGATTTATTCCCAAGCCTTTGTTATGGTCATTGGTCACAAATGGCCCATAATTAAAGGATTCTTAATTGGTGGGTGACAGGGTATATTTATAACTTAACTCCAAGGAAGACTCAAATCTGAAGTTCTCTAACTTTAAAATAATGCTTTTCCTGAATTGTTTTTAAGATGCAGAAGAAGATGATTAAATCATCTCTGGGATAAAATATGTGTTTTCAATAGCTCCATTCAAGTATAATAGATGTAAAATATAAATTGGGTGAGCTGCAGTATCAGCACTGAGCATCTTAACTCCAGGTTAGTAAAGAACTTTTGTAATAAATATGAACATGCATGAGATATAAGTCAAATACAGACTAATTGTTATATTATTTTATATATTAAATCGTTGGATTACATCATAATAACTTGCAAGTTGAAGTTAAATTTTTTCATTATTATTTGGATTTATATTTTAATTTAAAAACACCATTGGTTTGTATACAAAATCAATGTCATTTTTTTCTGATTACAAACTTAGTATTTATTTGCTTTTAGATGATTTACACATCATAAAGAGTTCTCAGAAATTAGAACTTTAATCGAGATTATTTATTACAACATCTTTTAATATCCATTTTAAAAACATTGTTGAGGTATAATTTATATATCATAAAGTTCACTCATTTTACATGTTCAATTCAATGGTTTTTAGTGTATTTACAGAGTTGTACAACTATCACCAGTATCTAACTGTAGAACAACTTTGATTCAATAGCAAATTGAGTTCCTTTATGTTTGTTTCCCGAGTTTTCCATCTGATTATTTCAACTTTCTGTTCACTTAATCTTTATTAAAAAGTATATTAAATACAATTATGTTTTAGATTTACAAGCGAAATTTTTCAGGGACATAAAAAGGAAAAGAATATCAATAAAAGTATAGCTCTATGACCTGTGATATATGTGCTAGAATGGGTGTCAGAGGAATCTGACTAAACTTCCTAAGAATTATTGCTTTGTGATTATGTCCCTTCTACCCGTTGGGGATTTTGGCTTCAGACTTAAAATTTCAGACTAAAGATGGGTAGCATCTAATTGTCAAAAAAAGTGTTGCAATTAAATGATTTAATGTAATGTTTTTATAGAAATTCAAGGAGAAGCAAAGCAATTTTGAATTTTCATTATCTTGACAACAGTCTGGTTGAGATGGGTGCTATTTGGGTGGACTAAAGAAGATATGGTAATTATTAATCCCTTTAGATTCTAAAAATCTATTACTATATCAAATTCTCATTATTAGACTATTTCACAACTAGAATAAGTTACTTTATTTCCCTGTAGAAGCCTTACAAGACTCTTCTTTTATGTTACATTCTTCAATTTTATAAAGGAACAACATTAAATGAAGGAGAGTCCTGCATCTTTTTTGTAATTTCTCATGAAGGATTCTATGTGATACCCCTTATTAAAAGCTTTATACAATATTTTCCTCTCAGTGAGGAGAGTGAGACTCCAGTTTATTGCTCATAAAAAAAACTAATTATGGGACCTATGCATCCTGTTCCATTTCATCTGAAAACTCAGAGCTACGTTTTAAAATAACGTGATGAACTTATTAGTCAATCATGTGTAATGGTGAAAACACCCTCAAAAATGATTGCATAGGTTTTATGCTCTGGTCTTTGTTGAGAGGTCTTGGAAATATCTTTTTCAGTGAAAGTCATCCTAACTGCATTTTCTTACTCATTAATCATCCTCCCTTTATTTTCCCACTCTCCCCACTACCCTTCCCATTGTCTAGTAACCATTTTTATACTATCTCCATCAGTTTATTTTGCTCAGCTTCCACATAATAATTTAAAATATTTTTAAAAGAAAGTCATTCTAAATCATCTCGGAGAAAGTTTATAAATAATAAATCTATAAATGATCTAATTCATTTATAGATAGATTTATGTATCTAATCAAATAGGCTTTTTATCCCAAATACAATTAATTTAAAAATGATAAGAGCAAAAATAAAAATCTGTGGGGTGAAGAAACTAAATAAAACCTAGGTTAAGTGATTTATTTCTTCTTGTATTGATTGGTTTTTATACCAAATAAAGTGAGATGAAGAACTGTGTTAGTGTCTTATAGATACAGTCTGAATGAGTGAGTGTGTAAGTGAGTAAATGAATAAGGAAGAAGATAGCCTGACTACTGCCAAGAGAGGTCCTGGAAGGGACTGAGATTTTCAAAATTCCAAAGGAAGTATTATGGAGATAACCAAGTTGGTAAAATAATTAAAAAATGATTGACTAAATATTTTAAATAGATGATTTTATATTATATAAATTGTACCTTAATAAAGTGGTTGGGAAAAAAAAGGAAATATTCCAAGCAGATTAAATATGGAAGAAATCTCAACATTATGGCTCTATAGGAAGCAATTTCTTGAGTTGAAATTTAACTGGAAAATAAGATGCAAATGCCTTGAAGAAGATCTACTTTTTCGCTCATTTAATCAAAAGCATTACAACACATTTTACCATAAATATTTTTATTCATTTTTTAAGAAAAAATGAATTATAATTACAACAAATTAAAAGCGTGATTATGAAGAAATATATTAATAATATAATACTCTATGTCTCTGTTAGGCTGATTATCAGTCTACACTCTTCTCTCTTCCTCCTTTCACCTTTTCTCTCTAGTTTGCTGATTACGGCCCATATTTCCAGCATATTGAAATATTCTATAAGTCTGTAAGTAAATCGTGTCAGATTTGTGCTATCTGTAAACTTGCAAATTATACATATCCAGGTTATTGATGAAGGGCAAGAAAGAGGAAAGAGTCCCACGTTTTGCAATTATAGGCTGTCCTCCCTGATAGCACAGATTAACACTTTAGATTAAAACTTTATGTAAACGAGCCATTATTTAGATCAAATTTTCCTCAGAGATATTATCTGAGAATATCAGAAAAGCCATTCTACAACCCACATATAACACAATAAATGAGACTTTTATAAAATTACTAAGCAACATACATAAGTTGGGTACATGATTTGGGAGCTCATCTGTATTTATACATCACCCCCCGCCCATAGTCGTTATATCCAAAACATGCGTTTTAGCTTAAAGTAATTTTTCTCCTTTAAATTTTGTCATTGAGGAACAAAATTTCCTTCTCTTGGATTCAGGAGAAAGACACGTTAATCATATTTATATACATAGATACATCTACCTATCAACATGCCTTTGCTAGGTTTAGTTTTGTGTTTGTGTGTGTAAATGGAGAGAGAGGAAGAGGAAGAGACACTTAATAATGTACATTCAGTTTCCCATGTCTTACGTGTTGACATTATTTTTAAGTGAAGCTTTAATTTCAATATTTAGTGCTTAACAATAATTAATTACCCATTGGGCAATGATATCGACAGAGATGGTGAGAAGATAGAATCCCTGAAAAAATCTTCATATTCTCAATCCTCCTAAGGAATTTTGGTTCACCTACTGCACTTGATTGATCCATGTTTTTATATGGACAAAGGCCATGGAAAGAAGGAAAAAAAAAGTTCCTACAACTCTCACCTATGCAGAAGTCTTCCAGAATGTCTAACTGCCCCTCAGGAATCACTGAAGTTTGAAAAAGGCAAATATACATGCTTGTTAGTATATAACAGTCTATATTTTAGAGTATCACTTGCAAGTTAAAAATTATACATAGATAACACTTAGTTGATCACTTTCATGTGCCAGGCAGTTGACAGGCATTTTCACTTACTTCTTTTCTTCCTTCCCCTCCCTCTCTCTTTCTTTCTAATTGATAAATGAAAATTATATATGTTTATAATGTACAACATGATGTTTTCATATATGTAAACATTGTGGAATGGCTAAATCACATACTTATTTTCTGTGATGACAATGCAAAACCTACTCTCTTAGTGATTTTCAAGTGTATAATATATTGCTATTAGCTATAATCGCAATGATGTACAATAGATCACTTGAATTTTTTCCTTCTGTCTAATTGAAACTTTGTTCTTTGACGAACTTATCCCTCACCCTTCTCCTTCCCAGCCTCTGGTAACCACCATTTTACTTTCTATTTCTGTAAGTTTGACTTTTTTAGATTCCACATATTAAGTGACATCATTTGATATTTGTCTTTCTGTGCCTGGCTTATTTCACTTAATACAATGTCCTTGAGGTGTTGCTGCAAATGACAGGATTTTTTTCTTTATTTAGATTACAAACAAAGTCTGAAACCTGAGGCAATGGACCCACAGAACTATTCCTTGGTGTCAGAATTTGTGTTGCATGGACTCTGCACTTCACGACATCTTCAAAATTTTTTCTTTATATTTTTCTTTGGGGTCTATGTGGCCATTATGCTGGGTAACCTTCTCATTTTGGTCACTGTAATTTCTGATCCCTGCCTGCACTCCTCCCCTATGTACTTCCTGCTGGGGAACCTAGCTTTCCTGGACATGTGGCTGGCCTCATTTGCCACTCCCAAGATGATCAGGGATTTCCTTAGTGATCAAAAACTCATCTCCTTTGGAGGATGTATGGCTCAAATCTTCTTCTTGCACTTTACTGGTGGGGCTGAGATGGTGCTCCTGGTTTCCATGGCCTATGACAGATATGTGGCCATATGCAAACCCTTGCATTACATGACTTTGATGAGTTGGCAGACTTGCATCAGGCTGGTGCTGGCTTCATGGGTCGTTGGATTTGTGCACTCCATCAGTCAAGTGGCTTTCACTGTAAATTTGCCTTACTGTGGCCCCAATGAGGTAGACAGCTTCTTCTGTGACCTCCCTCTGGTGATCAAACTTGCCTGCATGGACACCTATGTCTTGGGTATAATTATGATCTCAGACAGTGGGTTGCTTTCCTTGAGCTGTTTTCTGCTCCTCCTGATCTCCTACACCGTGATCCTCCTCGCTATCAGACAGCGTGCTGCCGGTAGCACATCCAAAGCACTCTCCACTTGCTCTGCACATATCATGGTAGTGACGCTGTTCTTTGGCCCTTGCATTTTTGTTTATGTGCGGCCTTTCAGTAGGTTCTCTGTGGACAAGCTGCTGTCTGTGTTTTATACCATTTTTACTCCACTCCTGAACCCCATTATCTACACATTGAGAAATGAGGAGATGAAAGCAGCTATGAAGAAACTGCAAAACCGACGGGTGACTTTTCAATGAAATCCAGCCTTCCATAGTGTTAGATGTTTCTATTCATTCAGCAGATATAATTTCTTTAATATAATTCTGCTCAAAGATTTCATTCTGACACTACATTGATATAATTTGTAATGTGTTATATTACAGAGAAACAGTTTATTTCAAGAAAAAATATATCATTTTATTTTATACTACAAATATGTATATATAATGTATTACATATATACATAATGTATGTATTTATATTACAAATATATATACATGTAAGTATATATGTATATATATTTTTGTATATATATACAAAGCTTAAAATATATATACGTACATACATGTATATATGTAATGTAAAATAAAATGATATACATGTCATTTATTTATTCAGAGAAACGATATATTATTATATATTCAGAGAAATGATATATATATCATTTATACAGAGAAATAGTTAATTTCAACAAAAGTATATCATTTTATTTTATATTACAAATATATACATACATATATGTATGTATATTATGTATTTTATATATACATACATGTATTTTATTACAAATATATATACATACATGTATGTACATATGTATATATGTAATGTATGTATCTGTGTATGATTATGTTTGTAAAATAAGATAAAATGGTATATATATCTGTGAAGATGTATATATGTGTGTATATACACACGCACACACATACACACGTATGTATATGTATCTTCAACTCCACACATATATTTTGGAATGAACTCTGCATTTTCTAAAACCAGATTTATCTTACTAGTTTATTCTGCCCCAAAAGTTAATATGAAAAGGAATTTTTATTTTCTAATCATAGCTCAATACTGGAAATTGCATCATTCAAAGCAGGAGACATTTGGCACAGGGAGGCAAGCCTGGAATTAAATAATGCCCAGCAAATATTTGTCCTAATTTTGGAAGCTTGAAAGGAGGAAAAAGACAGCACCATTTCAAGATCCTATTGATTTTAAAAATATGCTTTTCCTAGTAGATGTGTATTATACTGAACGCTTTTATTTAAAAAATGAATACATTCCAGTGATTTTCATTACAGAAATTCATTTTAACATCGAAAAATCCATATTTTACGGCTCAATATTTTATAATGTAAACATAAACTATTGTGTTACATTTAATATGTATTGGATTATTAAATTAACACATTTTCACCCAACGTAGATTTTCAATAAACACTGCATCTCTTTCTGATTTGATTCTGTCTCCTGGGGCATCATTTATTAGGAAGTGTGCGTTTGAATGCCACAGATTCAGATGTTATGCTGAATTTTTACATGTCCATGGATCTTAAGAAGACAATTATAAACAAGAGTTAAATTTGATTTTTACTAAATTAATGTGCAGGGAACTCAAGCAATTTTCTCCTAGGTTGCCTCTGAGATATCAAACCAAAGGAGAAAATTGGGTAATGACTGAGTTAGTTAAGCAATTGAATGGAGCTTCCAATGACTTTGGATATTATATTCAATCCAGGAAGGCATGCTTCTGGGTACTTACGACTTGCCCCGTAATTGCAATCCAAACATATGCATAAATATAAAACAACATAGAAGAAAAACAATTTCTGCCTTAAGATAAAGTCCCCTTGCCTATTATAGTACTCTTTTTTTTATTTTATAGACTTTGAACATACTCAATTTTTACAATCAATTACACCTATATATGTGAACATTAACAAAAGCTTAAAGAGAAATCAACATCTGCCTTAGAATTAATTTTCTTTGTTGTTATTGATGTAATACTGATCACTGACTTGTTGCAGACTTTGGACATAATTTTTTAATCAAAATATAACAAATACTATCTATATATTTATTTATTCAATTATTATATGCTTTTCAAGTACCTACATTTCAGATTCCGGACAATGATCTAGGAGTGAAGATAGAGCATTTAAGAACATACATTACCAGACACTTGGATCTTTTCAATTAGTGAAATAAAGACAAGTATACAGACAATCACAAAATATGAGGCAAAATGAAAACTATGATAGAAATAAACAGGATATCCTCCCAGGGCCCATCAAAGAGAAACCTAATCCAATCCTGATTGTTAGGAAGCCTTTATTCCTTCAACTTTTCTCTGATTTTCTAGGATTCTTTCTTATTAAATTATATATATATAATTATATATTAAAATATATCTATAATATATAGTGTGTATATGTTTTATGCACTATAAATATATATGATATATAGTATGTATATATACTGTGTGTATGCATATATAAATATATATATACAGTCAGCGTGTGTGTGTTTAGCATAGGAATCGTCATCTTGTAAATGCCCAAATATACACCAGATCCCATAAGGTGTTTCTGACTTCTCAGAACTATCCAATGGCTCATGCTCCATTCCTAATCTCTGCTCAACTCTCCACATTGCTTTGTCCAGATCCATAAAGATAAATGTGGATCACTGCACTCTCTAAGCGCAGACATTCCTGGGGTTTAACTAGTAGTCTGGACTGTGTAAACATGGCTATTGATAGGTTAGTGAAATTTGAGAGAAGTCACCAATTTTTGTTTTTCATAAACAATGTGCATTTGCAGAGAACTTGTCACCGTCAGTTCGTAGGAAGCCACAGATTTCAAATTAGAGGAACCTTCCTGAATTTTGAGGAAGCATTTACAAAACTCATTTTCTGATTTTGAAATGAGGTAAGTTAAATACGTATTACAGTGAATGTTTTAAAATGCAAATAATGTGGTTCCATAATTGGCCCGCTGAATTTGAACTTTAGGAACCAATCCCAGAAATCTGCTATTTACTATAAACTGCCTCAGGTGATTCTCATTCACTGTTATGACTTAGAACCACTGAATAATTGCTGATGTTATCTGCAGGAGTAAATGCTATTAAGGAAAGGTTGGAAAGGTTTTCTTAACATATAAGACTCTTATTAGTGGACCAGGATGCATTTTCATAATTAATCATCCTAGAAATACATCATTAGGATATACTGATTTTTAAAAAACGCAACCTCCTAAAATACATTATTGATGGTTATAAGACGAGGTCAATGATAAGTTTCTGTGAAATTGAAGGAATCTTAAATATCCCTCCTTGTCTCTAACTGCAATCATTAAGATATTTGCTGCTTCCTCTCCTAATTCTCTTTGATATATTCATGCTTTTCTTCAACATGAATATTAAAACAATGTTAAAATCAAATTATTTTGTCTGAAGACTCTTACTAATGTAAGTCATTTTAAATGCTAAATTTTCATAGGAGAGCTCCAAATTTAAGGGTTTTCTTTTCTTTTCTTTTCTTTTTTTTTTGAGACAGAGTCTTGTTCTGTCACCCAGGCTGGAGTGCAGTGTGGCATGATCTCGGCTTTCTGCAAGCTCCACCTTCCGGGTTCATGCCATTCTCCTGCCTCAGCCTCCCAAGTAGCTGGGACTACAGGCGCCCACCACCATGCCCGGCTAATTGTTTTGTATTTTTGGGTAGAGATGGGGTTTCACCGTGTTACCCAGGATGGTCTCGATCTCCTGACCTCGTGATCCGCCCGACTCAGCCTCCCAAAGTGCTGGAATTACAGGCGTGAGCCAGGGCACTCGGCCTAAGGGTTTTCATATGAAGTAAAATGTCTTTCCTATAAACGGGCAAACTATTTTTTCACTTTTATCTCTTCCTGTTTGAACTCAGATGCAGTTTGAAGAGGATGAAGTCAAAGAGACTTTTAAAGAAAATGTATCCCCAAACATTGGCTTTTGTGACTCCCACCATCATGAGTGACCTGTGGATCATGCACAAGGTGGTGACTAACTTCTGCAACTCTAAGATTTCATTTTAGCAACCTTTTCTTCCCAGTTTCCAATATCTAGAATCTGATGTTCTATCTAGGAATGGTATGCCTACGTTATATTTTGCAACATTCTGTGGCTCGATGTTTTAAAATAAAAAGCTTTTGAAAGTCAATTGTATTTCTATACACTGGAAATGCAAAAATGAAATGTAACCAAAAGAAAAGCACTAAAACAATGATACATGGAACAATATCAAAAAAGAATAATAATATCAGCACTTAGTGGTATAAATTTTCCTCTCAGTATTCCTTTTGCTTTGTCCTCTGAATTTTGGTATATTATATTTTCATTTTAATTCAGTTCAATGTATTTTTTATTTCATTTGAATTTTGTTTCTATGACCATGTCTTATTTATAAGTGATTTGGATTGTTTCCAAGTGTTTGGAGATTTTCTTATCTTTCTATTCTTGCTTTGTTGTCTGAATGAATCACAGCTAGAGAACATCTTCCATATGATTTCAATTATTTTACATTTTTTTAGTTTGTTTTCAAAGCTGTACAGTTTTATTTTGATGGCTTGTGGCAAATGTCATACAATTTTAATATTGTTTTTTACTTTTATTTTAAGTTCAGGGGTACATGTGCAGGTTTGTTACATAGGTAAACTTGTGTCAAGGGGGTTTGTTGTATAGATTATTTCATCACACAGGTATTAATCCTAGTACCCATTAGTTATTTTTCCTGATCCCCTCACTCTTCCTACCCTTCATCCTCCCATAGGACCCAATGTCTGTTGTTCCTCTTTATGTGTCCACTTGTTCTCTTCATTTAGCTTCCACTTAGAGAACATGTGGTATTTGGTTTTCTGTAACTGTATTTGCCAAGGATAATGGCCTCCAGCTCCATCCATGTCCCTGCAAAGGACATGATCTCTTACTTTTTTATGGCTACATAGTATTCCATGGTGTACATGTACCACATTTCTTTATCCAGTCTATCATTAATGGACATTTAGGTTGTTGTGTTATGTTTCAGGATATAACCTATCTTGATAAAGGTTCTGTGGGTGTTTGAAAGGGATGTGCATTCTCATGTCATTGATGGAGTGTCCTACAAATGTCAATTAGGTCATGTTGGTTGTTAGTGTTGTTGAATTCTTCTATATACTTAAGGAACTATTTCTATTAATTGTGTAAAGAGGCATGTTGAAGTATCTAATTATAATTGTAGATTTGTCTATTCTTTCAGTCTTATCAGTTTTCATTTCACATAATTTGTAACTCACTTGTTTGGTACATTCATATTTAGAATTGCTATGGCTTGTCCCTTTTATCATTGTGTTATATCTTACTCTGTCCCTGGTAATTTTCTTTGCTCTGAATATACCTGATATTAAAACAGTTACTCTAACATCTTTTTGATTAATGTCTGCATGGTGCATCGTATTTCATCTTTTTATTTTCACACACTTGTGTCGTTATATTTGAATTGAGTTTCTTATAGATAGCATGTAAAAGGTCAATTTTTTCTACTTTGCGAATCTCTGTCTTGAAATTGGTGAATTTAAACCATTTATATCTAAAGTAATATTGATATGTTAGGATTAAGTCACCTATTTTATTTTTGATTTTGGTTTCTTCCCTCATTTTTAATTTGTTCTATTTTCCCTACTATCCTGTGGGTGACTGTAATATTTTTTTAGAATTTTATTTTGATCTATCTATAGAGTTTTTGGTGTATCTCTTTCTACAGGTTTCTTGGTGGTCATTCTAGGTATTACATTATGTAACCAGTTTACCAGTTCAAGTATAGTATAGAAATCTTATTCTTTCAGTCTCTTTATCCTCCCATACTTTAAATACAAAATTGTCTTAACTATTTATGTACATTGGGTACAACAATAAACAATGCAATAATGTTTGCTTTAACTGTCAAATTCAATTTGGAAAACTCAGGAGAAATAAAGGCTATTGTATTTACACATATTTTTCTTTTTATTTTTTTTTCTTTTGGTGTTCTAGGATTCTCAACATTTTTAATGTTTATTGTTTTGTCTTCAAGTTTACTGCTTCTTCCCTCTGTCCTCCCAAGTATGCTTTTAATTCCATTCATTGAGGTGTCCTTCTTCCTTGCTGTTCTGTATTTCTTCTTCCTTTTTCCTTCCCTCCATTCCTCCCTCCCTCCCTCCCTCCCTCCCTCCTTTCCTCCCTCCTTCCCTCCCTCCCTCCCTCCCTCCCTCCCTCCCTCCCTCCTTCCTTCCTTCTTTTCCTCCCTCCCTCCCTCCCTCCCTTCCTCCCTCCCTCCCTCCCTCCCTCCCTTCCTCCCTCCCTCCCTCCCTCCCTCCCTTCCTTCCTTCCTCCCTCCCTCCCTCCCTCCCTTCCTCCCTCCCTCCCTCCCTCCCTCCCTCCTTCCTTCTTTTCCTCCCTCCCTACCTCCCTTCCTTCTGTCTCCCTCTCTTTTTCTTTCTTTCTGTTATGGCATTTTTCAGTTCTATAATAAAACCTCCACTTCCATTTGTTTCTTTTTTATGTCTTCTATTTATTTCCTGAGACTTTTTATTTTGTATTTTCTTCAAACATGCTTGTAATTTCTCATTGAAGAATTTTATGATAATTTTAGTATCTGTTTTATCTTAGAATTGGCATCTATTCACTATTTTTTCATTCGAGCTGAGATTTTTCTGGTTTGTATGGTGAGAGTTTCTGTTTCTGTTTTTTAAATTAATCTTAGATATTTCAATGTAATGAGACTCTGGATACTATTTAAATCTTTTGTTTCAGCAGGCTTCATCTGGCACTGTGCCATCTGCAAAATGGAAGTAGAAATTAGATTCCCTTCTTGGCCTCTGTTGATTCTATAGAGAAGGCCCAGCAGGGTGCTTCATTACTGCTGGGCAGAGGTGAGGGTCCAATCTCCTTACTAGGTCTCTGCTGGCTGTCAGGGAAAAGGTCATCTTCTTATTACTCCCTGTATGACCTCAACTGACACTGTGGTGAGGGGGTACTCTTTACTGCTGGAAGGTTTTGGCAGCTTGGCTTCCAACTCAACCTTCTTTGATATCACCTTGGCAGTGAGGAGAAATTTACCTCACTTGATGGAGTAGAATTACCGGCTCTTCACGTGGTCTCTAATGACACCAATGGGAAGAAGGTTATTACTACCAGAAAGGTTAGAAATCTGGACTCCTTACTTTATTTTGGGGGAAGATAGGCCATCATTTATTTGTGGCCTTTTGTGGATGGAGAGCAGTTATTGTCTTGAAGTTTTCTATCTTTCCAGGCTTCTCCTTTTCTTGTCCTCTGGTTAAAGATAGTGGGCTTTTTTTTTTTTGGCTGGGGGGCTTGGGGGGCTATTTATGTCTGCATCTGTTGGTGTTTCTGGGCTGCTGGTTTCTCCAACACCCAATTGGACTTATATGAGGCAAATTAAAAGAAATAAAAATTGCAAAAAGGGAAATTATCATGCCATGTATTGGGTCTTGAAGTTTCTACCTAATTTGCTGCCTCGATCTTTCAGAGTTTCTTCTTTTTTTTAATGTTTGCATTATATAATATCCAGAGTTTTTGGTTGTGCATAGTAGCATGAATAGGGGAAAGTATATCTATTCCATTTTACCCCAGAACTGGGAGTCTACAATTTATTTTCAGACTATTGACTTTGTCATATTCAGTGATTATGCTAACTTCATTTATTAATTTGACTTTCTGTACATTCTCTTCAATTATCTATATACACATACTGTGACATTTGTTAATAATGAATATGTGATTCCTTCCTCTCCATTTCTTATACCATTCTATTTTTTTTCTTGTCTCATTACACTGCCTAAGCCTCCAGAATAATGTTGAATTATGGTGACAATATCAAGTATTATTTGTTTCTTAGTTTCAAGGTGAAAGTCTTTAATATTTCAACAGTGAGCATAATATTTATTTTAGAATTATTTTGTGGATACTCTTTATCAGATTAAGGATTCCCTAGCATAAGTTTACTTGTGATTAGTAGTTTACAAATTTGATATCTTTTTTAATAAATTGGTATTGAACTTTGCAATAATTTACTACATCTATCAATTTGTAAACATAGTTAATTACATGGATTGATTTTTTAATTTTCAACTAGTCTTACAAATCTGGAGTAAGACAAGTGGTTCATATTGTATTATCTTTCTACATATCAATAGATACAATTTGCTAATTATTTAAATGATCATTACATTTATGTTCATAGGTGATATTAATTTATAATTAATTTATTATTATTATGACATTATGGTCAGATTTTGAAATTTAAGACATGCTGGTGACAAAAAGAAATAAAAAGTATTCTCTATTTATTTACTTACAGGAAGAGTTTGTACAACATTGGTGCTATGTTTTTCTTGTGTGTTTAAAGAATTCGCTAATGTGAGTTTTCTTTGTGGGAAGGAATTTAAGAACAGATTTAATATATTTTTAATAAATCCCAGCCCATTATAGATTTTCCAAGTCTTCTGCAGAGTGCCTTGAATAGTCATATTTTAAAGAAGTTTTTCCATGTTTTTCAAATTATTAAACTTATTGGTATAATACATTTGGTCAATGCAATATGAGAAGATTCAAGAGCCAGGGTGAGATTCACCATGTGGCTGTTTTCCTACCCAAGCAGTAATGAAATTACATGTTGAGGTAAATCCTTCATCAGCATGAATCTGTTGGTGACTACAATAAGCAGAGATCAATGACTGACATGCATCCCATGTTATTATTGTTGCATGAATATAAAATAAATATTTGTTGTGTTAAGTGAATAATATTTTAGGGATTGTTATTTCATTATAAGCTGACCCCACACTGTCAAAATTAGTAATTTTTTTTTTTAAAAAATCTGAGCTTCATGTTTTATTTGAACAGGAACATTGTATATTGGATTTTAGATGTAAATGTATCAATCATTAGATGTGTTCCTATACATTTTTAAAATTTGTTTAGTTCAACCATTGTGGAAGATAGTGCAGTGATTCCTCAAAGACCTAGAACCAGAAATACCATTTGACCCAGCAATCCCATTACTGGGTATATACCCCCCAAAATACAAGTCATTCTATTATAAAGATACATGCACACATATGTTCATTGCAGCACTATTCACAATAGCAAAGACATGGAATGAACCCAAATGCCAATCAATGATAGACTGGACAAAGAAAATGTGTTGCATATACACTATGGAATACTATGCAGCCATAAAAAGGAACGAGATCATGTTCTTTGCAGGGACATGGATGGAGCCAGAAACCATTATCCTCAGCTAACTAAGTCAGGAACAGAAAACCAAACACCACATGTTCCCACTTATAAGTGGGAGCTGAACAGTGAGAACACATGGACACAGGGAGGAGAAAACCACACACCAGGGCCTGTCGGGGGGTGAGGGGAAAGGGGAAGGAGTGCATTAGGACAAATACCTAATGCCTGCGGGGCTTAAAACCTAGATGATGGGTTGATAGGTGCAACAAAACACCATGGCACATGTATACCTGTGTAACAAACCTGCACGTTCTGCACATATATCCAATAATTTATAAAATAAAATACAAGTTTGATGAATTCTTGCATCTTTAACATCTCTGAAAGTGTTTCTATGTCTCAATGAAAATTTTACAAGTTATTTTTACTAAGTATGAAATAAGAAAACCTCTCTAAAATATTTCTTTTGTTGTCAATGCCACATTGATGAGAAAAAATATAGAAGCCTCCTGCATTTATTTAACACATTTTTGTCCCATTTTATTTATTTTAGGTATTTAAGTTAGTTTGGGGAGTATAAAGATAATAAAGATAAAAGCTCAGTCAGTAATAAATTTACCAAACCTCTTTGGCTTCTGTCTTTGTCACACAGATTTGTTACTATGATTGCTTTAAAATCCAAAGACTAAAAAAGCTGTAAGAATGAAAATACTTCACGGTTCATTTGTATTTTATATTTTATTTTTGTTCAGTTTGTTGTAAACTTGAATGTCGATTTAATTTTTTATCTTTAGTTATAAAGATTTGGTAAACAGTAAACAGGCCTATGAATTTGTCTTAATACAACTTAAGGATACAACTAATGTCGAGGGGTTTATTGTTGATGATGATGACAGTAATATAAAATAAACTTTCCAATAATTGACAAATGTGAAAATGTCATGAACTCATTTATATACACTTTCGAGTATCCTGCACAAACTGGCAGATCAAACTGTTGTTGCAATGTGGTAAGTCAGCCAGTGTAGAACTTAACCTTCTATACCCTATATCATTGAAAAAATCATCTTTAATGAATAAATTATTTTTGAACTGTGTTATGTATGAGGCAGGCACCATAGTAGACATATTCATGTCTGTTTTCATTTTTCGTCTTCACATCAGCACTGAGAGGTACACATCATTTTATGCATGCTATGTATGAGGAAATGCGGGCTTCAAGGCGTAAAAAAATTTTGAGGTTTACATGAATTGTGATTCAAAGAGGGATATTTGAACCCACAATATTAGGCAACTGCTTTCTCTACTACATGTGATAAGGTGATGAAACTAATATATTCCATTAGCTTGTTGTTATATAGTCATAAATTGAATTCACTCTAATACATCTAACTGATATCTCTTAAATATGTACAGAAAGAAATACCTGTAAATTGACTGCAGATATCTACAGATGCTCCTCAACTTATGATGGGCTTATGTCTGAATAAACCCACCGTAAGTTGAAAATACTGTAAGTCAAGAATGTATTTAATAAACCTAACCTACTGAACATGATAGCTTAGCCTAGCCTCCCTCAAACATGCCCAGAACATTGACACTGGTCTACAGTTAGACAAAATCATCTAACACAAAGCAAATTTTATAATAATAAAGAGTTGAATGTAATTTATGGAATGCTGTGCGGAAAGTGAAAAACAAAATGGTTACATGAGTAATCAAAGTATGGTTTGTACACCATCTTAAAGACAAAAAATTATAAGGTGAATCATCATAACTCAGGGACCATCTGTAGTTGTAATAAGTTAAAATTGAAGAAAAACAAATAAAGCAAGGTAGAGAAGGCAGTGAAGGCTTAGAAAAAGTGGTTTGTACCAGTGCCAAATGACAAACTAAATGGAAATACTGGATGGAATAAAATTTGATGAGGTGAATACATAAGAGGAAAAAGACAATCTGATAGAAAAATCAGATTTGATTGAATAAAAAAGTAAACAGATTAGTTATAGTGTACAGTTGAATGATAAAGTCAATAATAGGGCTATTTTGATTTAATGAAATAAATTTAAAAACTAGGCAACCACCTTCTAACTCATTATTTGAAAAGTTATTATTTTAACCTCAGATTTTCTACTTTCAAAAATTCATATCAATGTCTCATGTCTCCTGCTTTTTCCAAGTAAGCCCATTTCTGACCCAGAGCTTCTGCATGGCTGACTTTACCTCTTTGTTCCGAAGTGTGTAGATGAGGGGGTTTAGCATTGGGGTAATAACATTGTAGAGTACAGACACCATCTTGTCCACAGAAAATGTAGAGAAAGGACGAGCGTAGATGAAAATACAGGGTCCAAAAAACAGTGTTACCACCATGAGGTGAGAGGCACACGTGGAGAGTGCCTTTCGCCTTCCTTCCTTGGAGCGAATCTTGACTAGGATAGTGGTGTAGGAGGAAATCAGCACCACAAAGGAGATGGTGGAGATCAACCCACTGTTAGATACCATGAGCAATTCAATGACAAAAGTGTCAGCACAAGCAAGTTTGATGACAGGGGGAACATCACAAAAAAAGTTTTCCACCTGATTTGGCCCACAAAAGGGTAGATGGACAGTGAGAATGGTCTGGACAGTGGAGTGCACAAATCCTCCCATCCAGGAGGCAGCAACCAACACACAGCATAACCCCTGACTCATGACAGTGGTGTAGTGCAGCGGGCGACAGATTGCAACATAGCGATCGTACGCCATCACTGTGAGCAGGAACATCTCAGCTGCCCCTACAAAATGCAGGAAGAAGAGTTGCACAATGCATTGGTCATAGGAAATGAGTTTTTCATGATTAAAGAAGTCAGCCAGAAGCTTAGGGGTCGTTACTGTTGAATAACATAGGTCCAGAAATGAGAGGTTGCCAAGAAGGAAATACATGGGTGATGAATTCAGGTATTTATCAGATGCTACTGTGACCATGATGAGGACATTGCCAACCCAAATGGACATATAGAAGAAAAGAAATAGTACAAATAGCCCTGCTTCAATAGATGGTGTCTGTGAGAACCCTGACAAGAAAAATTCTCTCATCACTTCTGTTTGGTTTTTATCCATTTGACCTGGCTCTACCTAGATCAAAGAGATTAAACAATAGGGCATTAGTGACATTTAAAATGAATGAGGTAATTCATATCAAATACAAGACTCTGCTCATTTCAAAAGAGAGATTTTTCATCCTCTAAGATACATCCTGATTAATTAGCTGGAAGAAATTATTTTCTCCTTACCTAATATAAATGTATATTATTTCACCAGCTGCAACCTCAAGACACTGATGACATGGCCAAGGTTGATTAGAACATGAAGTTACCTGGCTCCAAGCTACTAACTTCCACATGATGCATTTCTGTCTTCCAACATTCAACACATTACTTCTCTCTCCTTTTCCACATTCAGTCTCAAGAAATGTTATATTTTTCTGAAATTTTTTTTTAATAAGAATATTTGGGGAAAAAATAAAATCAAAGGTAGAATTTCAGATTCCAGTAAATGGACATTAGATCTGTAGAGCTTTTATTTGAGAAAAGGGAATCCCTGTACCCTTTGCCATCAAGAAAACTCTTGTAGGACTCTAACCTGTGCACATAGCTACAGGAAAGATCACATTCCACTTGGGATTATTGCTAGTTCAATGACCTCTTAGTATATTTTCTTTGATATGCCTCTTCAGCTTACCATATTCTATAATACACTTATTTCCAGTTTATTATTGTAAATGATATATTTCTTATCTTAAATCATACCTGTGGGCATATAGGTACACATTATGCTTATAATGATCTAAATATAATTATAAAATGGTTATTCATGCATTGAAATGACTCTCCTTTGACTAGTCTATCAAATCAAATAAAAATCAACTATTTCTCTGAGATAAAAATAGCAATTTGTATGTTGTGTATATTTTTTCCATTTACATAAACAATAGCTGGAACATGCTACTGTATGAGTTGAAATGGGTGATGGTCCACGGAGAACTGCGGGGAGGGGTGTTTTTGGTGTTTTGTGATAGCTGTTATTCACTCAAATTCTATAGTTAAGTTGTGCCATACACAGAGCAACATTTTGAAGACTTAAGACATAATAGTTAGATAGCAATTTATAGTTTAAATATTGAATTTTATTCACCTTATTTTAGTTTATGCCACTGTTAAATCTATAAACGGTATACTTTCATTTAGGCAAATCGACGAGGATAAAAATATTAAAAAAATAATTTTAAACTAAACAAAAGTTAGCTTAAAAATAATAAAATTTACATATTCCTTATTTAAGGCAATGATGTAAATATAAAGATTACATCAATTATATGTAAGAGTTAAAAATATCAAGACACTATGAGGTAAAACTTCCAAATTTAAATATTAGTTTGTTGAACTGGTGTTTAAAAAATATTTATTAACTTTAGAAAATGGTCACATAATAAAAGAAAAAACAGGACACAAAACTATACTTAAAATATGATACAATCTATATATACAGAAAAGTTAAATTATATAAGACACTAGACTACATGTAAAGGCAATAAAATATTTATAAAAATTCACCTTAACAATTGAGACTTTCTTCTTACCTACTGAGAGTTCCTATGCATATCTGTAGGGTTTATGACATTTTATTCTTATATACAAAAATCCAAAAAATGGATTTTTTCTCTTTCTGCAACTTAATTATTACTTAACATTTCAGGTAATAATTTCTCTTAATTATAATCCATTTAACTTGTTTTGAGAGTAAAAGTTGTCTAGATATAACATCAAATAATCTCACTTTCAGAATCATGAAAAACATGAAGAAAATAATTATCTTCCCAATTCTCAGAAGCAAAGATTGTTAATTTTGCTAGCCATATACTCTTAAAACCTTTTAAAAATGCATTGTTTGATTTACACAATATAACATTGCATAGACAATATTATATTGAAAAAGAGCACAATTAGCATTGAATACTACTTCTGCAGGTAGGCCCTGATGACAGGAGCATGAAGAAAGGCTGTCAGTATAATAGATTTTAAGTCAAATTACATACCTTCTTGTCTGTAAATTCTTAGGTCCTGCAGTCATGGACTCCTGGCACATTAACAGTATACAACCATCCTAGATATTATAGACCAAGAAAATTAATGAATTAAGATGAAAACCCCTGGTTACACTGGCCACCATTACGAAATTTTGATGTTTAGGGATTTCAAGATTCAGCTACTCACAGTCAAATCACAAAGGAAATCATTAAAAATTTTTAATCAATCCTTTTTCAGAAATTATGAAACATAAAAATATATGGGATGTGAGGGTAGAAAGCAATTAATAGAAGAGGAAAAGAAGATCTGAGAGTTGTAATAATGTCAGCTGGATTTTATAGAGAGGTAAGGGTCCCCCTGGCCCACATGGCTGAGGTTAGTGGAAAGGGTGATGAAACATTAAGGAAAATTTGGCTTGAAGGGCCTTGCATTTCTTCTACCAGTACACCTTTGCTTGTACTGCTTTATCTGGAGTACCTTTTCTAATCAGAATTATTGACGTTAGATTTAATTTAATTTTGTTTAATATTACAAAAATGTCTTAAGTAAATATAAAAGTTTCCACTTTGTTCTTTTTCTGCCTCTATACCACTGAGAGGGGAAGAGAGGGAAGAGAAAGAGCGAGAAAGGCTTTCCTCAATACAGTAATATACCGTGGATGTGATTTCGTGTGCTATATTCAGCTCTAATTATTATTACTAATTTTTTTTAGATGGAGTCTTTCTCTGTCCCCCAGGCTGGAGTGCAGTGGCCCCATCTTGGCTCACTGCAACCTCCACCTCCCAGGTTCAAGCAATTCTCCTGCCTCAGCCTCCTGAGTAGCTGGGATTACAGGCCCATGCCACCACTCCTGGCTATAGTTCTAATTATTTTTAACTGATATATGATAATAAAACCATCAAATATGGTATGTTATAATAAAATATTCTATCAATGGGGTTGTAGATCATCTATTTTATCATTATAATAAAAGATTCTACAGTGAACAATTTGTTCATATTTCTTCAGACTGCTATTCAGTATATGTAAGAGACAGAGGCTGAAAGTAAAATTTCTGAGACAAATGTGGACAGGTATTTCTCCCCCAAAAAACTGTAGTAATGTATACTTCCATGAGCCATGTATGTGATGCTATTTTCATATTCTTTCCTACACTAGATAATATCATTCTTCAATTTTAATGATAATTTTTCAAATATGATGTATAATAATGATAGTACATTTTAGTTTGCATTTGCCTCAGCAGCACTGTGGATGAACATCTTTTCAGATTTTTATTAGTCACACATATTTTAATTCTAAAAATTGCATGTTCATCACTTTAATTTCTGAATGTTTATCATATTTTCTTTATTAATGTATGAAAGTTCTCTAGACTTCAAAAATATTAAACAATACAAATGTTTGAAACATTTATTGCAAACCTAAATTTACAGCTGATTGAATTTTTGCTTATGTAAACTTCCAACCAGATGGAGACAGAACATTAACAATGCCTCAGATGACTTCCTCACTCCTCCCAACAAAACGCCTAAAGCTAACCTCTTTTATAACCTCTATCGCCTTTGATTAATTTTGCCTGTGTTTGAACTTTGTATAAATGGGATTATAAAATATATACCCTTTCTATGTGTGTTGATTACTTTGATTTGACATTATGACTGAAATTTATTCTAGTTATTGCGTGTGTCATTATACATTTTTATTACTAACAATCTTTATTATTTCTTCCATTATTTAAGCATACGACTGTTTATACATTGTACTGTTGCTGGATATTTGGGTAGTTTCTCATTTTTGGCTAATACAAAAAAAGCTTTTATGAACATTCCTGTACATATTTTGATGGACATTGTATTCATTTCTGATGGATGTACACTAGGAGTGTAACTTTTCAATCCTAAAGTAGATGTATATCTAATTTGATAAGAAACTATAAAACATTCTTCAGATACAGTTGTATCAATTTACAATACCACCACTGTTGTAACAGAGTTTACATCGCTCCATATTCTCCTCAACATCTACCTTTAAAAAGAAAAATAATTTAGTTACTCTGCTGGGTACTAATTGTGGTTAATTTGCATATCCTTGATAAGTAATGATGCTGAACATCTCATATGTTTATTTTCTATTTGAAAATCTTTTTCATGAGGTGTCCATTCAATTTGTTTTCTCAATTGTTGAGTCACTTGCATTTTCTTACTGAACTATAGGAATCTGTTATATATGATATAAACAACTCCTTTGTTGATATATGTATTACAATTATCTAATATTATCTGCGGCTTACCTTTTCACTTTGTTAGTGATATCATTTAGTAAACAGAAGTTCTCATGCAGTCCATTTGTAACTAAAAATCAACTACCACACTAGGCTTCATGAAAATTAAGAACTTCTGTTTACTAAATGATATCACTAATGAAGTTCAGCATCATTACTTATCAAGGGTATGCAAATTAACCACAATTAATACAGTTGTATTTCTATACCCAGATATTTGATAAAGCATTATTTAGTCTCAATCATTGTATTAGTTATTCTCAATGCTTCAGTAGGCACTGAACCTGTCCTCCTTCTGCTGGAATGGAAATCCAGATGGTTTGGCACTTGACTAGAATGATTGGGCTGCCCAAGGTGTGTCTGTAAAGGAGTTTATGTAGGAGATTGCTGTGAGAGTCAGGGGACTGAGTAGGGAATATCCTCCCTCAATGTGAACAGGTACCTTCCAAGAAGCTGAGGGTCCAGGTGGAGGAATTCTCAGCTTTCATAATCAGTGAGCCAATTTCCCCTAATACATCTCCTCTCTCTCTCCCTCTCTCTCCCTCTCTCTCTCTCTCTCATCTTTCTCATCTCCCTCTCTCTTTCTCTGTCTCTCTATATAAAGAGATATATAATATATATTCTTAATTTTCTTTTTTGGCTGTTCATTGTTAGTGTATAGAAATACAATTGTTATGTGATAACTTTTGTATCCTGTTAATTGGTATTGAGGTAGTTTCCTTCTATTCCTAGTGTTAAGTGCTTTTGTCATGAAAAGATGTTGAATTTTTTCAGATGATTTTCTGTATCAATTGTTTTCCCCCTTCATCTGTTAATGCAATGTGATATATTACATTGATTTTTTTTGTGTTAAAACATCTTTGTATCGTAGGAATAAATACCACTTGGTCATAGTATATAATCTTTTTAATGTGCTATTGAGTTCAGTTTGCTAGTATTTTGTTGAGAATTTTGCAACAATGTTCAGAAGTGACATTGGCCTATTGTTTTCTTTTCCTGTAGTTTTTTTTGTCTGGCTTTGGTATCAAGGTGATACTGGTCTCATAGAATAAGAGGAGGAAGTATTCCCTCCTCTTAAATGTTTTGAAAAAATTTTGAAGAGAATGGGTGCAAAATAATTCTTCCTTAAATGTTAGTAAAATTCACTAGTGAAGCCACAATGTCCAGTCTTCTCTTTGTTGGGAGACTTTGATCACTAATTCAATCTCCTTACTAGTTATAGATATTTTCGTAGTTTTTATTTTTTCATTATTAAGTCTTCCTGGGTCTTGTACTCCTAGAAATTTGTACATTTTGTCTAGGTTATTCATTTTATTGGCATGCAATTATTCATAGTACTCTTTTATAATCCTTTTTGTTTCCCTAGAGTTGGTAGTAATGTACTGTTCTCATTTTTATGTCTGGTTTTAGTAATTTGAGATTTCTCTCTGTTTTTGTTAGTTCATCTAGCTAAAGTTTGCCAATTTTGTTGTCTTTTCAAATAACCAACTTTTGATTCCATTGAATTTTTCTATTGTTTTATGTTCTCTATTTCAGTTATCTCTACTTTTTATTATTTCCTGCTTCCTGCTAGGTTCAGG
Source organism: Homo sapiens (assembly GCF_000001405.40). NCBI lineage: Eukaryota > Metazoa > Chordata > Mammalia > Primates > Hominidae > Homo > Homo sapiens. The sequence goes on along the minus strand of NW_025791796.1, from coordinate 199,013 downwards.
TGTAGTTTGTTTTATTTTTTTCAAGTTCTTTAAGTTGTAAAGTTAAGTTGTTGATTTGAAAACTTTCTAGCTTTTATTTTTTAATGTAATATTTTTAAATTTTAGATTCAAGGAGTACATATACAGGTTTGTTACATGGATATATTGTGTAATGCTGGGGTTTGGGCTTCTGTAAAAACCACCACCCAAATAGTAAACATAATCTCCAATAGGTAGTTTTAATTTCCTTCCAACATTTATTTTGGGTTTGGGGTTATATGTGCATCTTTATTACATGGGTAAATTGGATGTCATGGGGGTTCAGTAGACTGATTATTTTGTCACCCAGGTAATGAGTATAGAACCATATAGGCAGTTTTTTAATCCTCATTCTCCTCCCACCCTCCACCTTCAAGTAAAGCCCAGTGTCTATATTTCTGTTCTGTGTGTCCATGTGTACTCAATGTTTAGCTCCTATTTATAGGTGAGAATGTGCAGATTTTGGCTTTCTGTTCCTACATTAATTCATTTAGGATAATGGCTTCAAGCTCCATCCATGTTGCTGCAAAGGACATGACTTCATTCTTTCTTATGGCTTTATAGTTTTCAATGGTGCATATGTACCCCATTTCCTTCTTTCAATCCACCATTGATGGACATCTAGGTTGATTCCATGTCCTTGCTGTGAATAATGCTGTGATGAACATATGTTTGCATGTGCCTTTATTGTAGAATGATTTATATTCTTTTGGGTATGATATGGTTTGGCTGGGTCCTCAAACAAATCACATCTTGAATTAGAGTTCCCATAACCCCCATGTGTCATGGAAGAGACCCAGTGGGGAGTGATTGAATCATGGGAACGGTTTTCCCCATGCTGTTCTCATGACTGTGAGTGAGTTCTCCTGAGATCTCATGGTTTTCTAAGCATCTAACATTTCCCCTACTGGTACTCATTCTCTCTCCTGCCACCCTGTGAAGAGGTAGGTGCCTTCCACCATGACTGTTTTCCTGAGGTCTCCCCAGCCATGTGGAACTGTGAGTCAATTAAACCTCTTTTCTTTATAAATTACCCAGTCTTGGTTATTTCTTCATAGCACCGTGAAAATGAACTAATATAGTAAATTGGTACCAGGCATGGAGTGCTTCTATAAAAATACCCAAAAATGTGGAAGCAACTTTGGAACTAGGTAACAGGCAGAGGTTGGAAGAGTTTGGAGGGCTCAGAAGAAAAGAGAAAAATATTGGAAAGTATGGAACTTTCTAGAGCCTTGGAGGGCTCAGAAGACAGGAAGATGTGGTAAAGTTTGGAACTTCCTAGTATGAACCCCAAAAGTCTGAGACAAGTCCCAGTTAATTTAGAAAGTTTATTTTGCCAAAGTTGAGGATGTGTGCCCGTGTGTCAGTAGGTCCTAACAACATGTGCCCAAGGTGGTCAGGGCACAGTTTGGTTTTATACATTTTAGGGAGACATGAGACATTAATCAAAATATACAAAATGAACATCGGTTTGTTCTGGAAAGGTGGGACAACTCGAAGTAAGGGCAAGAAGACTGGAAATGGGGAGGGGGCTTCCAGGTCATAGGTAGATAAGAGACAAATGGTTGCATTCTTTTGAGTTTCTGATTAGCCTCTCCAAAGGAGGCAATCAGATATGCATTTATTTCAGTGAGCAGAGGGGTGACTTTAAACAGAATGGGAGGCAGGTTGTCCCTAAGCAGTTCCCAGCTTGACTTTTTCCTTTAGCTTAGTGATTTTGGGGCCCCAAGATTTATTTTCCTTTCACATTAGAGACATATTGAATGGCTTTGACCAACATGCTGATAGTGATACGGACAATGAAAGCCAGGCTGAGGTGGTCTCAGATAGAGATTAGGAATTTTTTGGGAGGTGGAATAAAGGTGACTCCTGCTATGCTTTAGCAAAGAGACTGGTGGCACTTCATCCTTGCCCTAGAGATCTGCGAAACATTGAACTAGAGAGAGATTATTTAAGGTATCTGGCTGAAGAAATTTCTAAGCAGCAAGATGTTCAAGAAAAAGCAGAGCATAAAAGTTTGGAAAATTTGCAGCCTGATTATGTGATAGGAGAGAAATTCAACTCAGCTGCATAAATTTGGATAAGTTATGATGAGCTGAATGTTAATCACCAAGACAATGGGGAAAATGTCTCCAGGGCATGTCAGAGACCTTCCCAGAAGACTCTCCCACCACAGGCCCAGAGGCCTACCAGGGAAAAATTGTTTTGTGAGCTGGGCCCAGGGCCTCCCTGCTCTATGCAGCCTCAGGACATGGTGTCCTGCATTCCAGCTGCTTCAGCTCCAGCTGTGGCTAAAAGGGTCCAAGGTACAGCTCAGGCTATTGGTTCAGAGGGTATAAGCCTCAAGCCTGGGTGGCTTCCATGTGGTGTTGAGCCTGTGGGTGCACAGAAGTCAAGAACTAAGGTTTGGGCACCTCCCCCTAGATTTCAGAGGATGTATGGAAATACCTGAATGTCCAGGCCTAAGTTTGCTGCAGGGGTGGGGCCCTCACAGAGAACCTCTGCTAGGACAATGCAGAAGGGAAATGTGAGGTGGGAGCACCCACACAGAGACCCCACTGTGTCACTGCCTAATGGAGCTGTGAGAAGAGGGCCACCATCCTCCAGACCCCAGGATGGTAACTCCACTGACAGTTTGCACCATGCACCTGGAAGTTACAGACACTCAACGCCAAACCATGAAAGCAGCTGGGAGGAAGTCTGTACCCTGCAAAGCCACAGGGGCAGAGCTACCCAAGACCACGGAAGCCCACCTATTGCATCAGCATGACCTGGATGTGAGACATGGAGTCAAAGGAGATGATTTTGAAACTTTAAGGTTTAATGACTGCACTATTGGATTTTGGACTTTCATGGGGCCTGTAGCCCCTTTGTGTCGGCCAATTTCTCCCATTTTGAATGGGTTTGTTTACCCAATGCCTGTACCCCCATTGTATCTAGGAAGTAACTAACTTGCTTTTGATTTTACAGGCTCATAGGTAAAAGGAATTTGCTTTGTCTCAGATGAGACTTTGGACTTGGCCTTTCTAGTTAATGCTGGAATGAGCTAAGACTTTGGGAGACTGTTAGAAAGTCATGACTGGTTTTGAAATGTAAAAAGGACCTGAGATTTGGGAGGGGCCAGGGGCAGAATGATATTGTTTGGCTGTGTCCCTACCCAAATCTCATCTTGAATTATAGTTCCCCTAATCCCCATGTGTCATGGAAGGGACCTGGTGGGAAGCGATTGAATCATGGGAGCAGTTTTCCCCCTACTATTCTCGTGATAATGAGTGAGTTCTCACAATATCTGATGGTTTGATAAGCATCTGGCATTTGCCCTGCTGGCACTCACTCTCTCTCCTTCTGCCCTGTGAAGAAGTGCCTTCCGCCATGATTGTAAGTTTTCTAAAGCCTCCCCATGTAGAACTGTGAGTCAATTAAATCTCTTTTCTTTATAAATTACCCGGGTATTTCTCAAGTATTTCTTCCATAGCAGTGTGAGAATGGACTAATACAGGGTAAACACATAGTAATGAGATTGCTGAATATCCAATAGGTAGTTTTTCGATCCTGCTCCTCTCCCTCCTTTCTCCATTTTGGAGAATGCAGTGTCTATTATTTCCATCTTTATCTCTGTGTGTGGCCATTTTTTATCTCTCACTTATATGTAAGAACATGTGGTATTTAATTTTCTGTTTCTGTATTAATGAGCTTAGGATAATGACCTCCAGCTGCATCCATGTTGCAGCAAAGAGCATAATTTTATTCTTTTTTTGGTTATATAATATTCAGTGACAATAAACATTTTCTTTATTCAATCTACCATTGATGGGCACTTAGGTTGATACCATGACTTTGCTGATTCACCCAAATCACATCTTGAATTGTAATCCCCACATGTCAAGGGAAAGCCTGGTGGGAGGTGATGTGTTCATGGGGGAAGTTTCCCCCATGCTGTTCTTGTGATAGTGAGTGAGTTCTTGCGAGATCTGATGGTTTAAAAGTGTTTGGTAATTTCCCTCTCCGTCTTTCTCTCTCCTGATGCCATGTAAAATGTGGCTTACTTCTCCTTCACCTTCCACCATAATTGTAAGTCTCCTGAGGGTATGTGAAACTGTGAGTCAATTAAACCTCTTTTGTTTATAAATTACCCAGTCTCAGGTAATTCATTACAGCAGTATGAAAATGGACTAATACACATGTTGCAGCAAAGGGCAGGATTTTATTCTTTTTCATGGCTACATAATATTCGGTGGTGTATGTGTACATCTTCTTTATCCAGTCTACCATTGATGGGCACCTAGGGTGACACTATGACTTTTCTGACTTTACTGTTGTGAATAGTGCTGTGATAAACATAGGAATGCAAGTGTCTTTTTGGTAGAACAGTATCTTTTCTTTTGAGTAGATACCCAATAATGATATCTAATGCTGGGTCAAATGATATTTCTGTTTTTAGTTCTTTGAGAAATCTACATGCTGCTTTTCACAGCGGCTGAACTAATTTACATTCCCACCAACATTGTATAAGTGCTCCCTTTCGTTTGCATTCTTGCCAACACCTGTTGTTTCTTGACTTTTTAATAATAGCAATTGTGACTGGTGTGAGATGAAATCTCATTGTGGTTTTGTACTGTATTTCTCTGGTGATTCATGGTGTTCAGCATTTTTCATGTTTGTTGACTACTTGTATTCCTCTTTTTGAGAAATGTCTCTTTATTTGCCCAGTTTTTAATGGGTTTTGTTTTTTTCTTGTTGATTTGTTTAATTTCCTTATAGATTCTACATATTAGTCCTTTGTTGGATGAATAGTTTGCAAATATTTTATCCAATTTTGTATACTTTCTTTTTACTCTTGATAGTTTCTTTTGCTGTACAGAAGCTCTTTAGTATAATTAAGTCACAATTGCCATTTGTTTATTTATTTAGAGACAGAGTTTTGCTCTTGTTGTCCAGGCTGGAGTGCAGTGGCCTGATCTTGGCTCACTGCAACCTCCGACCCCAAGTTCAAGCGATTCTCCTGCCTCGGCCTCCTGGGTAGCTGGGACTATAGGCGGCCACCACCACACCTGGCTAACTTTTGTATTTTTAGTAGAGATGGGGTTTCACTATGTTGGCCAGGCTGGTCTTGAACTCGTGACCTCAGATGATCCACCAGCCTTGGCCTCCCAAAGTGCTGGGATGCCAATTTTTATTTTTGTTGCATATGCTTTTGAGGTCTGAGTTATAAATTATTTGCCTAGGCCAATATCCCAAAGATATTTTCCTAGGCTTTCTCCTAGAATTTTTATACTTTGAGGTCTTACATTTAAGTATTTAATCCACATTGAGTTGATTTTTGTATATTGTTAGAGGTACTCGTCCTGGTTCATTCTTCTGTATATGGTTAGCCTGTTATTTCAGCACAATTTATTGAATAGGGTGTCCTTTCCCCATTGTTAATTTTTGTCAAGTTTGATGAATATCAGTTGGTTATAGGTGTGAGGCTTTATTTCTGGGTTCTCTCTTTTGTTCTCATGATCTACATGTCTATTTTTTACCAATACCAGGCTGTATTGGTTACTAGAGCCTTGTATTACAGTTTAAAGTCAGGTAATGTGATGTCTTCAGCCTTGTTTTTTTGCTTAGAATTGCATTGGCTATTTGGGCTCTTTTTGATTCTGTATGAATTTTAAGATTGTTTTTTCTAATTCTGAAAAAAATGATGTTGTTAATTTGATAGGAATTGTGTTAAATCTGTTGATTGCTTTGGGCAGTATGGCTATTTAAATTATATTGATTCTTCCAATTTATGAGCACGCAATGTTTTTCCATTTGTTTGTGTCAATTATAATTTCTTTCATCAGTGTTTGGAAGTTCTCCTTGCAAAAATCTTTCATCTCTTTGATTAAATATATTCCTAGGTATTTTATTTTTTCTTATAGTAAATGAAATTATGTTCTTGCTTTGTTTCTCAGCTTGAATGTTATTGGTGTTTATAAATGCTACTTATTTTTGTATGTTGACTGAACTTTACTAAAGTTGTTTATCAGATCTAGGATTATTTTGGAGAAATCTTCAGTGTTTTCTAGGTGTAGAATTGTAATCAGCGAACAAAGATAATTTGACTTTTTTTTTCTAATTTGGATGACTTTCATTTCTTTCTCTTTCCTGTTTGTTCTGGTTAGGGCTTTTAGTACTCTACTAAATAGGAATCATGAGAGTGGAAATCCTTGTCTTATTTCAAGTTTTGGGAAAATTCTTTCAACTTTTGCCTGTTCAATATAATGTTGGCTCTCCTTTTCTGATAGGCAGCTCTTATTACATTTCTTTGATGCCTAGTTTGTTGAGGATTTTTAGCATGAAAGGATGTTGAATGTTATCAAGTGCTTTATTTGTGTCTATTAGGATGATCGTATGGTTTTTGTTTTTAATTCTTTTTATATGGTAAATCACCTCTATTGATTTTCATATGTTGAACTCTCCTTATATTCCAGGAATAAAGCCCAGCTGATCATAATAAATTATCTTTTTGATGTGCTGCTATATTCAGTTTGCTAGCATTTTGTTGAGCAGTTTTGCATCTGTGTTCATCAGGGACATTGGTCTATAGTTTTCTTTTCCTTTTTTTTTTGTTGTGTCCTTGCCAGATTTTGGTATCAGAATAATATTGGTTTCATAGAAGGAGTTAGGTAGGAATATCTCCTCCTCAATTTGGGATAATAGTTTTATTAGGATTAGTACCATCTCTTCTTTTTATGTCTGGTAGAATTTGGCTGTGAATCCATCTGGTCCAGAGATTTTCTTGGTTGGTAGGGATTTTTTTTTTTTTCTGATTCAATTTTGTAACTCATTATTGGTCTGTTATGGGTTTCCATTTCTTCTTGGTTCAATCTTATAACACTGTGTATTTCCAGGAATGTATCAATTTCCTCTAGATTTTCTAATTTGTGCACATAAAGATGTTCATAGTAATCTCTGGGGATCCTTTGTATTTCTGTAGTATCAGTTGTAATGTCATCTTTGTCATTTCTGATTTTGCTTATTTGGATCTTCTCTCTCTTTTCTTTATTAACCTAGCTAATCCTCTATCATTCTTGTTTAGCCTTTCAAATAACCAACTTTTTGTTTTATTGATTCTTTGTATTTTCCTGTGGTCTGAATTTTATTGACTTCTGTTCTGATCTTAGTTTTTTTTTCTGCTAACTTTGTTTAGCTTGCTCATATTTTTCTAGTCCCTTTAGAGGCAAGGAAAGGTTATTTATTTGTGATCTTTCTATCTTCTATTTTTTTTTTTTTTGAGACGGAGTTTTACCCTTCTCACCCAGGCTGGAATGCAATGGTGCGATCTCTGCTCACTGCAACCTCCACCTCCTGGGTTCAAGTGATTCTCCAGCTTCAGCCTCCTGAGTAGCTGGGATTACAGGTGCCCGCCACCATGCCAGGCTACTTTGTGTATTTTTTTTTTTAGTAGAGATGGGGTTTCACCATGTTGACCAAGCTGCTCTGGAACTCTTAACTTCAGGTGATCTGTCTGCCTCAGCCTCCCAAAGTGCTAGGATTACAGGCATGAGCTACTGTGCCCGGCCTCTGTCTTCTTGATGGTAGAAGTTTACCACTATAAACTTTCCTTGTATCACTGCTTTCACTACTCCTTAGAGGTTTTAGTATGTTGTGTCTCAAATTTTATTTATTTCAAAGAACTTTTTGATTTCTACCTTAATTTCCTAGTTTATCTGACAGTCATTCAGGAGCAGGTTGTTTAGTTTCCATGTATTTGTGTGGTTTTGAGATTTTCTCTTGGTATTGATTTCTAATTTTATTCCATTGTTGTCTGAGAAGATGCTTTGCATGATTTTGATTTTTTTTTGAATTTATTAAGACTTACTTTATAACTGAGCATGTGGCCAATCTTAAAGAATGTTCCCTGCATAGATGAGAAGAATGCATACTCTGTGGTTTTGGGGTGAAGTATCTGTAGATGTCTATTCAGTCCATTTGGTCAAGTGTACAGTTTAAGTCAAGAATTTCTTTGTGAGTTTTCTGCCTTGATGGTATGTCTAATATTGTCAGTGGTCTGTGGAAGTCCTCCACCATTATTGCATGGCTATCTGTATCTTTTCTTACATCTAGTAGTAGTTTTTTAATAAATCTGGGTGCTCTGATGTTGGATGCATATGTATGCAGGATACTTAAATCTTCTTATTGAATTGAGTCCTTTATTATTATATAATGCCCTTCTTTGTCTCTGTTACTATTATTGGTTTAAAGTCTGTTTTATGTGATACAAGAATAGTGACATGGCCGGGCACGGTGGCTCATGCCTGTAATCTCAGCACTTTGGGAGGCCAAGGTGAGTGGATCACCTGAAGTCAGGAGTTTGAGACCAGCCTGGCCAACATGGTGAAACCCCATCTCTACTAAAAACACACAAAAATATTAGCTGGGTGTGGTGGTGGGCACCTGTAATCCCAGCCACTTGGGAGCCTACGGCAGGAGAATCACTTGAACCCTGGAGGCGGAGGTTGCAGTGAGCTGAGATCGCGCCATTGTACTCCAGCCTATGCAACAAGAGTGAAACTCCATCTCAGAAAAAAGAAAAAAAAAAAAAGAATAGTGACATCTGCCCTTTTTCCATTTGGGTGATAGATCTTTCTTCATCACTTTACTTTGAGCCTACTGGTGTCATTACATGTGTGATGGGTCTTTTGAAGGCAACAGAAGGTTGTGTCTTGTTTTCTTATCCGATTTGCCACTCTATCTTTTAAATTCAGCAATTAAGCTGTTTACATTCAAGGTTAATATTTTTATGTAAGAGTTTGTTCTGTTGTAGTGTCGTTAGGTAGTTTCTTTGTAATCTTGATTGTGTAGTTGCTTTATAGGGTCTGTTAGCTTTATACTTATGTGTGCTTTTATGATAACAAGTATCATTCTTTCATTTCCATTTTTAGAACTCTTTTAAAAATTTTTGTAGGACTGATTTGGTGGTAACAAATTCCCTTAGCATTTGCTTGTCTAGAAAAGACATTAGTTCTTCTTTGTTTATAAAGTTTAGTTTGGTGGGATGTATAATTCTTGGTTGGCATTTATGTTTTCTTTCAAAATGTTAAAAATAGACCCCCAATCTCTTCTGGCTTATAAGGTTTCTGCTGAGATGTCCACCATTAGTCTGATGGTATTCCCTTTATGGGTAATTTGGCCCTTTTCTCTAGCTTCCTTTGAGATTTTTTTTTTATTTCACATGAATCATGAATAGTCTGATGACTATTTGCCTTGGGAATGGTCATATTGTTTAGTATCTCTCAGTAGTTTTTATTTCTTATATATAATTTCTTATATCTGGATGGCAATGTCTCTAACAAGATTGGGGAAATTTTATTTAATTATTTCCTGAAATATGTTTTCCAATTTGCTTACTCTTTCTTCTTCTTTCTCAGGAATGCCAGTAAGTCATAGGTTTTTGTTGTTTAACATAATATCATATAATACTTCTTGAAGACTTTGTTCATTTTTTAAATTCTTTCCCTCTATTTTTGTCTGACTGAGTTAATTTGAAACATGGTCTTTGAGCTCTGGCTTTCTCTATTCTGCTTGTCTAGTCTGCAATTAAGTCTTCTGATTGTATTTTGAAATTCCTGTAGTAAATTTTCCAATTTCAGAAGTTCTGTTTGGGTTTTTGTTAATATACCTATGTCATCTTTCATATACTGAATCATTTTACTGTTTTCTTTTTCTATTGGATTTCAACATCCTCTTGAATCTTGAGTTTCCTTACAACCCATACTTAGAATTTTTAATCTGTCATTTCAGACATTTCAATCTGGTTAGGTTTCAGTGCTAAGGAGCTAGTACAATCCTTTGGAGATGTTGAAACACTGTGATTTTTTGTGCTGCTGGAGTTCTTATGCTGATTTTTCTCATCTGAGGAAAGTGTTGCTTCTTATTTTTGAATTTGCATTGTTTGGATGGGGCTCTTTATTTTTTTTCCTTTGAGGGTGTAACTGTGGTGGATGTTATGTATTATCTTTTGGCTTAGTTTCTGAATGCTTTTCTTGGGGGACAAGGCTCTACATGTTGGTTGTGGATACGTTTTGTGTGGTGGCTTTATCAGATATTGTTTGGTATAGCCATGTATTTTTTATTTGATGGTGCAGTTCAGTCTGTAGTCCAGTATATAGCACTTAGGAGTATGATATGGCAGGTAAGCTGCTGCCCAGTGGATGGTGGATGAATTTTCACTGATGAGGGTAGCAGGAAGAGATCATGATGGAGTGCCCTGAAGCCTCCAGGAAAGAGATGGAGGGGTGCACCAGCTCTTCATCCTGAACTAGCAGAAATGCAGTCTACTTCCCTATCATATCCCTGTCACAGGTCTCATGACCTTGTTTGTAAAATCTTCATCCTTTAGTTCCGAGCACAGTGCCTTTGTGGGCCATGGATCTGCCTCTCTGATGGCTACCACTATAATGAGGGTCAGGGTAGAACCTCTTCCTCCAGTACAGGACACACAACTTTGTAGTCTATCCTCTGTTGTCAGGGTGCTGCCACTCTGTGTTGGAAGGGGGAGTTGGACCCCACCCCTTGTGAAAGCCAGAGCATACACAGTCTCATTTTCAGCAGGGGTGGATCCACCACACCTGCTGAAAGCACAAAGAATCACTTTCTTTCAGTGCACACTCACCAGCTCTTGCAGGAAGAACTGCTGCTGCATTCATAACAGTGTACAGTGGATGAAAGGTGGGAGACGATCCTCTTCTTCATAATTATTCCTGCATATTGATGCTGTCTCGTTCCTCAGTTGGTGCCACATCTGTATTTCCTTTGTCCCAGGGAGTACTTTGGCAGGCTGTGCTCCCAGGCTCCTTAAAGGGTGGCTCCGTGCTGAGAGTAAGATCTCCAGAGAACCTACAATACCCCAGGCACCCACTGGTCCCCTGTGCTTGCCAAAGTCAGAGCAGGTTGTGGAGTATATTTTCAGGTGGTCTGGTGGTGCAGTGACTTAATGGCAGAGGATCCTTGGGAAGGAAAGTGACACACTGGTGCACAACCCGTATGGTGCCCATCATCTCAGTTCAGGTCCAAGGCGAGAGTGGGTATGGCTTTGTGAGCTGGCCACTGGTTCTGTGTTCTCAGGAAATTCTCTAATCATCACTGATTGTGTTGCCCTGGCTAGCAAGAGCAAAGGGGCTCCCCAACCGTTTAGCACTTGGCAGGTCTTCAGAGGGGTGTAGAAAGAAGCAACTTCCACCTACTCTTTTGGCTGAGCTCTGAGTTGCTCAGAGGTTGATATCAGCCAGAGTCTTGCTGCATTCTTCTTCTGTGCTGCAGCTTCTTCCCGTGGGCACTCCAACAGGTCCTCACTTCTCTATACTTTCCATTCAAAACTTGTTCATTCACTGGTAACTTTGATCTTTCTGAGAAGAGCTGGCATGTAATTTCCCTAATCAGCTTGAAAAAGAAACCATTTTGTTTTTAGAATGTATACATTTATCACTATAAATTTTCTCCTTAGTGCTGCTTTTGCTGTATCCCATTAGTTTTGGTATGTTGTGTTGTCATTTTCATTAGTCTCTAAATATTTTCTAATTTCCACTGTGGTTTCTTCTTTAATTAATTGATGGTTTAAGAGTGTATTTAATTTCCACAATTTTGTCAGTTTTCCAGTTTTACTTCTGTTATTGATTTCTAACTTTAGTTGTGTTCAGAAAAGATATTTTCTGTGATAGCTATCTTTTAAATCTCCTGAGACCTAATTTGGGCCTAACATATTTTCTATCTTGGAAAATATCCCATATACACTTGAGAAGAATGTGTATGCTGTTGTTGAGTAAATATTCTGTATATGTTAGAACTATTTGGTTTATTCTAAGTCCTCTATTTTCCTTACCTATCTTCTATCTGGTTGTTTTATCCATATTGAAAGTAGGGTATTGAAGTCTTAAACTGTTATTGTAGAATTGCTTATTTCTCCCTTCCATTATGTCAGTTTTTGCTTCAAATATTTTGATGGTTTGTAAGTGTTTATGATTGTTGTATCTTCTTACTATATTTAACCTTTCATCAGTATATCATGTCCTTCTATGTCTCTTGCAAACATTTTTATTTAAAGCCGAATTTTTCTGATATTAGTATAGCCACCCGTGTTCTCTTTTGACACAACACCCTACTCTCTTGACTTATCTAGCCAGGCTTCAGTGAAAAATCCTGTTAAGTCAGTTTGGTAAGAATCCCTGCAACCTTGAAATCAAATTCATTTTTTTATTGCCAACCTTTGATAGCTAAGTTCTTGGCCAGCCTTTAACAAGAATCCTCCTAAGCCAACCAGTGATCTCTGACTGCTGTTCAGAAGAAGCAAGAGGGATGGATAATGTAAAAATCTGAATCAATATTTCTAATTCTGGGCACATATTGGAATTGGCTAGTAATCTCATATTAGCTTGGTTCCAACAATTGCCCAGTTCATGGAAAGCCTTCTAATTTAGTTTACTTTGGATATTTTTACTTGTTTTGCTTTACTCTTGTGGAATATATTGCTGTTGTACTCTCTGTGTAGGAATGTAGGATAAATTTATTCAATGTTTCCTTAAATTAAACACTTATTAATCTCCCAGTTATCACCTTTTGTCAGAACTCAGAGTTAGGAATGGCCCTCACCACACTGATTCTTTCTGACTGAGCCCCTCTCTACCCCAAATACAGGGGACCCTAATAATTAGGCAGGAATATCATTACCCCTATTCAGCCTGAAGAAGTTTCAGAAGATGGATCTTCATCCCTTTGCAGCCCTTAGTATTAAGGATTCTCTTATAAAAGTGAGGGGGAAATGTCAGAGGTGTTTGAACCAGGGCAATTCCATCTTAAACAGGAGCTAGGTAAAATAAGGCTGTGATCTACTGGACTGCATTTCCAGAAGGTTAAGGCATTCTAAGTCACAGGATGAGATAGGAAGTTGGCACAAGATACAAGTCATAAAGACCTTGCTGATAAAACAGTTTGCAGCAAAGAAGTCAGCCAAAACCCGTCAAAATCAAGATGGTGACAAGAGTGACCTCTGGTTGTCCTCACTACTACACTTCTGCCAGCACCATGACACTTTACAAATGCCATGGCAACATCAGGAGGTTACCTTATATGGTCTAAAAAGGGGAGGCATGAATAATCCACCCCTTGTTTAGCATATACTCAAGAAATAACCATAAAAATGGGCAACCAGCAGCCCTCGGGGTGGCTATGTCTATGGAGTAGCCATTCTTTTATTCCTCTACTTTCTTAATAAGCTTGCTTTCCCTTTACTCTATGTACTCTGAATTCTCTCTTGCATGAGGTCCAAGAACCCTCTCTTGGAGCCTGGATCCAGACACCTTTCCTGTAACGACCATGTATGAATTGAAAAAATGATTAGACAGGGTGAAAAACAGATTAAAAATTAGTATTTAGTGTATGATTTCAATTTTCTAAAACTCTACAAAATTCAAACTAATCTAAAGTGACAAAAAGTAGGCCAGTGGTTCTCTGGGAGGAGGAGGGTAGATAGGATCACCATAGTATTACAGGGGATCCCTTGGGAGTGATTTATATGTTATAGGTAGTGATGTTTTCATGTTAGTTTAACACTTACTTATTGTTTGCTTGCTTGTTTACTTGCTTTCTGTGTCCCCTACTATAATTGATTATCTATAGCCAGGGTTGGCAAATTATGGCTCCATGGGCCAAATCTCAGTCATAGTCTGTGTATGTATGGCCCACAAGCTAAGAAGAGTTTTTATATTTTTAAAGGGATGTAAAAAAGAAAAAAATGCAACAGTAAGGAACAATATGCAACAGAGACTATATGCACCTCATAAAGTCTAAATATTTAATATCTGGCCTGTTACAGAAGAAATTTGCCAATCTCTATTCTATATGATCAATTATCTCCTATTCTATTCACATATATGTGGTAGCCTGTATATTACAAAATAGCTAGAAGAGAGTGTTGGAAATAAATTTTTGGTGCTGCAAAAGAAATAGCACTTGAACATGAATTTTCTCAGCAAGGCAATTTTACTTCCATAGAAGGGTGTGTCTCATGGATGGAGCAATGGTGAGAGCACACCTGAACAAGGGAGGGGAAGGGGTTCTTATCCCTGACACAGGTAGCCCCTGCTGCTGTGTCATTCCACTATTGACTAGGGTTGGACTGCACATCTAAGCTAATTCAGATTGGCTATTTTAAAGAGAACAGAGGTACGAGCCAGAGTGGCAGGATGAGTAGTTTGGCGGGAACAGTTACAGAACAGGTGACTCAGGATGACTAAGACCGAACAGAGCAGGTGACCAAGGATGATGAAGATCAGAGCAGGTGAACAAGGGTGACTAAGGTCAGAGCAGGTGATAGAGGGTAGGAGGAGGTTGTTTACTGAAACTAGGGGCAAGGAGACATAAAGAACAAGGAAATTCAACTTTAAAATGAAGAGGAAAGAATGGGGAGCTGAACATATTGATACATTGGTTCTTTGGAGAGGGTCTCAGAACTCATTGTACTTAACAATTTACAGGCTAAAACCTTTGAGGAGGAATTTATGATATCCTACAATTTTCCCCCTTTCAGTTTTCATAGTATTTCCTCTTCAAACTTTTTTTTTTTTTTTTTTTAACATATCTTGGCTTTGCTGCTCGACTTAATCCTCTAAAAGAAAAAGCTGATCTGAATAAGGTGAAGGAGAGCTAAGGGAGGTTTTAGTAAATGCTGCTTCTATAAGTCTTTGCACTAGCCCACGGATGCATGGTATGACACAACACTTGACAAGAATGAGTACACCTACTACAGCTGCAAGAGAAGTAAGAATTGAGGCTATGATTCCTTTCCATTTACTGAACCTTTTTTCTAGCCACCTGTGAAGGGATAATTCACTCCTGAGTTTTTGGCTAACTCATTGGACAGGGCAGTTAGATCTTGCAATGCCTTTGTTGTACTTCCATCAGGGGTGGTGTTGTTTGGGATGAAGGTACAACATTGAGTTTTAATCATGATGCAAACTCCTCCTCTTTCTGCTAATATTATGTCAAAGGCTATTCTATTTCCCCAAGCCATCTGGCTAGTAGGCCCTAATTGCTCAGCTATTCCTTTAACAGCATCTCTAGTGCAGTTAATAGACCGCTGTTGGTTGTAATAAATGTAATTTATCCAATCTATGTTTTTATTCATTTTCACCCACCAAAATATTGACTCAAATCCTGCAGCTATTTGATCTCTGGCTTTAAATTTATCTGGTACTCCTCATGGGACCCCAATTACATCTAAATAAGTGTGAGAGTCAGAAGACCCATAAAGGGCTTCCCTTGTTTTACGATGTTGTATTTTTCCTCTTTCTAGTTGATGAAATGCCAGGGTGAAAGGGATAGCCAACTGGACTAGAGCACAAGTGCCACTCCAGTTACTTGGCAGAGAGTCCACCACAATACCTCCATACATCTGCTCGGGGATGAACAAGGGCTGACTGATTGGTAAGCTCTTGGAAAGTCTTAAGCTCACTGCATCCTTTCAGGTCTCCAAGAAATGCTAAGTTTCCCCCCTGTCATGAGAGACAAGAAGTGAAATTAATGTGGGTAGGTGGAAGCTGGATGGCCTTCGGGGGTTGACCTGCAGAGTGTTGAACTTCGGGATACAGCAGAGAGAGAACTTGACATGGCTTGTTACCCCAGGCTGTGTAATCCTGGAAAAGAGCTACCATGCAGCCCATGCCTGGCCCACTGGAGGACCACCCTAGTGGAAAGGGGTCAATCTAGGCCTGCCGTGTGCTCAAGCATAACAATTGCTTTTGTTTAACCTGCGGATGGAATATTTGATCCATTCAAACCAGGCATTTGCATCTTGATATCCTGTCTCTATTGCTAAAGTTTGTTTTTAAGCATTTACTTCTACAATGTCTACTTTGGTCCTATCATTAGATGGAGGAGGAACAACCGTTTCATTATGAGAGGTTTTGGAAGAAGGCTTAGGGGAAGGTGTAGGTGGTGGGGGATCAATGAAACATATTTCAAAGTATCTGAAAGGGTCTGTTCCTGAAACCTCATCCCCCATACCATAAAAACTGGCTTAAAGAAGAGAACTGACTTAGAGAAGGGGAAGAGCTTTGAGGGTTTGGGATAATAACCTGTATTGGATTGCACTGGTTTAGCTGACAGCTAGGTGAAGCTGTTCCTTTAGTAAAATGAATGTATGGCTTTAGGAAATTACAACTACTGGTTGAGGCAGCCCATTCTTTCTCTTTAGTGGTCCACAGAACGTTGGACCAACTGCAGCATAAAAACTCAGTCTATGGGGGGCAAGACTCCCAGCTGATGCTGGGGCCCTCGTTGAAATCTTCCCAGACTAAATGATCCCAATTCACTAATGTCCAGTCTGAGAAAAGCCAGGAAGGGCAGAGGTACTTTTCTGAACTGGAGATCTGTCTTTGACTTAAAAAGTCTCCACAGGATGTAACAAGGCAAGCATCAAATGTAATAGTTTGAGGTGAAATGGACTTGGTTACATTAATAACTAGGTGGTCAGCAATAGAGTGAGGAAAGAAGGAATCATAGAATAGATGAAAGAAAGTTAAATTTTTCTTAGCTTTAGTTTGGTAGGGTTTTCCCCTGGGACTATGGCCCATGACTCTGGAGGGGGTGGTGCTTTCTTGACTCGGGTGTAATGGGCCCATCCTTTTTCTGCTATTCAGCCTGCAGTTTCAGTAGTTAGGAGCATGAGGTAAGGTCCTTCCCAGGCCAGTTCCAGCTTTTCCTTCTCTCCAAATTTTGATGGGGACGTGGTCCCCAGGCTGATGTTGGTGTACTGGAAACTCTAGAGGTGGCACCTGTGCTAAAAGACCTTTAGTTCTGAGGGAAGATAAAATGGAAGATAAACCAAGTATATAATTTCTGAGAAACTGATCTTTTGT
Source organism: Homo sapiens (assembly GCF_000001405.40). Lineage (NCBI taxonomy): Eukaryota > Metazoa > Chordata > Mammalia > Primates > Hominidae > Homo > Homo sapiens. The sequence goes on along the minus strand of NW_025791796.1, from coordinate 182,115 downwards.
TTCAAATGTAGGAAGATCAGTAGTAGAATGTAGATAAGGTGATCCATAAAGCATCTCTTAAGGGGATAGGCCTATGTCTTTTCAGGGAGCAGTTCAGACTCTTAACAGGGTAATAGGCCTTTCTACTTTCCCTAATGAAGATGGGTGCCAGGGAGTATGATAATCCCATGTTACATCCAGTACCTGGGATAATTTCTTAATGACATGTGCCGTGAAATGAGTCCCATTATCTGAATTAATGTTTTCTATTAATTTAAACCTGGGTATAATATTTTCAACTAATGCCTTGACTACATTATTAGCAGTTGTACTTGAAAAGGGAATAGCTTCTACCCAATGAGTAAGGTGATCTACTATTACTAATAAATATTTTAGACGACCAATTGGAGGCATCTGTGTGTAATCATTCTGGATACTTTGGAATGGCCTTAAGCCTGGACTTCTTCCCCCAAGGGGTAATCTTTTACTAAGCAACTGTCTGTAACCTGTTTGGCCAGGGTATAAATTCCTATGCACCCATAAACTCTGAGGACTGCGTCACACATGGCTTGGGGCCCACAATGGGTCCCTTGATGCAGTTGGAACAAGATCTCCCTTATAAGGGACTTGGATAACATTTCTCTCTGGTCTAGCAATATCCATTTTCCTTCTGAATTCTCTTTAGCACCTATTTTTATTAGGTTTTAGACCAAAGAAAGCCAAACACCACTTTATATTTGACAATGCTTCCTGTATGATTTTATACCAGATAGGCTAAATTTCACCTTTATATTAATGTTATGTTATATTATATTATATTATATTAATGTGTGCCATTAATGTTAAACTCAATTTTAATAAAACCTTGTAGGTGTATTTATCCAATTTTAATGTCTGACCATAAGGTAAGATTTTTATAGACTCTTTTTAAGCCTTTATAATTTTTGTTAAAGAACAGGTTAGTGCTTTAAGAAAAACCCGTTGTGCTTTTATTTTAATGTCCAGTTTACAGAAAAACTGTACCAGTCAGCCTGAGCTCTTGTTGTTTGAGTAACTTCGCAAGGAACTTGGGTACCGTCTTTAGTGAAAAACATAATATTCTGAAACTTTTTTGCATACTAGGAATAGGAAAATGTGTGTGAGAGGATAACCAGAAAATCATATTTTCTGGACAGGGCACACTGTACTCCAACTATAATACACAGTAAATGTATTACTATAAGCAGCAATACACTTAAAAAGTGTGCCATCTGGGTCAAAGAAACCAAAAAAAAAACAAAACAAAACACCACAAAACCTGCGTAGGAAATCCATTCTGCTATTTTCTAGCTTTATAATATTGCACCATATTCTTAATGCTTCTTTACCTTATTTTTATCATATGTAAAATGAAAGGAATAAATATATCCTAGAGATATTTTAAAGCTTAAAAAGATGTAAAACTATTACTACATTTCTTGTTGTACAATGTTAACTCAGTTGTAATTAGTACTGGTACCACAATATATCATTTGTTTTATGCATAAAATTAGAATATGCAAAAATATTGTAAAATTTTGGAAGTGTTGTATTATTGTAAAAAGTTTTACTACTTTTTTATACTTACTTTTTTTACTTACACTTTTTTGTATTTAATTTTTTTCTTATATTTAAATGTTAATGCACATTTGTTTTATTTTCATTTTGTTATTTCTTAAATAACTCGGAATCCTTTGGCTCAGAAACTTTTTTTTCCCTTCACTAATAGGACTTATTAAATCCCTTTAGGAGACTGTAAAGACTGAGTCTGGAAAACAATCGGTTAACATTATATCAGACTATGACTAGAACCCAGTAAAAAAAATATAGAAATAGCCTTGAATGCTATAAAAGAGGAAAAGCCTAAAATAGCCTGTAGTGGTGAATCCCCAAAAATCTTGGTCTTGTAAGTGATCAAGGAGGGGTAAATTTATGATGAACTCTAAGGTCTTGAAATAGGGTTCTGTCATTTTCAGAGCCTACACTGGGCAATTTAAAAATGAAATATCAACTGAATTAAAAAGTCCACATAGAAAAGTTATAATATCTACCAAATACTAATATAAAAATACTCTAAGAAGATAAGATCATAAAAATCTAGGGGGAAAATATTTTATACTAAGATTCAGACTCCTACTATCATGAAGATAAGTGGTAGAGAATTATAACTCGTCTCTGGTCCCCCAGATTATTTTATCAGTACTAAACAGAAGTGGACATAGGCCAATATAAAACATACCAGTAAATAAATTTGTTCAGGTGGTTGTTTTTCATGAACAACATATATTAAACAGCCACTGTGATGAAGGCTTTGTGAAAGTGTGAAATGTAAATGCCTTCTGCTGGGTAGTCATGCCCTTTTACATTTTACTGTATCTTTCACACCATTCATAGACGTGTCTTCATGTGCTGTCAGATATATAGTGCAGTATAAAATGCATTCGTATCTAGATCTATCACATACTGTATATCACATATCATATACTTATAAATAGATCTATTATATCTGTGGCTTGGAGATATGCACCTATCATTACTCCAAAGTTGGTGTGAGTAGTACTGTTTTCAAAGGGAGAGACAACAGTATATTAACCATTTATAAGGTAATGTCATTTTCTCAATGTCATCAAAGTCTGTATCTTAAGAAATTTTAAAATAAAGAATACAAAGTAGGATATTAAAAAATATACAATGGAGAAAGAATATTTAAAATCACTAAAGTTTATTTCATGAGTTTTTATTATCATTACAGTTTGCTTCAAATCGATCAACTGAGCTTTCCCACAGGCCAAGTTGATTTGCTTTAAGATTACAGTGAATCCACTTGTAAGTGTATGGAGACAGGGCTAAAGTGGTAACAGTCTCATAAGTTTACTTTGTTTCTAGGAAAAGAACATTTCTTATGACTACAGAAACCTGACTAGGCTTCAGATACCGACTCTTCAGTTTTGACATAGCTGCCTTCACTTCTTTGTTTCTTAGCGTGTAGATTACAGGGTTTAAAATAAGCGTGAAGATGGTGTAGAATACAGCAAGGACTTTGTCAACTGAGTAACTGCTGAAGGGCCACACATAGATGAAAATGCATGGTCCAAAGAATAAAGTGACCACAGTGATGTGAGCAGTCAATGTGGAGCGGGCCTTCGCCATGCTTGCAGAGGAGCGATTCCTAACTGTAACAAGTATTACAGTGTAGGAGACAACCAAGAGGAGAAAGGAACTCAGAGAAAGAAAGCCACTATCTGCAACTATTAGTAAGCTGACAACATAAGTGTCTATGCAGGCTAACTTGGTCACTAGAGGAAGGTCACAGAAAAAACTGTCTACCTTATTAGGACCACAAAATGGCAGATTAACAGTGAATGCCAACTGGCTGGTAGTATGGATGAAGCCCACAAACCATGAAATGAGGACGAGCACAACACATACACGACGGCTCATGACTGTCATGTAGTGGAGAGGTTTGCATATAGCAACATAACGGTCATAGGCCATGGAAACTAGGAGCACCATTTCACTGCCAGTGAAGAGATGAACAAAGAAAATCTGGGCCAGGCAGGCATCAAAAGAAATAGTCTTGCGCTCAACCAGAAAGTCTGCAATCATTTTAGGGGTAGCAAAAGAGGCAACACATACGTCTATAAATGACAGGTTTGCAAGCAGAAAGTACATGGGGGTGTGAAGGCGGGAATCTGAGGTCACAGTGAGGATGATGAGAAAGTTGCCCAACAGAATTGCTAGATAAAGTAGTGAAAATGTAAGAAACAAGAAAGGTTGGAGCTCCCTTGAACTAGACAGTCCCAGCAACACAAATTCTGTCACCCGAGAATGATTTGTCTCATTCATCGATTTTGGAAGGGACTTAATTTCAGCTACCTGAATAGGAGAGAAACAGAGATCAGTTAATGAAGTGAGCATGGGTTTGATTTTCCAATTACACTTAAACTTTTCAGAATTCCAATTCCTATTGCTATGTATGTGTCTGGGTTTTCATGAGTTATTACAAGTTATACAGCTAGTACAGCTAAGTATGGAAGATTGCGTTAAAGGGGAGGGTTGTCAAGGAGATGTTCAACCAACTGGGATATCTAAATACATTAATTTAAGAAATAAAATCAACAATCTAAAAATGAATTTGAGCATCTGAAGTTTTTGTGACACTACAGAAATCAGTCTAAAAATCTACGGAGACAAAATCTAAACCAATTTTTTCTAAAGTAAATGATATAAAAATTTTTTGAACATCTGCCACAGAGGAAGATAATTTCACAAACTTGATGACTTAAAAAGTTAGATACGGAAGAGTATACACTGTATTGGTCTATTTAAATGAAGTTCAAAAATGGCAAACTAAGGTGTAGAAAAACCTCCTAGCAGTTATCCTTAAGGGACAGGAAGTGGTCATGGGAGGGGCTTCTGAAGTGCTGGTAATATTCTTTCTTGATGTGGTTGATAGTTACATGGGAGTATTTACTTTATGAAAACTTACTGAAATATGAACTTTTGCTTTTTTCACTTTTGTATACATAAGTTGCATAATTATGAAAATTAAAACAAGAGAGAAAGAGAGACAGCATTAGATTTGCATAAGAGAGCTCACAGGAGAAATCATTGCCTTAAGTGATTATACCTTATTTCTTCTCTACAGTTAAAAATTATATAAACTAAAGTACAGAACCCTGGCAAAATTGAAAGGCCCCAATATTATTGGAACTCTTTTATGATTCAGCTCTTCATGGAGTTCTACTTTATCATGAAATCTAGCACACTGGTTCCTTTCAATTAATCCCTGAAGGTATGAAGCTTCTTTAAACTTAGCCATTGGTGTTACTAACCATAGACATTTTATTGAGCTATGATTGATATTTCATTTGATGTGATGTGGCTTAAAAACTTATAAGTTATATTGCTTACTATAAATACTAATATAACTAATAAGTTATATTACTTATTACTAAGGAATTCAGACCAGGAAAAAAATGATTTTTCTTTTCTATTCAGTTACTCTATATTCTATGTTATCAGAGCTTTCTTCCTTTTGTTATTTTTATTTGTAGAAGCTATTTAGAACTTATAAAAGTTTTATGGAAAATAGGAAAAAATAAAATGTGAATTTTAAAGGAGCATTACATTATCTGATTTTGAAGAATCTTTCTCTACATCTTAATCAGGTCTTGGGAGAGGATGTCTTTTATTTTAATCATTTCTAACCACTTGCAACTTTTGATATTAATGTCTTCTTAGATCATAGCTGCAAATTGCTTAGTCTCTCTTTGGGTTAGATTGGAGGGTTTATTTATAAGAACAGAACACGTGATAAATAATTTTAACTCTCAGAAACCAAATTTGGAGTCACCTCTGTATTTCAAATCTCCAATTCTCCCCCCAAAAATACAAATTTTCTCCCTTATTTGCAGATAATGTGTTCCAAGAACCCCAGTGGATGCTTGAAACCACTGATAGTACTGAACCCTATATAAGCTATATTTTTCCTATACATGCATACCTAAGATAAAGTTTAATTTATAAATTAGGCACAGAGAGAGATGAACAGTAATAACTAACAATAAAATAAAAAAGTATAACAATATACTGAAATAGCATTTATGTGAATGTGTTTCTTTTTTTTCTTTCTCTCGCTCTCAAAATAGGTTAATATTTTTGGACCACAGTTGACCTGAGGTAACTGAAACTGCTGAAAACAAAACCATGGATAAGGGAGGACTCTTGTATTATCACAGATTATATCAAAACTATGGCTCTAGGCTTTTTGGAAGAGTTTAACAAGTGGAGCTTGAAGGTAAAGCAGGCTACCGAAAAAAATTATACAAATCTCTCTTTCTTCTCACTTCCCAGAAGTCCTGACCCTTCAATCCTGTGACATAAATACTGCATTGAATCCCTAAGGCATGAATGGAAGTAAAATCTAACAAAATCAGTGAATAGGAGTTCATAGGTACTCCATCAGAAAGAGCAAAGCCATAAGCACAAGGAATGAGTGTCCTACGGAGACCCTCCGGTGCTGCAGCAGAGAGGGGCATCAGGAGGCATTTCTGAGCACAGAAACTTCCTGGTGTCTTTAGGCTAAGACACATAATCCAACTGTGTGAAAGACAGTCATAAGAATCATCCTCCCAATAGCTTTTCTGACTCTTCTGCAGAACTCTGTTGTTCCATTTTCATCGGCTTCTTCAGGTGCTCAGAAAAGAAAAGACCCTGTTTTTCATGGAGAAAAACATTGGGCAAATTGATTCAATCAAGAACTTTCTTAGTATATAAGATGAAACTGGTGGAACACATGAACTCTGAACCTGTTTCTTACCTAAATCCATTCATGTTTAGTTCATTTACTTTATATAAATTTAAATACCTGCTTTTCCCCAGACACTGTGCTATGCACTGGTGATGAGGCAGTTAGGTTTATAACTTATCTCCCTAAAAATCATTTGCTAATATTAATAACCCTTTGTTATTTAGACAAGCTGATGAATTCACTTCCCTTTACCCCCAGTACATTCCCTATTAGATAAAACGGACTGTCTTTTTGTTCCCAATAAAATCACTGTACTGTAGTGAAAACAAAGCTATTATTTTAAAATGTTCTATGTTGTATCATTGGGTAACTGTGTGACACTGAGCAGTTCCTTTAGCCATTCAGGGACTATTATCATCAAATATTAAATCTTGAGACTATTAACCTTAAAGAGACACTAAAAATATTTATTAAAAGATTATGTAAATGAAAATTCTTTAACCAACTGTAGTGACTAAGTATATGTATGCATTCTTAGTAATGTATTATTTTAGATCAGAAGAAGTAAATATTTTCTCATAATTTTACATTATGTGGTCTGACTCACACAATAATGAGTTTCCAATAAGTAGATGTGTTTATGTAAAGACCTTTTTTTAAAAAAAAATTCTTGAAAATTTGAAGATGGATTAATGCATGTATACAGGGCTGTGCTTGGCAAACCTCAGTTCCCTCCTATTTTAAATTCTGTCAAATGAATCTTGCCTCAATATTTCTATCTCAGATATTATGACTATAGATGAAGTGAAATAAATAGGTATCGTTTACAGGGGCCACCAAACTCTACCAGTTCAAATAGATATCTTTCACAAACTTGCTGATATTGCTGTTCCTCTGACCCTCCCACTCCAAATGTGGATCAGAGGAATAGCAGTCTCTCTATTATAGACTATATTGGAGACAAATGCTGGTTCATGGTCTTCAGAAGGATGCTGAAAAAACACTTTCACTTACCTAAGGTGAAATGGAAAGTGTGGAGCTATCCTGTAATCTATAGGCATTAATGCTTGGGAATAATTTTGTTGTTACTTCCACATCTCCTAAGAAAACAGAACAATCCCTCAGGAGATAAGTCGTAAAGAATTTACTTCTAAATAAGACAGAAGTGGATTCAGGGTTTCTGTAGCTGAGTTGTCTTCAAGGAGGTGAGACAGGTCTGGATGCTGTATCTTAATCTAAGTCTTAGGCAACTAGAGGAGCATTTGGAGCAGTCAGAAATCTGAAAGGAGAAAAAGAGTAGACTGAAAAGAAGAAATGCTGAAAACAAAACCTTCTGCTTCACAATTTTGCAAAGGATTCAGCCTCACTGGATCTATAAAACTGGAGAATGTTTTAGGAAGTACCATCAATAATAGTGATTTTTATATGATTTGGGATCTGTAAAGACTCTGAAGTAGTAGGAATATTGCATCATTTTATCAAAAATTTCATCAGGGAAAATTTTGGGTTTTCTTCCTTTCATCTGACTTTCCCTTGATTCAAAGTGTAGGTGACTTTTTACTTGCTTCTCACAGATGTAATATATATATACATATAATCATTATGTAACTAAATCAAACATCTTGTGCAGTAGTGATATAATGAATTTACCATAATAGTAGTAATATTTTAAAGTATATTTTAAGGAATTATACATGGGATATGCTTTTGTTCACAAATAGAATATATATCCAGCAAGAAATGTTGAATTTCATTAGTGGTTTATATTATTACTTTCTAGTCATAGATTAACAAGGACCATTCTAAACTATAAGCTTTAAAAACCTGAAGTTCAAATCAATAGAAGCTGTCCAAAGACATTATGGACTATCAAAAATGTATTAGCCATATTGAGTACAATGTACACTACTTGTGTTTGTGGGTGATAGGTACATTAAAAATGTTATACTTCACTACTATATAATTTATCAATGTAACCAAAAACCTCTTGTATCCTAAAAGTTATTGAGATAAAAGAATATGTAATTTTTAAAAATTAAATACACATATTAGCCTAGGATATAGAAAATATATTTTCCAATTCTATCTTTCACTAAATAACTTTATAATTGTAAGCAAATTACATACCCTCCCAGGTGCTCTGTGTTTCCTCAAAAAAGAGTAGAATTCCCTCTCCCAAATGCAGTCTCCGGTTTTTGAAAAACATGATCCAAAATGAGTAAGTCAATTCAAAGATAAGAATAATTATACAATATTATATTGAAATTAAAGTATATCCAATCAAAAGGGTAAAACTCCTGGTTTTAGTAAAGTAATGCAGCAATTGCTCTTCAGAGTTAGGTATTGGGACAACAGTAAATAGGTAAAATGGGCACAGAATATTCAAAGATTAATTTAAAACAATATGGAGGATAATTGACTGTCTCTGGTCTCTGTTCTGTGTTCTGACTCAATCTCTGTCCTTGGCCTTAAAATATCAGCACCTACCCAGGAAAACAAAATTCACCGGGAGCCATTGGATGAGGGACAAAGATAGAGAATCCATGTCTTTCCAGACTTCAGTCTTCACCCTTTACACTCTGAAGTATCAGTATACTCAGCACACTGATACAAGAAAAGCCATCACGATTATTACAAGCTAATTAGGAATTTGACATCACTGGACTGTAGTGACCAAGAGACCCAGAGGAGAATTGTGATAGCAGAAATCACCTTAATCACGGATAATTACGTGAGACAATTTGTTTGCCCACAAGAATTATAGTGCATCACCTTGAGGATCTCACAAATGGAAGAAGCAGCAGGCCTAATGGAAATGCTTTGTTCTGTAAGAGATGTAACACTTTTTTTAAAAAGCAATGAGTAATTTTGTTAGCTACTTCTTTGTGCTTCCGAAGAGCTTTAGAAAAGCACTATTGGGAGTGTCAAAAATTGATGGGGAGTCATCATGTGACTGTGCATATTACATGGCAAACACCTTGGCATTTTGACAGCTTCACAAAAGCCATGTGCTTGGTTTCTAGGGCAAGGATTCTAGAGTAAAAAAGTGAAAGCTGCTTTATTAATACAATAGAAATGCTGTATCTATAGATTCTAGTAAAGAGACTCCAAATAATTTTGCAAACATTTATACTTCTGAGTTCAAATAAAGAATTTGAGCATTAGTGGGACTCTAGGTTCATAACACAAAACTCAAGACTCTAGTACCATACAGTCTAGATGTGTCATGATCAAAACTCCCCTGTGCACCCCTTTACAGATAACCACTTCCCCTCCTCAAACACCTGGAAACCATTCATCTGTTTTCCATGCCTACAGATGTGCCTTTTCCGGAACATGAGACAAATGAAATTGTACAATACGTAGCCTTTTCAACTGTCTTCTTTCATTTAGCAATATACATTCAAGATTCATTCTTCTTGTTGCATGGATTAATAGCTCATTCTTTTTTATGTGGAATAGTATCCCATTGTATTTCTACCACAGTTTGTGTATCCATTTGTATATTGAAGGACCTCTTGGTTGCTTTTTCTCTGTTTTTGGTGATTATGAATAAAACTGCTATAAACATTTTTTGTAGGTTTTTATGTTTATGTTATTTTTCAAGTCAGGTGGAAGATATGATTTGATAAGAAGAAATATTTGATTTTATCTATTTTAAACTCTGAGATTAGGTGCAAAAAGATTAGGATTGGTATGTATTCATGATTGATTAAGCCCGTTATCATATGACATGCTTCTCTTTACTTTTGATTATATTTTTTCTTCTGAAATCTACAGAGTCAGATATTGATATGACTGCTTTAGCTCCTTTATAATTACTATTTGCATTGTATTGTATATCTTTGTTCATCTTTTTATGTTTAAGTAGTCTGTGTCTTTATATTTAAAGTGGATTCAAGGTAGGCAGCAAATAGTTGGCTGTTGCTTGTATTGTTCATTCTAGCAATGTCTGCCTTTTAGTAGACTTCTTATACTATTTACATATAATGTAAATGATATGTTGGGTTTATGTCTACTACCTTGCTACTTTTTTTTAATTTGGGACTTCCTTTACTTTCCATTTTTGTAGTAGAATTATATCAACCATGATATGTCTTGCTTTTGTTTGACTTACAAAGTCTTCATTTCACTTTCATTTTGAAGGATATTTTTCATACTTAAATGATTGTGTGGACTCTGTTGTTTTCATTCTGTTTTTTTTTTAACAATTCTAATCCTGTTTTATAATAAGTACTCAGTTATCCAAATCCTGGTTTTTCAGTATATGGTTGTTCTTTTATCCATGGCTACCGTAAGATATTTTCTGTATGACAAGTTTCCCATATGAATTGTGATATGTCTTCTTGTGATTTTCTTTTGATTTATCTCGCTTGAGGTTGGTAGAACTTCTTGACTTTTTTTATTATAACTTTCAATCAAATTCAGAACATTTTGTTCCCCATTTTATCCTTTCCTCTGGAACTCCAGTTACATACGTGTTAGGCCAGTTGGCATTCTCTTGCATATTGCTGTGACACTGTTCAGTTTTTCCTTTCACATTTTTGTCTCTGTACTTTGGTTTAGAGATTTTCTATTGCTGTGTCTTCTAGTTTACTGATAATTTCCTTTGTGGTGTCTAACATTTTTCACCTCATGAAATCTTGATGTTGTTAATATATTCCATTCCTCTCTTCATTCTGTTTATATTTTTTATTTATATACTTGAGCATACTTATGACAGCTCTCTTAAAGTTATTTTATTCTAATTTCCACATCTTGGTAATTTCTGAGCTTATTTGAATCAGTTTCCAATTCTACTCATTATGATGTATATTTTTATGCTTTATTACATTTATTAATGGACACTAAAAATATTTCTGAGTGCTGGATTCTTTCTTTTCCTATTCAAAAGTAGTAGTCTTCGTTCAGTCGCAAAGTTACTTGTGGGCTAGGCTAATTATGTCATTTTATTTTTAAATATTTTAGGATGGGTTTAGAGTAGGCTTCTCTAAGCTACTTTAGCCTTAGTATTAAGGAATTATCTGATATTTAAGGCATTGCCCAGGATCGACTAAGTTCTTGGGTTTATTTCATTTTATTTATTTATTGAGATGGAGTTTTCACTCTTGTTGCCCAGGCTGGAGTGCAATGGCGTGATCTCGGCTCACTGCAATCTTCGCCTCCCAGGTTCAACCCATTCTCCTGCTTCAGCCTCCCACGTAGCTGGGATTACAGGCAACTGCCACCAAGCCTGGCTAATTTTGTATTTTTAGTAGAGACGGGGTTTCTTTATGTTGGTCAGGCTGGTCTCAAACTCCCGATCTCAGGTGATCCACCCGCCTCGGCCTCCCAAAGTGCTAGGATTATAGGCATGAGCCACCGCGCTTTAGCCTTTGTGTACTCAGCTTACTATTCAGTAACAACTCAAGTGGGCCCCATAGAAACTTCTGGAGAGTTTTTTTCTATGTAATTTTTCTGTTGTTGTTGTTGTTGTCCTGGATGTAGATTTTGGCCATCGCCAACTCTCTGAACTCCATTTTCTGGATTCTAAGTGCCAACTCTCTGAACTCCGTTTTCTGGATTCTAACTCATGAAGTCAACTGTGCTCTGCTTTGAATTACCTTTGCTGCCCTGAGATGTGGAAAGTACCTCCATGGAGGAAAATGTGTTGATCATAATATTAATCTTATGTTTTATTCTCTCAAGGATCTTAGTCTTGTGTTGCATGTAGACTAATGCTTAAACACAATGTAGTGATATATTTTATCCAGTTTTCCTATTGATTATGAAGCGAAATTAAATCCAGTAGTACCTCATGGCTGGAAGTGGAAGTTCATACTGTTTTTTTAAATAAAAAATTCATGAATACTGTTTACTTCTCTTTTAAAATGATTTATAATTCATTTACCTGAAATTTATCCTTTTAAAGTGTACAATTCAGTAAATTTTATCATGTTAACAAGGTTATGCAGCTATCACCACTGTCTATCTCTGAAACATTTTCCACAACCCCAAAAGAAACCCCATAACCATTAGCATTTACTTCCCATTCTCCCTAAATGCAGCCCTTGGATACCATTAAACTATTTTCTGACTCTTTGGAATTGTCTATTCGGGACATTTCTAATAAGTGATATGACATAATAATAATGTGTCTGGCTTCCTTAACTTGGCATATTGTTTTTAAGTTTCATCCATGTTATGACATGTATCAATACTGTATTCCCTCTTATAGCTATGTAATATTCCATTGTAAGGATATAGAAATTTTGTTTATTCATTCATCAGTTGATGGGAATTTGGGTTGTTTCCAGTTTTGATTGTCAATAGTACTGCTGCTGTGAACACTTGTGTACAAGTTTTTGGATAAACATCTTATATCTCTGAAATGAAATAAAAACCTATGAACGCTGACTAGAATTGGAATTTCTGGGGCATATGTTTCACTTTTTGGGGAACTACCAAACAGATTTCCAGAGTGGCTACACCAATTTACATTCTTACAAGCAATAGATAAGCAATTTAATTTCTTGACAATTTTGACAGCATTTGTTATCTTCCATTTTTTAAATTACTTTCAGCTATCCTAATGGTTGTGAATTGGTATATCATTGTAGTTTAAATTTCCATTTTATTAACGACTAATGGTGTTGAGCAATATTATGTGGTTACGGTTATGTGCATGTCTTGTTTGGAGAAAAGTCTATTCAAATCCATTGCCCATTTTTAAGTGGGTTATTTGTCTTTTTAGTTGTTATTTTTGAGAGTTCTTTACATATTCTGGATACAAGACCCATGTCAGACATAAGTTCACAATTTTTTTCATTTGGTGAGTTTTCTTTGAACTTTCTAGATTGTGTCACTTAAACCTCAACAGTTTTTAATTTTGATAAAATTAAATATCTATTTTTCTTTGGTTACTTGTGTTTTAGGTGTCAAATCAGAGAAATTATTGCCTAATCCGAAGTCACAAAGATTTAGGTATGTTTTGGTATGCTGTATTTTCATTTTCATCTTAAAGCATTTTATAATTTCCCTTGTAATTCTTTCTTTGGTCCTATGGATATTAGGAATATGTTGTTGAACTTCCACTATTTGTTTATTTTTCAAGTTTTATTGTGTTACTGATCTCTAATTTCATTCCATTGTAATCAGAAAACATAGTTTGCATGATTTTAATCCTTTTAAATTTAGTGAGACTTGGTTTAGGGCCTAATATATCGTTTATCCTAGAGAATGTTCTATGTGCACTTGAGGAAACTATGTATTCTATTGTTGTTTGGTGGAGTGTTTTATAAATACATTAAGTCTAGGCGACTTACAGAGTTTTTCAAGTCTTTTATTTCCTTGCTGATCTTCTATCTTAGTGCTCTACTTAAAAGTATTAACATTTTTTTGGTGAGTTGATGTCCTTTGTAGGGACATGGATGAAATTGGAAATCATCATTCTCAGTAAACTATCGCAAGAAGAAAAAACCAAACACCGCATATTCTCACTCATAGGTGGGAATTGAACAATGAGAACACATGGACACAGGAAGGGGAACATCACACTCTGGGGACTGTTGTGGGGTGGGGGGAGGGGGGAGGGATAGCATTGGGAGATATACCTAATGCTAGATGACGAGTTAGTGGGTGCAGCGCACCAGAATTTCACATGTATACATATGTAACTAACCTGCACATTGTGCACATGTACCCTAAAACTTAAAGTATAATAAAAAAAAAGTATTAAAATTTTTGTCTATTACTGTCAAACTCTCTATTTCTCCCTTGAGTTACGTAAGTTTTTCTTTATGTATTTTAGGACTCTGTTGCCATTTGATGAAATAAATAAACACATAAACATATGTGTACAAAATTGTTTAATCTTCTTGATAGGTTTATGCTTGTATCATTACACAATGTCCTTCTCTCTCTATTAAACTATCGCAAGGACAAAAAACCAAACACCACATGTTCTCACTCATAGGTGGGAATTGAACAATGAGAACGCTTGGACACAGGGTGGGGAACATCACACACCGGGGCCTGTTGTGGGGTGGGGGAAGCGGGGAGGGATAGCATTAGGAGATATACCTAATGTTAAATGACAAGTTAATGGGTGCAGCACACCAACATGGCACATGTATACATATGTAACTAACCTGTACGTTGTGCACATGTACCCTAAAACTTAAAGTATAATAAAAAATATATATATAAAGATGTTTTGTTATGAAGTCCATTTTATCTGATGTTGATATATACACTCCAACTCTTTTGCTTATGGCTGTTGGGATACTATATATTTTTTTCATGAATCGTCTGACAACCAATTTGTATGTTTGAATCAAAAGTGAGTTTTTTATAGGCATCATATAGATAAGTCAAGCTTTCAATCCATTCTGCTTATATCTGCCTTTTAATTGAAGTATTTAATCTATTTACATTTAGTCATTAATAATAAGGTAGGGCATCTGCTACTCTGTTATTTGTTTCTATATGTCTTGTATCTTTTATGTTTCTCTATTTCTTATTATAGTCTCCTTTCATGTTAAACATATGTTTGCTGGTATACCGTTTTAATTATCTCATATTAGTGGTTTCCCTGGGGCTTACAATTATCACCTTAACTTACAACAATCAAGTTTGGATTAATATCTATTTAATTTCAATAATATTTTTAAAACTTTGCTTCCATATAGCTCTGTTTTTCCCCTTTCTCCAGGCTGTTATTATCACACAAATTACATCTTTATACATGTTGTGCTGAACAACAAGTGGATTTGTAGGTGTTTCTTTCTGAAGTTATCTTCTAAATCAGGTAAGAGAAAAAAGTATTACAAATAAAATATATATATTTATGTATTTTTTTATAAGACTTTTTATTTTTATTTTATTATTATTATTATAATTTAAGATTTAGGGTACATGTGCACAATGTGCAGGTTAGTTACATATGTATACATGTGCCATGCTGGTGTGCCACACCCATTGACTCATCATTTAGCATTAGGTATATCTCCTAATGCTATCCCTCCCCCTACCCCCACCCCACAACAGTCCCCAGAGTGTGATGTTCCCCTTCCTGTGTCCATGTGTTCTCATTTTTCAATTCCCACCTATGAGTGAGAACATGTGGTGTTTGGTTTTTTGTCCTTGCGATAGTTTACTGAGAATGATGATTTCCAATTTCATCCATGTCCCTACAAAGGACATGAACTCATCATTTTTTATGGCTGCAGAGTATTCCATGGTGTGTATGTGCCACATTTTCTTAATCCAGTCTATCATTGTTGGACATTTGGGTTGGTTCCAAGTCTTTGTTATTGTGAATAGTGCCGCAATAAACATACGTGTGCATGTGTCTTTATAGCAGCATGATTTATAGTCCTTTGGGTATATACCCAGTAATGGGATGGCTGGGTCAAATGGTATTTCTAGTTCTAGATCCCTGAGGAATCACCACACTGACTTCCACAATGGTTGAACTAGTTTACAGTCCCACCAACAGTGTAAAAGTGTTCCTGTTTCTCCACATCCTCTCCAGCACCTGTTGTTTCCTGACTTTTTAATGATTGCCATTCTAACTGGTGTGAGATGGTATCTCATTGTGGTTTTGATTTGCATTTCTCTGATGGCCAGTGATGGTGAGCATTTTTTCATGTGTCTTTTGGCTGCATAAATGTCTTCTTTTGAGAAATGTCTGTTCATATCCTTTGCCCACTTTTTGATGGGGTTGTTTGTTTTTTTCTTGTAAATTTGTTTGAGTTCATCGTAGATTCTGGATATTAGCCCTTTGTCAGATGAGTAGGTTGTGAAAATTTTCTCCCATTTTGTAGGTTGCCTGTTCTCTCTGATGGTAGTTTCTTTTGCTGTGCAGAAGTTCTTGAATTTAATTAGATCCCATTTGTCAATTTTGGCTTTTGTTGCCATTGCTTTTGGTGTTTTAGACATGAAGTCCTTGCCCGTGCCTATGTCCTGAATGGTAATGCCTAGGTTTTCTTCTAGGGTTTTTATGGTTTTAGGTCTAATATTTAAGTCTTTAATCCATCTTGAATTAATTTTTGTATAAGGTGTAAGGAAGGGATCCAGTTTCAGCTTTCTACGTATGGCTAGCCAGTCTTCCCAGCAGCATTTATTAAATAGGGAATCCTTTCCCCATTTCTTGTTTTTATCAGGTTTGTCAAAGATCAGATAGTTGTAGATATGCGGCATTGTTTCTGAGGGCTCTGTTCTGTTCCATTGATCTCTATCTCTGTTTTGGTACCAGTACCATGCTGTTTTGGTTACTGTAGCCTTGTAGTATAGTTTGAAGTCAGGTAGTGTGATGCCTCCAGCTTTGTTCTTTTGGCTTAGGATTGACTTGGTGATGCGGGCTCTTTTTTGGTTCCATATGAACTTTAAAGTAGTTTTTTCCAATTCTGTGAAGAAAGTCATTGGTAGCTTGATGGGGATGGCATTGAATCTAATACACCAACAACAGACAGACAGAGAGCCAAATCATGAGTGAACTCCCATTCACAATTGCTTCAAAGAGAATCAACTACTTAGGAATCCAGCTTACAAGGGACGTGAAGGACCTCTTCAAGGAGAACTACAAACCACTGCTCAATGAAATAAAAGAGGATACAAACAAATGGAAGAACATTCCATGCTCATGGGTAGGAAGAATTAATATCGTGAAAATGGCCATATTTATGTATTTTACATTTATATATGCCTTTACCTTTATTAGTCCTCTTTATTTCTTCATATGTATTCAAGTTCCTGTCCAGGACTTTTACTTCAACCTAACGGGCTCTTTTTAGTATTTACTGTTAACAACCAAACTACTTTTCTTTAATAAATGTTCCCTGGGTTGCTGTAAGCCTTTCTTTAATCTCCAGGACATGGAAACAGTGGCTCTGTACATTTTTGTCAATTTTTCATTTCTTTATGGAAGAGAGATTTTAGTTTAGCTCCTTACTTTATCATTTTTGGTGGCGTAACACTCTATTTTGTAGGGTGTTTTTTCTTTTACCACTTTTACTGGATATATATTCAGTAGAAAATAAATCATTCTACAAAAACACACATGGACTTGTACGTTCATCACTGCCCTATTCACAATAGCAAAGACATGGAATCAACCCAGGTGTCCATCAGTGGTATAATAGATTGGATTTTTAAAAATGGTAAATATACACCATGGAATACCTCGCAGCTATAAAAAAGAATAAAATCATGTTGTTTGCAGCAACATGGATAGAGCTGAAGGCCATAATCCTAAGCAAATTAACTCAGGAACAGAAAACCAAGTACTGCATGTTCTTACTTATAACTAGGAGTTAAACATTGAGCTCATATAAATATAAATATGGTAACAGTAGACACTGTGGACTACTAGAGGGTGAAAAGGAAGCTTGGTTTAAAAACCACCTATCAGGTACTATGCTCACTACCTGTGAGATCCATACTCAGTATGTGAGGTTTGGAGTATGGATCTCATCACATGTGTGAACATCACACAAGATTCCCCTGTAACAAATCTACACATGTATCCCCTGTATCTAAAATAAAAGTTGAAAAGAAAAAAAATTTCCAGGGATTTTGATGATCAGATAAATCTGATAACCACTCAACTAGTTGGCCTCTAAAGCCCTTTTGAATTAGATGTGCTGTGAACCTCACCTCCTCACTTCATGTGCTGTGAACCTCACCTCCTTCTACTTTATGTTTACATTTTTGGCTTTTATGTTAAAATTATTTTTGCCTTCTGAGTTGATATTTCAAATTAGTGGAGTAGATAACAGTGTCATTCCTAGATAGCATTGTGTGCTCATGGCTGATATTAAACTTTTCAGCCATATATACTTTTTATATTCTCATTTATGAAAGTTTTCTTTACAACAATAATTATTATTTTTAAACATTTTTGCCCCTATTGAAGTAACTGTATATATATATGTATATATTATATATACAGTTTTTCTTTTATTCTGTTAATACAGTGAATTGTATTAAATTATAATCAAATGTTCATTCATTCAGTTCATCATAAACATTGCATTGCTTGTAATCTCAAATGGATACTATTTTATTATTCCATTTTCCTGAATTTGTATTGCTCTGTTTTTAAAGGAATTTTGTATTTTTGTTTTTGAGTGAGATTGGCCTATAATTTTTCCTTCTTATATGACCCTTTTCAAATTTTGAAGTCAGAATTATTCTAGCTCATTAATGTGAGTGGAGCAGCATTTTCTCAGAAAGAGGAAACAATGTCGGTCTGTTTCAGATGACATTTTATTAATTTCTTAATTTTAATTTTCAATTTTTGTGGGTAGATAGTAGGTGTTCAGATGACACTCTTGCACTGAGAAAATCAACAGTTTCTTTTCTCCTTATGACTTGCTTTACCCATTTCTTCATGAGGTTATATTTTCTACAGTTCATCATGTCCAATATACATATATATATATGCATTTAATTTTATATTACAGAATTAGGGAAGAAATTATTCAAGATAGACTCCTAGAAATACAATTATCAGCTCATGAATATGGACATAATTTGATAAATACAGCAAATTGCTTTCTAAAAGTTGTTCAGTAATTTTTGACCAAATAGAGCTTCCATGTTTTCAAAGTTTCCATCTTATTCAGTAATATCCTTTTGTTTTACTCTTTATTAATCTAATAGGGGTCCATTTTTATATCTATTAGATAAATTTTTGGCTACTTTTGTTTTCTATTTGTATATCTTTAAAAAATATTCTACTCATAACATTTGACTCACAAAACTTTATAAGTAATAAAATAAGTCTGAGAGAGAAGGTTAAATTCTAAAAACATATAATGAGTAAGAGAACATATGCGAATGTTCTCTTGGTATGAGTCTTGGCTATGTGTCTTGATTTTAACCTGTTAAGAGATATTAACACACTTAAAGAAAGACTATATTCAGCCCCAATTACATGGATAAATAACAGTGGGAGTAATTAAGATAATGGATAACAGTGACTATCTCAACATTGTTAAGGTAGATATTTTTCTTTTTTTTTTTTTTTTTTTTTTTTTTGAGACGGAGTCTCGCTCTGTCGCCCAGGCCGGACTGCGGACTGCAGTGGCGCAATCTCGGCTCACTGCAAGCTCCGCTTCCCGGGTTCACGCCATTCTCCTGCCTCAGCCTCCCGAGTAGCTGGGACTACAGGCGCCCGCCACCGCACCCGGCTAATTTTTTGTATTTTTAGTAGAGACAGGGTTTCACCTTGTTAGCCAGGATGGTCTCGATCTCCTGACTTCATGATCCACCCGCCTCGGCCTCCCAAAGTGCTGGGATTACAGGCGTGAGCCACCGCGCCCGGCCAAGGTAGATATTTTTCTAACAAGCTTTCAGAGTCTGGTAATCTCACACATGCCAATCAAATAACCAAAACTTTTCAATTTAACACAGATTTATCAAACCACTCCCAAGTAATCTGACTTCTGTTCTAATCATGATGCTTTGGTTAATTAATTTCACAAACATTTTTTAATGTAATTTGACAAATTTCTTCTTCAAATTTCTTGCAATTAACAATTTGGGGTTTCTAGTATGACTGTAAGTATGGGGTCAAAACTTAAACTGGCACAATTCATTAAGTTAATGTCACTTATCTGATTTTCTGGTGGTTTGCCAGTAAATGTCTTCTCCTGGCCATGTAATTCTGCAACCCTTATAAAGATCAAGTCCTTTTTCATTATACATTTCTGTGATTTTCTGCTCTTTAATATACAATCACTTCTACAAGGCCAAAGGTCTTTCTTCATCTCTTTTATGTGTACACATATTCTGATATAAGTTAAATTTTAAAAATTGCTCACATGCATTGAGTTGCTTTGGACAAAACTGAGCATTAACACACTGGGATTATTAGGTTGGTGCAAACAAATTGAGGTTTTTGCAACTACTTTTAGTTGTGAAAACTGCAATTACTTTTGCACTAACCTAAAAATTCAGTGTGTGTTTTATTATATGTTCTACTTGCTTTTATTATCTGTTAATAAACATTTTATTGCTGTCCTGATAAGCTTAAAAGCTTTTATGGAACAAGGGCCTATGACTTTTGCCTCTTTACTTAGATAGCTGGTACTGCCCATTATAATTCTATTGACAGAGACCTTTAATCGATGTCAGTTTAGTAAAGTAGCACCCAATGAAGTAATTCCACATGTGGAAAACTAAATGCAAAAACAAGATCAGATTGTTACAGAGTGCAATGACCCACATAAGCTAAGACTTAGAGATGGACAATCTAGTTTTTCACTGGCTTCCAACCTCATCACTCCAAATGCCACATTTGTAAAAAGCCAAGTGTAGAAATCACCTGAATATCAATTGCTCTGGGTAGCATATCCTTTTTATGACACTTGCTGCATGTGCTTGCATGTTAAACTTTTGATACATTAACAACTATGGTAAAATATAGGACAATATTTGCCTTAGGGACTCACAATCTATTTTAAGTAATAAAAATAAAACACATAATCACATCTTTAGTTCAAAAATTACAAGTTTGAATTGAAAGCTATCATAAACAGAATAAACTCTTCAAGCTCGAATTATATGGTGCAGTGATGACAGTGCCAGATTCTGTGGCTGATAAAAGACTGAATCAATCATGCGATGACCCTCTTTCTCTTATTCTTTCCAACGTTTGATGAGCAATTTCTGAAGTTTCAATTAAAGTTTGAGAAGAAGAGAAGCATGTGATATATTTTCTAATTAGCAATATATATATTTTCTGCAACTACTTTGAAAATTACACTCCCAAATGAAATTAACTAAAGAAAATCACTGGCTATTCAGATACCTTGCAGTCATTGTCAATTGATGACAGGTTATTATTAGTGATATAATGAGGTTTGTAATTGCTCTTTCTTCCAGAGAGTGTAAGAGTAGTCTTGTAATTTTAACTATGAACTTGGTTATATTTATAGTCCTGTAATTGATACTGTAGCATTTTATATATTTAAATTCTAGCACAAATAATAAGTATGACAAAAGACATGTTTGATAAGCATTAATGCCTTATTTGTGAATATAAAATTTTACCTTTATAACAATAAGGTATTAGCCAGAATAATTATGAACTGTAACTGATGAGGTAAAGCAGCACTTTTTAGAATCTTCATATCGCCTTTTATTTCAAAGCAAATTCTGTTTTAACTCAAATAATGCTAAATTATTCTCTATGTTACCCAGAGTGAATCACATGAACTAGCTAATCTTCTTTAATATAGAGCTGATTTTTAAATGTTGCAAGAGATTTTTTTTTGACAGGGTCTCACTGTGTTGCCCAGGCTGGAGTACAGTGGCACAATCTCGGCTCACTGCAGCCTCGACCTCCTGGGCTTGAGTGATCCTCTTACCTCTACCTCTCAGAGATAATTTTTTATGGTGCCTGTTTAAGAGGAAAAACTGCTTATGGGTTTTAATACTTGTAGATGCAGCTTTAGGGAGGATGATGTGAGACACAGAATATAGGAACTGGCATCATAAGATTCTGCACTGTGTTTGCCAACTCCAGATCACCATATTCAGGCCCTCTAATTTAGTCTAGTAAAAAAACTATTTGTGATACAAACACAATAATAATAATCACATATGTTAATTTCAAAGCCCAAAAGTAGGAATTTGTATTACTTCTTTGTAGTTGTCTAAAAACCCTGCTTGGAACCCACATGTCATCTCCTTAGCTTCCTCATGGCTTCCTTTATATCTTTATTCCTCAGAGTATAAATCATGGGGTTAAGGAGAGGAGTGAAGACAGTAAAAAAACACAGAGATAAATTTATCAATTGGGAAGCTTTCAAAGGGCCAAATATAGATGAATATTAATGGGCCAAAGAAGAGAAGCACAACAGTAATGTGGGCAGACAGAGTGGAAAGGGCCTTGGACATCCCATCAGAGGCTTGGCGATGCACAGTAGCAAGGATGATAGTGTCAGAAATGAGCAAAAGGAGGAAACACATAAGTGAGAGCAGACCACTGTTAGTGAGCACCAGTATCTCAAAACCATAGGTGTCTAAGCAGGCAAGCTTGATCACTAGGAGGAGGTCACAGAAAAAATTGTCTACCCTGTTGGGTCCACAGAAAGGCAGATTGACTTTGAATGCCAGGTGGGTGGCTGAGTGTGAGATGCCAATGGCCCAGGAAACCCCCACCAGAACAGTTCACACCCTCCGGTTCATGATGGTCATGTAGTGCAGAGGTTTGCATATAGCAATGTATCTATCATAGGCCATGGCAACAAGAAGCACCATCTCACTACCCCCAAAAACATGCAAGAAAAAGATTTGTGACATGCATCCCTGGAAAGTGGTGGTCTTGTGTTCGTTGAGGAAGTCTGCAATCATCTTGGGAGTGGCAAATGTAGCCTGACACACATCGATGGAAGAGAGATTGCTAAGAAGAAAGTACATTGGGGAATGCAAATGAGAGTCTATAATTACTGTGATGATGATAAGGATGTTTCCCAACACTGCAGCTCCATAAAACACAGAGAAGATAAAGAAAAAGAAGACTTGGAGTTCCCAAGAGCTAGACAGCCCCAACAAATTGAATTCAGTAACCACTGATTTATTACTCCATCCATTAACTGAATCTGAGCTGCTGAAGTTATCTAGAGGGAAGAAAAGATAATTAAGATGGATTAAGAATAAGCTTTTTACCATTTTGCAAATCAAATAGATGCTTTGATTCTAATATAAAAATAAAATGGTGAGGCTATAAGACAAAGAGTATTCACATGATTGTTAGGAATTAATATTTTCCCTGGGCTCACTTAGATAATTATATGAATTATTATTTACTTTTGCCTTTATGCTTTGCAAGATAGATAGATGGATAGAGAGAGAGAGAGAGAGAGACAGAGAGAGAGAGAGTTTTTATCTAACAGATAAACCTATATAGAAAGAGAGAAATTGAGAGACAGCAATATTTGCCATTGAATTCTAAAATGTTTTTGTAGAAATGTGCAATACCTTAATAGAACTTTGAAAATCATACATACTGTACTTACACATTCAGATTATTAATAGTTGAAAATGAGGAGTCTAGCACCATTTACAGAATCTTGAAGGGACAGGCAATTTAGGCCAGGTGTAAAGATATGGAAATCAGTCCAGTTACTTTGATAAATGACAACAAATAAAGGAATGGCATGAGGCCATGTATTTGAGGTGTCTGCAGCAATAAGAATAGATTGAAATTAATTTGTAACAATTGAACTAGTGTGAGTGAGATATTGCATTTGCTTTTCTGTATCAAAAAATGTAAAGTATACAACAGTGAGTTAAATAATTTAGCAATGACAGATGTATCTTCCTAGAATCTCAGAAGCATACATCCTCTTTAATCAAAAGTGATTCTTTTAGTATCACAGTTGTACTCTTTACCCTTACCATATGATTCCTCTTTTACAGAAGCTAAATTTAATATTATTTAATATGATTGGCTACCTGCTCTTCAAAGATGGGACTAAATTATCTGAGAACCTGCCCCGATAGTCACGTAGGTTCTTTTTCTATATTCCCTAAGCATTGACCGGTTTGAGAAATAAAGGGACAGAGTACAAAAGACAGAAATTTTAAAGCTGGGTGTCCGGGGGAGACATCACATGTCGGTAGGCTATGTGATGCCCCACAAACCACAAAACCAGCAAGTTTTTATTAGGGACTTTCAAAAGGGGAGGGAGAGTGTGAATAGGTGTGGGTCACAGAGATCACGTACTTCACAAGGTAATAGAATATCACAAGGCAAATGGAGGCAGGGCGAGATCACAGGACGACAGGACTGGGGTGAAATTAAAATTGCTAATGAAGTTTCGGGCACCATTGTCATTGATAACATCTTATCAGGAGACAGGGTTTGAGAGCAACTGGTCTGACCACAATTTATTAGGCAGGAATTTCCGCTTCCTAATAAGCCTGGGAGTGCTATGGGAGACTGGGGTTTATTTCATCCCTACAGTTTCAACCATAGAAAACAGCCACACCCATGGGGGCCATTTCAGAGACCCACCCTCAGGGGCGTATTCTCTTTCCCAGGGATGTTCCTTGCTGAAAAAAAAAATTCAGCGATATTTCTCCCATTTGCTTTTGAAAGAAGAGAAATATGGCTCTGTTCCCCCTGGCTCACCGGCGGTCAGAGTTTAAGGTTATCTCTCTTATTCCCTAAACATTGCTGTTATCCTGTTATTTTTTCAAGGTGCCCAGATTTCATATTGTTCAAACACACATGCTCTATGATTTGTGCAGTTAATGCAATTATCACAGGGTCCTGAGGCGACATACATCCTCCTCGGCTTACGAGATGACAGGATTAAGAGATTAAAGTAAAGACAGGCATAGGAAATCACAAGGGTATTGATTGTGGAAGTGATAAGTGTCCATGAAATCTTCACAATTTATGTTTAGAGATTGCAGTAAAGACAGGCATAAGAAATTATAAAAGTATTAATTTGGGGAACTAATAAATGTCCATGAAATCTTCACAATCCACGTTCTTCTGCCATGGCTTCAGCCAGTCCCTCCGTTTGGGGTTGCTGACTTCCCACAACACTAAATGCAATTTCAGATAGCATAATAGATTTTCTAATTAAATTTATATTTGAACTACTTACCTTTGCTAATGATTTCACAGCCTCTTCTTTCTGTAATTGAGCTAATATCACAATAACAGAAGAGTTTTCCAAGGCCTATTGAATAGCATCTCTGATGTAATTAATTCATTCAACAAATAATTATAGATTGTCTTTTCTGCACCACACAGTTTTATAGACCCTGGAGACAAAGCAATGGGAGAAAAAAATAATAAAAACTGTCCCATCCTCATGTAACTTGCATCCTAAAGCTGTGGGGGTGGGTGGTGTTGGCACAAGCAATTAAAAATAAATAAGTAAAATATGTATTATATCAGTTAGTGACATCTAACTGACATGATATATATATTTATGAATTAAGAGGGGAGAAGTTGAGAGACAGCAAAAAGAGAAAAAAAGATAGTTTGGTAATGAAGATAACTACCTTTGTCAAAGGAAAATATTTATGGAATAGTGCCATGGAGCAAATAAAGCAGAACAAAGGAATATGGACTATAACCAGGTGATCAGTAACAGCCTCACTAGGCAGGTTACATTTCAGAAAGACTAAAGAAAAATGAGGAGCAAGCCTTGAGGAATTCCACTTCAGACCAATAACATAGCAAGTATATGCAATACCTTATTTGTGAAAAATAAACATTCCCTTGGGAAACATCATTGTAATTTTGCAAGTTTATTAGAAATTAATTAAATGAAAATTTAGTTTTTAACCTTATTATGGACTTGACATGCAAAATTGGCTTTTTTGAATAATATTCTCTTCATAGGCTTAGGCATGTTTGTAATTTTAGGGAACCATAAATTTAGTCTCAACATATAGATACATACTAACATTTTCGTTTTTTTTCTAGAACGAAATATGGATATAAAATTGTTTTTCAAATTATGTATTGACATTTGTATCCATATGTATATATGTCCATGTACAGAATTTGAAAACAATTTTATAATTTTAAGTGCATGATGCTAATTTTATCTAATTGTATTCAAAATAAAATTGAAACAATCTGTTTTCTCAAAAAAGAGCCCTTGAAAATGAAATTCATAGCCAGATCCCCGAAGCTACATGGAGCTCCCTGTGTGTCTACAGTCATAGTCAATAGTTAGTTGAGACAGATACTCATGGAATGACTTTCAAATATTGAGATCATTAAAACTATAAAAATTAGTAATTGATTTTTTGGTATTACCTCACAGAATCAGATGCCTTTTAAAGTATCTGATATATGTATACAAAGCCTGACAAAAATGTGCAAACTGATGTGTGTTGAGTCAAAATTGTCTAAAACCATTTCAGTTTGTCTGCAACTTGGTTCTACAAGTACAGGCAGAATTTCTCTAAAATCATTCTAAAAATATTTTTCCATAGTAAGAGATGATCATATTCCATATTAACAGTTGTGGATTAGTCAGTCTTCTTGGAAAGGCAGAGTGTGAATTTCCTCAAGATGCCTTAATATAAGAACACAGAATTTGAGATCAGATCTGGGTTTAATTTCTGGCTTCACTACTTACTCTGTGATAGTGTTTGTTCATTCATTCCAACTTCTTGAGTACCTTTGGTGATTATGGGCCAAAAACTCTGCAGGCCCAGAGAGATAATGATGCCCAAAACAGATAGGATTAATGTCCTTGTGCAATTTACTGGAATTCTCTAAACTTTTGAGTCCTTATTTGTGATAGTGCACATTTCAAAGAGCTGTGTAAACTATAAAGTATATTCTAATTGAAAATTACATAATATAGTTTTACTTTCTTACAAGTAAAGCCAATCTGAATAGAAAAATATTTGCTTCTGAGAAGATTAACAAACTAAGAGACTTTAAAAGACCAAATAAGATTAAAATGAAATATTAGAATAAAGTCATTATTTTCTAGAATAAACCTATCATTTATTAAAACATTGGAATACAAATCTGACAAAAAGGAAAGTAGACACTGAAGAAAAACCACATAGCGTTCTTTACAATTCTCCATTCACCAGTTAGCTACTTCCAACCTTTAGCATTCTTCACCTCTAACTTATTTAAAAAAAGTAAATGCAGTAAACTAGAGCTAGAATTAGGTTACAAATGGATATCATTGTGAAATAGGGGAAGACATTCTTTGATGTTTCATTATTAACTCTACTTCAGATTTCAAATACAGAGTTAAATAATGCCTTGTCTTGGACATCAGGTTATACTGGAAATAAACTTCTCTAATGGGATTAACACCCCATCCTTAGTACCTGATTTGGAAATTAATTGCAGGTCTCTGCCTAAGGTAATGATAAACCGAATGTGAAATAAAACTTCCATTTAAAGGAGAAATGTGAAATTTGTATGAAGTACTTTCTGGACTCAGAAATTAATTTGAGCAAGGAGCTTTAACTAAAAGCATTCTGGTCAAACAGGAAGGAAGAAGCAAAGGTTATAAGGCAAGAGGTCAAATTGTAGAATCTTCTGTGGCTCAAACTCTAGATTGCACAGCCCAGATTAACAAATAGGTACATGTAAAGGTCTTAGTGGTACAGATGTCAGACATGAAAAGAATCAATCAAAGTTGTAGAAGAGAAAGAAGATAGTTTGGTAATGAAGATAATCATTTATGGGAAGAAACCGGCTTCTTACTATGTAGATAATTAAGTTGAATAAAGGCTTTTGGGTATGACGAGATTGATTTAGTTATCTTACAGTGATATGTGACCAATAATTACCTTATTATCCTTACAATGCTATAAAGTAAATATTACTATAATCCTAACTTTGTGTTAGAAGCAGCTACAATTTAGTGCTAAAGTTAGTGTCACAAGGCACACTGGTAGTCTGAAGATTTGAATGTGCAAAGAACATATGTTTAACTGCTACATATTGCTCAATTAAGGATCTGATTACTGAAAACATCTATCTAAGGATGTCTACCTGGTCACTAAAATAATTTATCAGTATTATTATTATTTTAAGAGACAGGGTCTTGCGCTGTCACTCAGGCTGTAGTGCAACTATGTGATCATGGCTCACGGCAGCCTGGACCTCCTGGCCTCAAGTGATCCTCCCACCTCTAAGATAACAAAGTAGTGCCCAATTATATTCTCTGCTCTTTCTGAACTATACATCAACATGCTCACTTTTATCTTGCTACTTCAATCCCATGCTTGTGTTAGCAGTGACAATAATCAGTCAAAACAGCAATAATTCGCTGTTTTGTTTTATATTAGGCTCTCACGCCCAAACCCCAAGTCCTCATGCTCAAAAACACAGGTTGCCTTGACTGTGGTAATAACTTTAGCCCAGAATCCCTTTATCTCTCTGAATGGCAACATGTACAGTTGCTTTTAAGCTTGATGCGATTAAATTCCACATACCAATTTTGAGATAAATCTCAGGAAA
Organism: Homo sapiens; assembly: GCF_000001405.40. Classification (NCBI taxonomy): domain Eukaryota; kingdom Metazoa; phylum Chordata; class Mammalia; order Primates; family Hominidae; genus Homo; species Homo sapiens. Next base: position 153,904 of record NW_025791796.1, on the reverse strand, counting down.
GTAACAACAGGGTGAAGAGAAGATGCTTCCAAAACTTTTTAAAAAATAATTTTAAAAAGAGAATCACAGGAGCCTATAAAGGAACTATTTAAATATCATGACACTCCCAAAAGTCTCAGATAACCAATCCCATGAATTGCGAAAGCCAATTAAAAAATGAACTTTGTTAAGTGAATTCATCTTGCTATGGGAGTTATTAACAATATTTTGGTTGCTTCTCCCCCATATCAAGATGGTAAGAACTTTTAAATTGTTTGCCTATAATTGCAAATGAGAACATATGTCATGAGAGAGAAATGTAGTGACCTCAAAGTTTGCAACAACTATATTTGCCCTCATTTAATGTTCTGCCTCTATCCATGTGCTTTCTTTGTCCTTATCTAAAGTGACTGTGCCAGTAAGCACTAGCACACATGCACAGGGCCTAAAGAAAATTAGATCCAAAGAAATATAAATCTGGCAATGGGTCTAAGAAAATTAGAATTTTGCTTTCTCTAATCTTATATTTCTTCCTTTTCTTGAAAATTTTTATGTCAAAGGTTTTCAAATTCCATACCACACAATATTTTGCCAAAATTATCCAATATTTTAATTATCACTACACAGTACTTGACCATATAACAGAATCAGAAAAGAATCTTAGACATAAGTGGGTAAAACTGCCCAGATATAAAAATAGCTTGCTTTTGGATATTGTGGAAACATATCCCATTAGAGCTGTAGAAGGACTTAGGAAATCTACAGAGAAGAGCAGGGGACAAAGACAAAAGTAAATGTTGTGACACAGAGTGAGTGCCCAGGAAGTTTGATGAGCTTAATTGAGGAGAGGAGCCCAGTCATCAGCCCAGACTGATAGATCACGTTTCTTCTTCACATCTTCTCTTTAATTTTCACAGTCATTTCAATTCTTCTGTTTCCAAATCTAGTCCTCCTTTAGTCTCCCTTAACCCAGGTAATGGCATTTCTATTGCCCCAGTGGTTTCAGCCAGAAACTTCACTTCTTCTATTTTCTCACTCCCACTTCCAGTCCTGCTGTACCTTTCTCTAAAATATGCCCAATCCATCAAAGCTTTCTATTACAATTTCCCTTGTCTAAACCATCCCTTTCTTTCTCCTTAAATGTTTCAAAGGCCTTCTAATAATCTCCAACTCTCTGCACTGATTTTTTTTTCCAGTCAATTTCTCCTGAATGCTCAGAGCAGTCTTTAAAAATAAGATAAATCTTTAAAAATAAGATAAATAAGTCAAACAACTTTAAAATGATAAACATGCAGTCATTCCTCTGTATATGTGGGTTCTGTGTCTATGGATTCAATCAATCACGGATCAAAAGTATTTAGAAAAAAACAATTCCACAGATCTTCAAAATCAAAACTGAAATTTGCAACACATCAAGTACTACATTGAATTCACTTAAAAGAAGTGATATGTAGACATCGTATTAGATATTATAAGTAATTTAGAGATGATTTAAAAGTATACGGGAGAATGTGCATAGGTTATATGCAAATGCTACACCACTTTATACAAGGGACTGAAGCATCCATGGGTTTTGGTATCTGCGGGGGTCTTGGAACCAATTCCCCGTAGACACCAAGGGACCATCATAGTCCCCATTGCTCTAGAAATATAATCCAATATCCATAATGAGCCCTTCCTATCCTGTATTTTACATATTAACCTTCAGCTTCATTTCGTCTCACTCATTGGTCATTCACTAAATTCCTGCTTTCATTTTCTGGAACACACAATCCCTTTCCACTTTAGGGAGTTTCCATTTCTCTTTTGTCTGCTTGAATATTGTTTCTTTTGGCTCTTCTATTGTATATCCTTCCCACAGAAACTAAATAGAAGGTTATTCATTACACAGAGCACAGAGAGGCTTTTTCTGAGTACCATTCCCCCCTCTTCACTCCTTTGTTTTTTCTCATCTCGCAACATTATTTACTACCTTCATAACACTCATTAAACTTTTAATTTGCTCATTTGATTTTCTTACATGTCTTTGTTTCTCTCTCCTTTCTGCATCTCCACTCCAAGACTGTGGGACTCATGTGGGTAAAAACTGAGTGTCTTAGGATCACTATCATCTCCCCAACACCTGGCCCAGAACCTAGCAAATAGTAGATACCCACAGAATATTATTGATTCACTGAATAAATGAGTGTACAAGTGGCCATGTGGTGGTTACTTTTTACTTTTCAAAAATACCATAAAACTCTTTTTTTAAAAAATGAGAATGTTATAATGGGGTCATACATATGTTTTTACTGACACTGGCTTCTTTTACTCAACATAATGCCTTTGAGATTCACCCCAGTTACTCTGTGAATCAATAGTTGGTTCTTTTAAATTGATGAGTGGTATTCTGCACTGACTCTGGACTTGGCCATGTGTCTTGTTCTGCCGAAAGGAATAATAGCACAAGAGAATTTTGCATTGGGACTGCCCTCTATTGTTACTATGGGAATACTGAGGCCACCATGGAATCGAGCCTAAGCCAGTCTTTTGGAAGACAAGAAGCAATGATGTCCTGGTAAATGTTTAGGAGCTGGTTCATGGGGTAAAGGGGGAAGAGAAGGCTCTGATTTGTAGTATTTTCCAATGTCTGTGGTAAAAATACTCCCACTATGGCAGATTTCAAGCCACCAAGTGTATAATAACTACCTCACAAAACCCCTGATAATATAAAACAAGCTCTCATTCAGGTATAAGTCAGCTCCAGCTGATGACAGATGAGAAACCATGTGGAGAGAATTTGGGGCCTGGCTGACAGTAAACCAGCTCATGTTGCTAACCTGGCAACTACCAGACATATGAGTGTGGTCAGTATAGATTGTCCAGCTCACCCAGACTTACCAGACATCCTAGTAGAGGTCAAACGTATTGGCCCAGACCAGAAAAGGTACTCGCCTGGTTTGTGAACAAATATAAAATGGTTCCTAGTTTAATTCAATAAATTTTGAGGTGGCTTAATATGGAGCAAAATCTAATGAATACAATTGGCTATCATTTCATTCCTTATCACCAATGGGTATCTTGAATATTATAAATAAACAAATGATAAGCAGTTTCTGAAAAAAATGAGTCTGCACGGCACATGAAAAGTAGTAAAATTTTTGTTTTGCTGAGATAAGTGGCTACATTGTTGTCATATTGCTAGTGTACTGCTAGGTTCATGTGGAACATGAATTTTTTTTTTAAACAATGAAAATATGGGTTGTAATACCAGGAGTAAAAATGAACTGTTGACATTGGCATCCCATCCTAGTTGATGTTGCATTTTTTTCTTTTCATTATGTGTTGTTATGACAATTGTTATAGAACATTTCACACAAGTTTCCTGTAATAAACTGTATGTTAACACTAGTGGTCAGTGTTGAGAACCAGACCCAAAACCGAAACCAAATATTTGAAACACAAAGATTTAGAGATATTCTGCTCCTTTTCTTTTAAGAAAAGACAGAATTTAAATCATCCTGGTGGCACAATAGGAGCTGAGCTAATTTTTTAAATTGAATTTTAATGCCGGATAATTTGCATATAAATGAACTGAAATAGACCGCTCAGAATTAGGTCCCTTCTTGTACAGTTGGACAGTGAAGAGATTTAACCATTATGGTCCTATGTAATGATAAGGGAAAGAAAGCACAGAAGACAGCCTTGATCATCATTCTCACACCCTAGAACAAGATATTTGGATTTTCTTCTTTACATGGGCTCTTAGCATATGTATATATGTACTCTATAAACTCATTTCCTACTTTGTAAACCAAATCCATTACCATTAGTATGAATTCCTTCAACTTTCTCTCTTAAGTATCTAACTTTCTTTTTTTTTTTTTTTTTTTTTTTGAGACGGAGTCTCGCTCTGTCGCCCAGGCTGGAGTGCAGTGGCGGGATCTCGGCTCACTGCAAGCTCCGCCTCCTGGGTTCACGCCATTCTCCTGGCTCAGCCTCCCAAGTAGCTAGGACTACAGGCGCCCGCCACTACGCCCGGCTAATTTTTTGTATTTTTAGTAGAGACGGGGTTTCACCGTTTTAGCCGGGATGGTCTCGATCTCCTGACCTCGTGATCCGCCCGCCTCGGCCTCTCAAAGTGCTGGGATTACAGGCGTGAGCCACCGCGCCCGGCCGTATCTAACTTTCTTAACACATCATCTCCCAACTATAAACTCATCTCTTCCCATTTGTACCCTAAATTCTTGAAATCAGCTATTACATCATGTCAGTTGTCCCCAGGTCATCATTTCCTATTGATTTCTCTTGAAGTTTTCTTTAGTTGTTTGTTTCATTCTCCACCCTTTTCTATTCTAGGCCCCTGTTGGCTCACTAGCATGGCTACATTATCTGGGCTTTTCTGCCTCTAGCCTTTATTGAGATTGGAGAATAAAAGGAGCTGGCAGGAGATTAGAGGGAAAAAGGAGAGAAAGGTCTGGATTTTACTTCTGTTTCTCCTCCCTGCCACTTCGCTAGAATTCTTCTAGTAATCTATCCCTGAGTATTTATACCTTGTAGGTCCCTTTATGGCTCTAGCTCTCAACAATTTCTAACCCTCTTCTTGTCTCTTCAGGCCAAGAGTAATAAAGCTTCCTGCTGGTTCTGGTGTTAGGATGCCTCATTTAATCCTGCCAAGATTTTTATGGATAGTTGATTCTCATATTATATTGAAAATCTTTGCCAAATATGTTTTGTGTTTTCTTCGGTGACCTTGGCTAATACACTTCTTGACCCATTGTAATGGATCCGCTTCTTGCTCAACACTTACAAAAATGTGACCTACCAAGCTATTTCACTAAATAAATGGCTTCTGGTTTTAGGGGGAATTTTGTCATTCTCCTGTGAGAAGGTGCTAAAGGTAGTTATTTTTTTAAATAGCATGTTTTTTTCTGTATATTTTTCTATATATTCAATTACCTACTGAGAATCTCCACTTGTTTTTATATACACACTTCAAATTCATTATGGACAATAGTCAACTTATCTTTCCCTTATATGACAAATAATAAAGACATTTTTTAAATGAATGAACTCCTGGAGTTGTGTATTGTCTTGCTAGCTCCTCAAGCAAGAAAATTTTGCACCAATTTTGTTTCTCCCTTACCGTCAAATGTAGTCAAGTAATAGGCATTATCTGTATAAACTTTAAATATTTCTGAGTCTGTTCAATTCTGTTTTATTATGATACTCATTACACACTGGATTGATGCAGTAGGTGTCATCAACTTATCTCATTATCTTTAAGATTTTTTATCTGTAATGCATTTTCTGTAACCTATCAAATTGCTTAGTCTAAATATATAACATTAAACCTCCTAAAATACCTCAATCTTTCCATTGTCCTTTTAGCAAAGTTGAGATTTCTTAGTAAGACTTACAACATCATTCTAAAATTGATTTTTCTACCCAGGCTTATATCTCACTCTCTTTGTGATTGGTTTGAGTAATTCTAGCTAATGTAACAAAATATCATAAAATTTTAGGTACTTAGCCACATGAAATGATATATCTGCTCATGTAACTATGCTCAGTAGTGTTATGGTTGGTGACTGGTCACCTGTCAGAGATTGAGCAACCCAGGTTTCTTCCATCTTTATTTTTGAAGTTTTATTTTGCTTTTAATTGTCACATAATTGCACATATTTATGGGGCACAATGTGATGTTTCAATACATGCATATATTCAGTGATGATAGAATCAGGGTATTCAGCATATTCATTATCTAAAACATTGATCATTAGTTTGTGGTAAGGACTTTTAAAATCCTCTCCTCTAATTATTTTGAGATATGCAATATTAACTATAGTCACCCTGCAGCCAATAGAACAAATAAGTACTTGGGTGATGAAATTATTTTGTGCAATAAACTCCCATGACACAAGTTTATCTATGTAACAAACTTGCACATGTACCTCTGAGCTTAAAATAAAAGTTACTAAAAAAAAGAAATGCTACCGATATTTTTGGTTGATGCTGTATCCTGCAACTTTACTGAATTTATTTATCACTTCTTAGAGCTTTTTGGTTGAACCTTTATATAAAATCTATGTATAAAATCATGTCAACTGCAAATAGAAACAATTTGACTTCCTTCTTTCCAATTTAGATCCCTTTTATTTATTTCTCTTGCCTACTTTCTCTGGCTAGGAATTTAGTACTATGTTGAATAAAAGTGGTGAAAATTGGCATCTGTGTCTTGTTTCAGATCTTAGAGGAAAAGCTTTCAACTTTTCTCCAGTTAGCGTAATTTGTCATTTTTGGCCTTTATTGTGTTGAGGTACATTTTGTTGAGAGTTTTAATCAAACAGCATTGAATATTGTCAAATACTTTTTCTGTTTATCAAAGTGATAGATTAGCTTTTGTCCTTGATCCTGTTAATGTGATATATCACATTTATTGTATAATGTAGGTTGTATTATCTAGAATGAATCCCATTTGATCATGGTGAATGCTCTTTTTAATGTGCTGTTGAATTTGGTTTGCTAGTATTTTCTTAAGGATTTTTGCATCTATTTTTATCAGAGATATTGTCCCGTAGTTCATATTTTGTTGTGTCCTTGACTGGTTTTTGTATCAGAGTTATGCCAGCATTGTAGAATGAGATTGGACAAATTCTCTCATCTTCAATTATTTTGAAATAGTTTGAAAAGTATTGATAACATCTTTTAAATGTTTGGTAGATTTCAGCAGTGAAGCCATCATATCTGGAGGTTTTCTTTGATGGGAGACTTTTTATTATAGATTCTATGTTGTTACTCACTATTGGTCTCTTCAGATTTTCTACTTTTTCATAATTCAATTTTGGTAGGTTGTATATGTATACGTTGGCATGTAGTTGTTCATAATAGTCTCTTATAATCCTTTGTATTGCTGTTACATCAGTTTTAATGTATACTTTTTTATGTCTGATTTTATTTGAACTTTCCCTCCATTTTTCTAAGTTAATCTAACTAAAGGTTTGTTTCTGTTCAAGGATTTCTGTATTGTTTTAGTCACTATTCCACTTATATCCACTCTCATTTATTTCTTTTTTCTACTAATTTTGTGTTTGTTCTTGTTGTTCTAGTTCCTTGAGGTATGATGTTATACTGTTTATTTGAGATTTTTTGTCTTTTATGGTGTAGGTGTTTATTGCTATAAACTTCCCTCTTGGAACTGCTTTTGCTGTATTCCATAAGTTTTCATATACTGTGTTTCCAATTTCATTTGTCTCATGAAGTGTTTGAATTTTCTTTTTAACTTATTCATTAATCCATTTGTTATACAGGAGCATGTTGTTAAATTTACATGTATTTAAATGGTTTCTAAAGTTTTACTGTTAGTGATTTCTAGTTTTATTCCATCATGGTCAAAAGAGATACTTGATTTTGATTTTTGCAGATTTGCTGAGGTTTGTTTTGTGGCCTAACATCTGATCTACCCTGAAGACACTTCCATGTGCTGATGAGGAGAATGCATACTCTTCAGCTGTTGAGTGGGATGTTCTGTGACTATCTGGTAGGTCCACATGATCTAGAGTGCGCTTTGTATTTGTTGTTTTTTTGGCTGAATTTTTGTCTAGATGATCTGTCCTTTGCCGAAAGTGAGATATTGAAGTCCTCTATTATTATTGCATTGGAGTCTATCTCTCCCTTTACATCTAATAGTATTTGCTTTATATGTCTGGGTATTCTGGTTTGAGATTCATATATATTTGTAGTTGTATATCCCCTTACTGAATTGACCCCTTCATCATTATATCATGACCATCTTTGTCTCATTTTACAGTTTTTGACTTAAAGTCCATTTTATCTGATCTAAGTATAGCTACTCTTGCTCTCTTTTGACTTCCATTTGCATGGCATATAATTTTTTCTTCTTTATTTTTAGTCAGTATGTGTCCTTACAGGTGAAGTGAGTCTCCTGTAAGCAGATATAGTTGTATGTTTTTAAAATGCATTCAGCCATCTTTTAATTACAGAATTTAATACATTTATATTGAAAGTTATATTGATAGGTACGGATTTACTATTGCCATTTTGTTCATTGTTTTCTGGTTATTTTGTAGGTCTTTGTTTCTTTCTTCCTCTCTTGTGTTTACTTTTGTGGTTTCATGGTTTTATTCCATTCTTTTTTTCATTTGCATATATGCTGTAACTTTTTTCTTTGTTGTTACTCTGGGGCTTACATAAAAAATCTTATAGTTCTAAAGGTTTATTTTAAGCTAATAACAATTTAACTTTGATTGCCTGCAAATATTCTAGACTTTGACCCTCCAACCCAATTTATAATTTTGTTGTCTTAATTCACATCTTTTGTATGGCTTATTTCTTAAAAACTTATTGTAGCTATGGTTATTGTTGACCATTTTGACTTTTAACCTTCATACTGTATACACCACTACAATAATGTAGCACTCTGAATTTAATTATGAGTTTACTTCTACCCGTGAGTTTAAATACTTTCATGGTAGTAATTAACATCCTTTCACCTCATGGTGGCAATTAACATCCTTTGAAACCGTCTTTTAAGCATTTCTTGTACGGCTGTTCTAGTGGTGATGAATTCCCTCAGCTTTTGCTTGTCTGGGAAAGACTTTACTTCTCCTTCATATTTAAAGAATAACTTTTGAGAAGTGTCTGTTCATATCCTTCGCCCACTCTTTGATGGGGTTTTTTGCTTTTTTCTTGTAAATTTGAGTTCGTTGTAGATTCTGGTACCCTAAAACTTAAAGTATAATAATAATAAAATTTAAAAAAAAGAATAACTTTGATGAGTATACTGTTCTTGACTAGAAGTTTTATTTTTTTCTCTCGGCACTTTGAGTATATTGTTCCATTCTCTCCTGGCCTGCAAGGTTAAGAAATATGCTGAGAAATATGCTGATAGTCTAAAGCAGCAAGATACAGCCATGATGTCCCATACGGGGGGATTTCCTCATAAGAAAATGTCTTAGGCTGCAGGAGTTTGTGATGCTGCTCTGTTAGCTTGGGTACAATCACTGGGCATGAGTGCCTGTTCCTTGGGGAACAGGGTGCCACATGGGCTCAGGTACTAAGGTTACAGCTGTTCTGTTGGTCCTAGGCTCTGAGTAGACAGAGCCAAGATACTGCAGTCACTGGGATGGAAAGATGGAGTGCCTCCTTGGCAGTTTGTTTCCATGGGGTTAGAAGTTGTAGCTGCTCAGCTGCAGAATGGTGTGCTGCCATTAGTAGGTGTGGTGTAGTGGCAGTGAAGCCTAGGGTATGGGAAGATACAGTGGCTATAGACCCCCAAATGAGAAGGCACCCTAGCAGTGGCTTCAGTCTCAAGATGCCATTACACAGCAGCAGCTTGGATAATAGGGCAGGAGGAGACACAATGTGGGCTCCTTGTTTGGAGTAACATAGTCATGTGAACTCCAGGCAACTCCTCAGGCTGGGCCTAGGACCTGTGAGGACTACAGTGATCTCCATGAGCAAAGATTGTGGGTGTCCACATTTTAATTTGTATTGCTGAGGGCCTCCTGCATACCTTTTCTCTGTAAGGAGAGTCCGCCCTGGCTCTGACCTCATCCCACTAGGAGAGACAAGATGGTAAAGGCAGAGTGTTCCATTCCCTTTTTTATATGGCCATCCTGAGTCTCCATGATCCACAGGGTCTCTGCCATTTCCCTGTTTTACTCCAGGGCTCTCCTTCATATATTTTAGTTGAAAAGTGGTTATTTGTTTGTTGTTTTGGTCCTTTTGTGTGGTGGCCGGGGAGGAGGTTGAGTGTTAGGCACTTCTAGTCAGCTATATTGTTGGCGTCGCTTCCTCTTGCATCTTCTTGATTTAAGATTTCTTTAGGATCCCAGAGTCTTCTGCATCCTCTTGGCAGACAAAGGACTAAAGAGTTAAGGCAGACTTAATTATTACGAACTTAGTCAAATTATTTCTTTTTGTGGTAAGAATATGATATTTTATTGGTAAGAATAGGACATATGGACTTACTTAGAAGAAAGGTAACTAAGAATTATAGTTCCGGAAGGGGAGCTGTTTTCCAGTAACAGCTCTAAACTCTAGAAAAGGAAGTAAGAAAATTGATGGATACTTAGTTCCCTTTAATTTACCCTGTCTCCTATAATCTGAGCTTTTAATTTCTCCAGTGTAGTGGTTATCTCATCATCCTTTGCAGATAGTTGCCTTTGTAAGTAGATTTCTGTACTAGGGAGAACTTCACGTTTCTTCTTTGTCTACTAACATACTTCAGACCTCAGATTTTTCTTACCTGCTCTTAAGTCTTTATCAAAGCAATTTAGACTCTATAGCTATTTGTTTAACCTGCCTTTTCCACTAGGACTGGGATATTTTTCATTTTTCTCATCATTAAATTCCCAGTAGTTAGCAGAAATTCTGGATAGAATAAAAACTTTATTAATATTTGTTGAAGAAATTCATACCTCATTTAAGCCTGTTCTTTATGCATTTAATGTTTAGCAAACTCTTTACTGAGGTGTAACAGAAACATAAAAAAATCACAAATCATAAGTGAATGTATAGTTTGATGAATTGATGAATTACCATATGTATTTCTTTCCTATAGTAACAAATTACTACACAATTGGTGGCTCATAAGAAAAGAAGTTTATTTTCTCTTAGTTATGGAGGACAGAAATTCAAAATCAGTATCACTGGATCAAAATCAAGATGTTAACAGAGCCACACTCCTTTTAGAAACTCTGGAGAAAAATCTGTTTCTTGCCATTTCCAGCTTCTGGTGTCTGTGAGGACCTGCATTTTCACTCTCGTCTTTAATGGTGATTGATAGTGTATTTTAATGAAGTCTAGTTTGTCATTTTTTCTTTTTTTTCTTGTATTACTTTATTGTTTCTTTGCATGAGTCTTGTTTCCCAGTTTGGTAGAGGGTTCTTAAAATGTAGGTTCATACTTTGTATATCCTCCAAGTGCCCAGACCATCCAAGCCACAGAGCTGTTGTATGTGCGTGCACTCTCCCTCTGCTCTCTTTCTCTCTCTCTCTCCACACACACTCACACACACACACGCACTATTACCAATCATAGATTTACCAGATGTCTGCTTTTAAGAGCTTTAATTTCAAGTCTTTGTATGTCCAATATAGACTCTGTTAAGTTTAAAGTTATTTGTGTCATATTTAAGAAATCCTTGCATATATAAAAGTCATGAAAACATTCTCCTATATCATATTCTAAAAGCTTTATTTTTATTTATATAGAAATATATATTATTTTGAATTATTTTTGTGAATTTAGAGCCAAGCTTTTTTGTTGTTGTTTGTTAAAGGTAAGAGTACAATTGCCAAGCTTCATATTTTTGTTTCTTCTCTTCATTATCCTATTTCTCATAGATCAGGTGACTATGTACTTGCTTTTTGTTCCCAGAATCTCTAGTGTGTTTCACTAACATGTTTCTTTTTTCTTTACCAATACAAGATTTCAATATGTAGTCTTTTGTTTAACTTTTATTTTTATTTCACGGGCATATGTGCAGGTTTGTTTTATAGGTAAATTACATGTCACAGATGTTTGTTATACAGATAATTCTGTTACCCAGGTAATAACCATAGTACTCAACAGGTGGTTTTTGGATTTTCCCTCTTCTCCCACCTTTCTCTCTGTAGTAGGCCCCAGTGTCTATTATTTTCTTTTTTGTGTCCATTCATACTCAGTGTTTAGCTCCCACTTGTGACTACATGTGGTATTTGGTTTTTTGTTTCTGTGTTACTTTGCTTAGGATAATGGCCTTCAGCTTCATCTCTGTTGCTGAAAAGGGCATGATCTCATTCTTTTTATGGCTGCATTGTATTCCATTGTGTATATGTACCATGTTTTCTTCATCCAGTCTGCCATTTATGGGCATCTAGGTTAATTTCATGTCTTTGGAAATGCAAAGAGGCAAGAATAGTCAAGGAAGTTTCAATGGACGACATACTCTACCATATATGAAGACTTCTTGTGTCTTCTTTCAAATTTGAAGAAAGTCTTGATATACGTAATGTATGTCTTCCTTCAAAATATCTTTGGATATTCTTGCCTCTTTGTATTTCCATATAAATTTTAGAATCAGCATGTCAATTTGCTCAAATATATTATTAGAAATTTGATTGAGATTGCATTAAATCTATGGATCAATTTGGGAAAAATTAACCATTATCAAACAACATTGCTAAATGCACTAGTTAACTTTAATAGCTTAAAATATTTTCTACATATATACAGAAAAAATATTTTTCTAAAAATATGTTTTTTCTAAGCACATACTTTATTGCTATTTTGTCTCAAATTGTCTGGAATCTTCAGCACATTGAATAGAAATCATGATAATAACATTTTCTGTCTCATTCTCAATCTTAAAGGAAATATATTTTAATTGTGATATATATAGTCTCCAGAATTGTGACATAATAAATCTTTTTTTTAGCCACCCATTTTGTAGAAATTTGTTATGGCTGCCCTAGGAAACTAATACAACATCCAAACATTGAAATCCAAATCTATTCTTTCCATGTCTTTTTTACTTCGGGAGTAAGAAATCAATTTTCTTTCTCATTTCCATAGTACATTTTCTCCACTATGACATTCATCAAAACCTAGATTGTATTTTAATTATTCATGTTTAATTAATTTCTGCCGTATCTGATGCTAAGATTTTGATGGAAAGGATTAATATTTGTATAATTCTAATAGTGTATTTTGTACACAGCATACATTTATTTGTTATTGAATATATTTAATTTGGTTTCTAAGTTGGTGCTAATAAATGATCACTGCAAAATTCTAAATTTAGACTTGCACATTTTAATAAGGGAAAACAAAGAGTGCGCCCAAGCATCATCAGTTTTGTTTACCTGACAGGCAGAAGGAGCAAAAGGCTGCCTTCACAGAATTCATACTCATCCAGGTGCCTGCAGAATTACCTTTTCAAAAGTAATAACACTAAAGCTATTTGTATGTTTCATGCTTCATAAAGTGCCTTTATTTCCATTATATCCTCTTGTGTCACATAGTTCCTGCAAAATAGCTATTTTTAACAACTTTATTTTACATATGAGAATTAGAGCAGTGAAATGACCTCATTGGTGAAGTATACATTCAACACCTTTTCACTTCCACTGTAGTGAGGAGAAAATAATACTACCAAAAATATCATCAATGCTTTCATGTTTATTGTGTGTCCAAAATGTTTTGGCACCATATAAAAAATATAACAGGTAGTCAAGTTTAACAGGTCATTATGTTTGACAGTGTACAAATGAAGTTAACCAAAAATAATCTGAAGCTCAAAAAAATAAAAAACCAGCTAAATAATATGATGATTTAACAGGACTGTGTGCCTATATCTAAAATTTTACTTCCACTAGGATTTAGCATGCAGAGTTAATATCTGTACACATAGCCACTAACATAACTCTTATAATTAAAATAGGAATCTAGAGTGATGACAATCACAGGCTTTATATTTTCCATTAAGTAGTTCTTTATCTCATTGTTATTATAGAATACAATTAGTCTTCCTATTACAAGGACTTTTCGTAATGCAAATCTCAGGGAGAAGTACATAAGAAAACTTTTAGCTGGAAAATGAAACAATACTTAACAGATGCTTTTAATCACTAGTATTAGAGGTACATAAATTTTACTTTTCTCTCTTCTGTTTTCAAACAAATATGAAAGAACAAATTTCACTTTGGATTTTCAGTAGCAAATGATTTGTGTCATTCTGTACATTTGTATGCGTTAGATACTTTACTTTTTCTTTGAACTTAAATATTCAACATCTGCCATATTTGCAAACAGTTTCAAAGATATTTGAAATTTTCTGTGAATAATGTGGAATTCATTATAGCCAATTTATTCTACTTTAAAAATAAGTAGGCTTCTGACAAATATATATTATATATTTTTATATATATTATATATTTTTTATATATATTATATATATTTTATATATATATATACACACACACATATATATATATGTTGTTGATGGCACCAAATACCTAGAAAATTTTGTAAAAAGCAAAAATTTATGTCAAATAATCTAAAGGAAAACAGAAAAAAATAGGAATAAAATAGTAAATAGGGAAAACTATAAATACACAAATATATAATAACCAAATTATAAATTACTAAAATAATACATAAGATAAAGAAAAGCTAAAAATATATAACAGTAAGGTGAAATCCATGTTGTAAAATGTGATACTTTTTCTACTATGTCAATGTATGTTGTAATGTTATGAATAAATTGGGTAAAGATATCAGAAATTCAGTATGACTGTACATTTTGATTGTCAGGTCTAAATTTATGATGTATTCAATTGAAGAGAATCACAAGCTTAGTAACATGAATAACATTTTATGCACATTGGAATCTCTAAATCTTTATAAAATATTTTAAAATATTACTAAATATTTTCAAGACAATTTGTACTTTTGAATTATAAACAATGAAAAAATAGTTAACATTATATTTAAATAGAACCAGAGACTGACTTGATGCAATTCCCTTGCACTTAAAACAAAAAGCCAATTCTGTAACTCAATAACCCATATGTCTGGCAAAGATGGTTGGCATGACACTATGATACACTGGAGGGTCTTCATTCTAATTCAGGATTATGCTCCTTCGTAATGATCCCTAGTTTTTCCAGGAGTTCACATGACGGTTTCTCAGCTTCCACATGGCTGCTTTAACATCTTCATTCCTCAGAGAGTAGATGATGGGGTTCAACAAGGGAGTACAAACAGTGTAGAACACAGAAAGAAATTTGTCCACAGGAAGTCTGCTAAAAGGCCATATATAGAAATAAATGCAAGGCCCGAAGAAAAGAATGACCACTGTGATGTGGGCAGTTAATGTAGAAAGAGCCTTAGATGACCCACTGGAGGACCTGCATCGGACACCGATCAAAATGATGGTGTAGGAAATAATTAAAGCCAGGAAACAGCTCAATGATATCAGGCCACTGTTCGTTAGGGTCATAATTTCCATTTCATATGTATCCATGCAAGCCAGCTCTATCACCAAGGGAAGGTCACAAAAGAAGCTATCCACCTCATTGGGACCACAGAATGGCAGGTCCACTGTAAAAGCCAAGTGGCTCACAGAATGAAGAACGCCCACCGCCCAGGAAATAGACACAAAAATTACACAGAGCCTCCGGTTCATAATTGTACTGTAGTGCAGAGGCTTACATATGGCTATAAATCTGTCATATGCCATAGCTACAAGCAACATCATCTCACTCCCAACAAAACTGTGAAGAACGAATATCTGGGCCATGCAACCCTCAAAGGAGATAGTCTTGCGCTCAATAAAAAAGTCTACAAGCATCTTGGGGGTGGCAAAGTTAGACTGACAGATATCAATGAAAGAAAGATTACTGAGCAAGAAGTACATAGGAGAGTTCAAATGGGAGTCAAAAGAAATAATGACAATAATTAAGACATTGCCTAGCACTGATGTCACATAGACTATAGAGAAGATGGCAAAAAAGAAAAGTTGAAGTCCCCAGGAATTAGAGAGTCCCAAAAGTACAAACTCAGACACCATCGATTCATTTGTGTGAGCCATGTATCCAATATTCAGTTACCTAAAAAAAAGAAATCAGAAAAATGTCACAATGATTGGCATTACAATACCTCTAGTTTATAAACAAAAGAAATATAGTCAATTCTAAACAAAAGAAATAGTCAATTTAATTAGGTTACATATATTTACGTATGTAAATACTCAGTTGACTAATATTTAACATCCATGACTGCTATGAAAGTTGAAAGAGTGTGAAAAAGAGGATTA
Source organism: Homo sapiens (assembly GCF_000001405.40). Lineage (NCBI taxonomy): Eukaryota > Metazoa > Chordata > Mammalia > Primates > Hominidae > Homo > Homo sapiens. The sequence continues at coordinate 138,123 of NW_025791796.1, read as the reverse complement.
GATATGAATCCCTGTCATAATTAGAAAAAACTACACATACTAAAGAAATGAAAATATAAAATCAGAAACAGGAAAGTATAAGTGAAATACATGAATAGTATAAATGTTAATAAGATTAAAGAGATTATGCCAAAGTGGTAAGATAAGTTTTAGCTCGAATAATTTCTATTTGTGCTAAAACTTCTCTAAAGTTTGAAATTTGCTAGCCAAAAGTGAAGGAAAAGTCTTTTATTTCAAGTGAAATGAATAACATGAATAAAGAATCAAAGGTAAAAATATAAAGATGTACTTCATTCAGGAAACTGTTAGTTGAGTGGCCTGGCTGGAGAGTGTGCTAAGAAACAATAAAAATTAAATTAACGAATGGTAGATCAGGAGCAAATCGTGAATGCAATTAGCCTTAAGCACAAGACTAAATGGAACTGAGAGTCATAATGTTCTTGGAAGTATTTTAAGAAACAAAAGAAGCGGCCAGGCACGGTGGGTCATGCCTGTAATCCCAGCACTTTGAGAGGCCAAGGCAGGTGGATCACCTGAGGTCAGGAGTTCAAGATCAGCCTGACCAACATGGTGAAACCCCGTCTCTACTAAAAATACAAAAAAATTAGCCGGGCGTGGTGGTGGGCACCTGTATTCCCCCCTACTTGGGAGGCTGAGGCAGGAGAATTGCTTGAACCTGGGAGGCGGAGGTTGCAGTGAGCCGAGATCACACCACTGCACTCCTGCCTGGGCAACAAGAGTGAAACTCTGTCTCAAAAAAAAAAAATGTTAAAAGAAGAAAAAAGAAAAGAAAATGATAGAAACAATTTGCTATAATAGAGAAGGAAGAGCCAATGGTTACACTCTGAAAATTTCTCTGAAGGTCAAGAACACTTCCTTTCAACCTTTTAACAAATAGTTAATCAAAGTTCACCTTCTGTCACATAGAAAGCAATTAACAATAAATGAAACAATAACCAACAACATGTTTTCAGTCTCTTTCTTCTGACTGTGTTTTATCTTTCTATACACACCTGACAAACTTGAATTTGTCAAAATCTCTAACACCTTTCAGGAATGGTCCTTTAAGAAATATCTCATATAGTTCATTTCAAAGGCATAAGACATTCTCAGAAAAGTTAACTAGTAAGTAAATTTGCTCTTAAATGTTTTTTGACATTTTGCTTAATACATGTGGCCACTTGGTCACAGAGAAAACCCTACACACCCTTCCTGAAGTGGTTCAGGAAACATTTTTGACCTTAGCTCTGTGTATCCAACAGTACACAACAGATATTTATTTGTCCTTATACTAACTGAAGCTCTGCACCCCTCCATGTTCTTCAGTGGTTTGTTAGAACCAGGTTATTTAGACATGACCAAAATAATAAATATTTTATATTTTAAAAGTTAAAATTGTATAGGTAATGGTAAACCAAATTAAAAAGTGTTTAAACTGTTTTCAAGCTTTCATTATGTAGTTTTAACCTGGATGTTGGAGCACTATATCCTACACTTTCAGGGCTTTCCGTGTTTGCATTGGTTATGAAGAATTGAATTGGTTTTAAGAAGAATGCAGGCCGGGCATGGTGGCTCATGCCTGTAATCCCAGCACTTTGGGAGGCCGAGGTGGGCAGATCACGAGGTCAGGAGTTCAAGACCTGCCTGGCAATCATGGTGAAACCCCGTCTCTACTAAAAATACAAAATTAGTGTGGTGGCACACACTTGTAGTCCCAGCTACTCGGGAGGCTGAGGCAGGAGAATCGCTTGAACCTGAGGGGTGGAGGTTGCAGTGAGCCAAGATCATTCCACTGCACTCCAGCCTGGGTGATGGAGTGAGACTCCATCTCAAAAAAAAAAGAATGCAGAAACCTAAGTTACTCAAGAATGTAAACAGATCAACGAGGCATGAACTGACCTAACTACAAGTTTCCATGATGGGATCTCATTTCCATGTGGAAGATTTGGGGCAATGCTGGCATCTCTAATCATGTGTGTACATGAGCAGGGGAAACGAGGAAGCAAAGAAACATTGAAAAAGAAAGATATTCCCATTCCTAAGAGTAAAAAAATTCCTAAAGAGCTATAGTTATGAATTTAAAAAGATAAAATTTGACACCATGAGGAACTGCTTATAGCATTTGACTCATTGTGGAAAGCCTATTAAATGCAGTTATTTAATGGAATAAAAAATTATTTATTTTCATAGGTTATTAAGCAAAAAAAAAATCCTTTACACAGAGCATGCAAATAAATTTAGATTATACTTCTATTGGTATAGAATATATACCAGTTCATTATACTGTAATAATAATGAACCATTATAATTACAGTAAAAAAACTCCATAATTGAAATGTCATTTGTGATAAGATTTGCCACTTAAATGAATCACACAGTATTTTGTACATACATCTATTACAGCAAATATTAGAATACATGCTTTATATAAAAATAATAATATTTATAAGTGCTATAAATATATATTTATAAGTGTTATAAATATTATTATTTTTATATAAAGCACATTTTCTAATATTTGCTATAATAGATGTATGTGCAAAATACTGTGTGATTCATTTAAGTGGCAAATCTTATCACAAATGACATTTTTCTATGTTTTAAGCAGTCCCCTAAGCATATGGCATGCATTTGTACTCATTTAATGCTCAAAATAATCTTACAAAGTAGCTACCATTCAAATATGCATTTTATAATTGAAGGAACTCAGGCACAGAGAAGCTTAGGCTAAGTAAATTGCCCAAGTTTATACTACTAGTAAGTTGTATACTTGTAGTAATGACTCCTACAGTAGACTAGGAGATGCTTTTGGACAAACAAAGCTAAATCTTATGAGTGATAGAACAGTGGTGGGGCTCTAAAGTGGGACAGTCTTGGATTTAGTCTCAGCTCCTAAAATTTCTAATGGAATGAACAGTTCCTTGACTTTTCTCAACTCCTTTTCTAACATGTGAAATGGCGATGTCACTTGTTACATTTCAGAGTGGAACGTAATAGGCATTTACACGGGAGTGGAGATTGAAAGAGATGAAAAAGGGTGCTCAAGAAGACAAAGGGGGAGAAAGAGGGAGAAGAGAAGGAGCAAGAGGAGGAGGAGGAGGAGGAGGAAGAAAAAAGGAAAAGGAGAAGGAGAAGGAAGAAGAAAGAGAATGAAACATGATTAACAAAAAATTGTTAAATAATGTTAGTGGAATTATTCCTTTTTCAAAAATCATCTTATCTTTGAAAAATATACTTTTGAAAATATCCAAATTTCCCACAAATTATATCTTTTCAATATCTAATAAATGATAAGGTTTTTAGTCTTAATTTTTCAAAATATAGGAAACAACTAGAAATTCCTCTCCAAACTAACTTCCTATGATTTTTTAAATGCAAGTAGAACAGATCAGGTTCAACATTATATCTCATTTTCTTCTTAATAATTAAGGTAGTTACCCAATAGTATAGACAAATAACATTTGCTACTTGCTGGCTGTGTGACTGAACTTAAAAGATAGAACTGGATTATCTCTAAAGCTAGTTTCATCTCTAAAATTCTAAGTGCAGAGGCAGTTATGGAAACACATGGAGTTTATAAAAGTTAGCATTCCTTCAGCAGTCCACAGAGCACCCAGAAGCTTCTTCATTATTGAATCATTCATTCTGTCATTGCCACTATACCTCAGAGATAGGAGTGTTTTCAGATCCCAAAATACACCATAAGAAAATTTCCCTATTCTTGGTGTAAAGCCAAGTTGGATATGAAAGGGTTGCTGTTGCATTAATATCTACTATACAATGTGTCAATGGAACTCTGAAATCATAAGCATGAATAATTTTTTCTTGTTTTTATTTTAATGTATAATACTTGATTACCTATAAGCCTAGAAGCAAACAATAAAGGATATACTACTGACCATTACTCTACTGTGTATAGCTACACTTTTCTTCATTTGAGGCAAATTTTGGTAGTCAATAAACATTTGTTAAACTAATGGCTACAGAGTCACTGAACAGAAAGCATAAATGGGTCAGAGAAGGGACAGATAATGGTTGTAACATATGTTCCTCTGTTTATCAGATTCTGATCCTCTTCTTACCAGGGTTGCCCAGAAGCAGTGCAGTGGAAGAATGATATAGACAGAGAAGTGGAGAACAGGAATATTCTTCTTCCAGAGGGAGTTTTCAATTTGTCTGAGACAGCAATAACTTCCACTTTGCTATCTTCTAGTTGCTGTTTTTGCATCTATAAGAGATCTCATTAATTATTTCTCCAGTGCAACAATATGTTCACAATGAATGTATAATACTTACACTTTGAAAAAGTTGTCCAAGTCTTTCACTTCTTCCTTATTTTCCCAGTTTGGTGTCCTCTGGTTTGTTTCCATTTCCCACTTTCTGCTATGAGTCTTCATACTGAAAATATTTGTAATATAATCTTAACTTGATGCATTTTAACTTGGTTCCCTACACTATGCCGTATGGAAGGAAGCCTCTCAGGTCCTCAGGTCCTGTCCTGATGTAGTGAGGGCTCTGATCACCTTGCACTCAACCGAGCAATTACAATAACTTAAGGCAATACAATATAAAGCCTTTCAACCTCATTCTAGAAAACTGATTTCATTGGTGAAGCAAGAAAACACCCTTTAGAGATCTGAGGTCACTTTCCAGTGGGAGTAATTATGTTTTACAAAATAATTTTCCAGAAATGGAAAAGAAAAAAAGGTTTGTTTGTTTGTTCGCCAACTAGTGTATACATATGAAAGCAAAAGATTACTTGATTTTAACTGAGTATCAGTCAGCAAAGGAAGTATTCAGGTATTCAACTCCTAACTCTCTGTTAATAAAACAATCACACAATCTTAAAAATTATCACCTCGCCTCAGGGTGTTTCCTCCAATCACAAGGAGCCCACTGCTTCATAAGACAGTTCAGTCTGTGCTCCACTGTTTCTACCATTTGTAATTTAAAGAGTAAATCTATTAGCACTTCAGTATTATGTTTCTTCAAATATTTAAAGAGGCTCTCATTTATTCCCTATATAAATTTCTTTCCCAAAATACATCAACAGTCTTTTTCAACTATATTTTATATAAGTTTTCTAGATCTCCACAGGTTCTGATGTAAGTTTCAAGTGGTCATCTTTAAGTAAAAAAATTGAAGGTAAGATTCCCTATTACTTAGTGTTTCTATCTTCCTATCTATCCTGTGTGCATGTGTACACCTTAGTAAAACATTCACATATATAAGCATTTGAGCACAATGGCACATATTGCAGCACTGGCTGAAGGAGAGATACTGGAAAAAACCTAAGTACATATATATATATAAATTTGAGAGTGGGGAAATATAATATTTTAGTGTGATGAAATACATTCAATAATTAAAATTGTTAAATAATATTTTGTACATGAATATGTATGGTTAAAAACATAATGTTGAGGGAAAAAAAGTTAAAGATTGTAAAATTATGTTCGAACTTTTATAAACCAAATCAATGGACACACTTATGAATTAAAGTTTTAAAATATCCAGACTACAAAGAAAAATTCAAAAGCATAAAGCCTAATTTAGCATCTTAAGGGAGATATACAATGACAAACAGACAGTTAAGGGACTATCACAATAGTAAAATAATGTTAGATTTCAGCAGCAATGATTCAGGGAAGACCCAGTGTCAACAAGCATTTGTTTTTACCAGACAAGCATAATCTTGACTGTTTTTCGTGCTGTCTGGCTTCTAATGGTTCTGCTCATTTTATGAGGCTGCTTCTCTAAATGTACTATCAAATATGCAGATAATGCCAAATCCTCCTAATAATTCCATTTTGCTCAGGATGATTAGAAATCATTTCTTTTGATTGCATAAAATAACCATTATTAAAATAGCCTACAAAGATTACTAGGAGATAAATTGTGTGACAGTAGACAAGAAATATTTGCAAGAGAAAAATAACCAGAAGTAACTTTACCAAAAAAAATAAGAAAAGCTCCAAGGTGAAATATTTTGGTCCATGCTCTCTGTCTCTGTCTCTCTCTCTCTCCCCCCATACGCACACACACACACACACACACACACACACACACACACACACACACAGAGTGTGATATGTATAAAATGCACATATTATATTATTTTAATTATATATATCTATATATAAAAAATAAATGAAACAGAATAGTATCCAGAAATATAACCAAATATATATGTATAAACTATATAATAATATTTATAATAATTTAAAGAAATGTAGATTACTATATAAATGAAATTCATGGGAAAAAGTAAATTTCTATCTGCATACAGTTATAAAAGCAAAATAAATTTTAATTGGATCAAAGATTAAGTTTTAAAAATTAGAAAAAAGCACGTGAAGATTTTTTTATAATCTTGGAGTTGGTAAGGCCTCTAAAGCATGATGTTAAAGAAGCCATAAATATATGGCTATGTAATGGATAGAATTGATTGACTTAATCATTTTTAGATTTGATATATCAAAAAAACCCACAATCAACATTAAATAAAAAAGCAAACTATAAAATATGTGCAACATATATGACCAATGAGACTAATTCCTTGTAAATCAAAATATTATTAGTAATTAAAATAAAGAAATATCAATAAGTAGAAAAATGAGCAGATGCACAAGGAGTTCAAAAGAACAGAAATACTCTGCAACTCTATGACAATAATAAGACATCTTTACCTTACAGATTGAAAAAATGTCAACATAATTTGGAGTAATTTGGGGAGAAAATATGTTAATTATTTGTCAATGAAAATCTAAATAGAAACATACATTTTATACTTAGTAAACATACTTAAAGTAGAAAACAGGTAACATTTTAATTTAAGAGGCAAAAAATATGCCCAATTAAAAATAAAAACCCTATTTATTATTTAGAGAAATGTAAAATAAACAAATAGGAATTTTAAAAAAAAGCTTTCTATTGTCAGTTAAATTGGCAAAGGTGGCAAAGACAAGACATGAATTAGCGACACATTGGAGAAAGATAAACATAATTGAAGTCACAGAAGAAGAGAGCACAAGACTAAAACAATAGCTGAAGAGATCCTGGCTAAAAGCTTTCCATAACTGAAGTATAGTTCTAGCCATAGAAGCAAGACATTCAATAAACCACTAGCAATAAATAAATAAATAAATAAAATAAATAAATAAGCAAGATCATAGTAAATCCTAGAATTGTTGGGACAGGAACCACAAAATCCATAAGTGGATCAATGGGAATGATGCAGAGAGAGTCCAATCTATGCCTTGTCTATTCCTTGTTATCTGATTGTGAGTATTTTAGCTACTGGTGACACAAAATTGCAAATTAACTGTCATTTCAACAAATATATTACATTTTGGAGTTCACCATCTCAAAAAATGTGAGTATAATCTCAACAACAGACTTTTATCTGAGGCTTTTAAAGGTCATTCCAATCTTGTTTGTGGCTGGAAGCTTCCCAGAAAAATGGATCCATGATATGTCTCTATTGTCACACCTCTTCACTGTAAATTCAATAAATTCCAGTTTCTTCACTGTAAATACTTTTGTCTATAATTCCAGAGACAATCTCTGTGGAATCCTATATCCATATGTCAAACACTCTGTGTGCCCTGGAATTGTGTCTGGGGAGAAGGACTACAGGTAGAGAGGGAAAACTCACATCAGGAATAGGAATGAATTCCAATAAAGACAAATCACTACCCCCCCTTCAGAGGAAGGGGTGTGATACAGTTGATTTGCCACCAAATGGATGTGGTCTTTCTGCAGAATGGCACCATAACAAGGTTGCAGCATGACTCCCTTCTGCCAACAGACCAAGCATTCAGGAGCTGTAGCAGTGGTATGAGACTAACCTTGATAAAAGAGAGTCCATGTTTTTGGTCCCTGATAGGCATTGTTGTAAAGTACAAAAATCTACACACTTAGAGCCCACTCACATACGTTCATCCTCATTCTTCCCTCCCAGACTACTTTCCTCCAATTTTCAATTTTGATCTTCAAGACCCCTAACAAGCTAGCAAAGCCATTTTTCAAAGCCCACAAATTCATGTTTATTTTTACTTATGACCAATTCTCCATCTAAATCTGATAACTAAGTGCAATGTTTATGGCTCTGGCCAATGAGAGAATTCTTCCTCCTGAGTGTCCATGAAGGTCATCTGAGTGAGTAGTAATGCAGCAGCAGTCCCATTTTTTGGCTTGCACCAAGGCATAGAATGAAGTCATCCGTAGAAACTCTCTCATGAGGCCATAATATTGAGCTTAAGAAAATATATTAATGCCACAGAAATACTTGATAAGGGATTTAGACTATCTGTTCATACCAATTCCTAGTGCCTTTATACCTGCTTCAGCGTGGTCCTACACATGCCATTTCCAATGTGTGATGGCTTGCTGCTGTGGCAGCTAGAAATTATGATTTAATAAATCTGATAACAGTTCATGATGAGCAGTGCTTTTCATGTAGGCAGTCACTTGGAAATCAATGGTCAGGTACTTAGTCCCTGATAAGACCCAACAGCATACTAAGATCTATTTTTAAATAGTAAGCAGTTGGCTTCTGCAGAGCTTTTTTTCTGGAATCCTAAAAGTATTGTTATTTATCTAATTGACTTTTGTAAATAATCTACACAATGTCCTTATTTATCATGGATATCTCCATTTCATTGGATTTCTGGTCGACATAGCCTGAATGGCTGGGCAGTTTGCACTGAAGACCAGAGTTAGTACGGGGACCCACTGAAAACTGGAAATACTATGAATCAACCTAAAATTGATCTAAAGTAGTATTTATGAAGCAGTTTTTATGCTGCCTATAACATTCAATGATCTTGAGAGAACTGTGCCTCTTTCTCAGTGGTAAAGAATATAAAACAAAATAATGTGTATTTTATGTAATGAGAGGATAGTCTAGCCTGCCCTAGCGTATTGGACTCAACACCTAAATGATTTAGCAGAATTCTGAAAATATCTAAGGGTTATTGCTAACCTTCTTGTATGTCACTTCCTACTCACAGGTCTAATCAGTGCATGCCTTCAATGTGTGACTAAAATGATGTTCTATAGATTATCATGACCATTAAGTTCCCTCAGGACAATATTATGACAGAGAGTAAAAGAGTTTGAAAAAGCTGAACAAACTATAAATGTTCAGAAAGTTATGGTGTAAGAAATGTGACTTTTTAAGGGTGAGAACTCCATCACAAGACAAAGACGAGAGGTTTTCTACAACTTTTTGTTGACATGTTGGTAGTTTTATTATATCCTTCATGTACTCAATATGAGGTTAAATCTATTTGAATTTCAAGATATTGCAAATACAACATATAATATGGCAAGGATCTTCTCCATGGAAAAGTATTTATGATGAAATGTAGATTTGTTTAAAAAGTAAAACACCTATGGTGAAATACTGGATCTTGGCTCTGCTGACAGATCCATTCCACCCACACCCCACCTTTATGTTCCTCTAAAGACCACCCTGAAGTGCCTTTGCAATCACCTACTCTGTTTTTTCCTGGAGGACTCTGTTACTCTGCATTCCTGGAAAGTGTACCTCTGATACTTTCCTCCTTGTCCTGTGACTAACTTGACTCATACTATTGCCAGTTGTCTCTATTTAGTCAATGGAACTAAAGCTTCTTCATCCTTTATCCCGTTGGCCTTTTGGGGTACTCTCCCCACGAGCCATGACACCGTCTCTCTGTAAAGTCTGAGGCATCACATCAGCTCTTTCGAACAGCTTCTGTGCTGGGCATTGTCTGAAGGACTGTTCCTTGTCAGAAGGACTGCTCATCAACTTAGTTCATAAGCATAGCAGAAGTAGCTTAAATTGTGAGATCTCAGGAAACAAATAAAAGTCTGCCCTGGGTTTGGTAGCATCCCTTCTTACTTTTTAAAATATTCAGATTATCAAAAGCAATTTAGGAATATATTCATCTACCATAAACAAATCCCCTAATAAGGTAGAGTTTGGCTTAGCCAGGGAGAAATATGTTAATTAACTCATTGTATGGGTTATCGTGAAGAAGAAGCCATATAATACAGAGCCTGTGTGAACCAAAAAGGTAGTTTTTTTTTTCTTTTCTTTATTCTGAGAGAAATAGCTGAAAATTAAAAGACTGAAGAGATTGGTGACTTGATCAAAAGCTAAGTAATCTGTTCAATGTCAAAAATAGTAATATAATCAATGTTCAAATCCCAGTTTTTGACAGCCAACTCAAGACACTTTCCTTTACACTTTTTCAATTGACTAGAGTTATTTCCACATTTACTAAAATGTTCACTTCTTCTGCCATTTTATTCAGTTAATGATATTTCTCTGTCAATTTGTCAGCAGTGCAGGGAAAGTCTATAGGATCTGTAAACCAGAGGAAAAAAAAAGAATTTTTAATACTATCCTATTACTTTGAAATGTGTGTATTAAAAAGTTGATTACCAAGTTATATTAATAGTTGCTTTATTTTTTTATTTATTTTTCTATTTTTTATATTTTAAACAAAATTTAAGGTGGGATTCTACAGTACATAATATCACAATCCTAACCGAAATACGATGCTATGTGCCTTTAATAGTTTCCCTTAAATAAGAATTAATTAAATTAGAAATTCATTGCTCTTAGCATTAGGAATGTCCCTTGTTTTTATTGGAACTAGAGTAATTTGAAAAATTTGTGGAAATAGTGCTGCAATAAACATACATGTGCATGTGTCTTTAGAATAGAATGATTTATATTCCTTTGGGTATATAACCAGTAATGGGTTTGCTGGGTCAAATGGTATTTCTGGCTCTAGATCTTTGAGGAATAGCTACACCGTCTTCCACGATGATTGAACTAATTTACACTCTCACCAACAGTGTAAAAGCATTCCTATTTCTCCACAGTTTCACCAGCATCTAATGCAAATCAAAACCACAATGAAATACCATCTCACACCAGTCAGGATGGCGATTATTAAAAAGTCAAGAAATAAATTTGAGTTTACCAAATGATAGCATTCACTTTATAAATGCTATCTTTTTTTTTTTTTTTTTTTTTTTTTTTGATACGGAGTTTTGCTCTTGTTGCCCAGGCTGGAGTGCAATGGCGCGATCTCGGCTCACCACAACCTCCGCCTCCCAAGTTCAAGCGATTCTCCTGCCTCAGCCTCCCGAGTAGCTGGGACTATAGGCATGTGCCACCATGCCCGGCTAATTTTGTATTTTTAGTAGAGAGGGGTTTTCTCTATGTTGGTCAGGCTGGTCTTGAATTCCTGACCTCAGGTTATCCGCCCACTTCGGCCTCCCAAAGTGCTAGGATTACAGGCGTGAGCCACCGCACCCAGCCCTATCATTTTTTATATTTTCAAGCATGTCATAGATGAATTTCACTTTAGTGCATAAATAGATGAAGCTACTGACTTTTTTTTATTCAACTGGCTCCTGATTTCTCTCATTAACATATTTGATGAGATGCTTCTGATTTTTCGATACCTTCAAAATACTTAAAAGTATCTGTATCTGTCAGAGTCTAGTCAGGAGACAGAACCCACATGAGTAATTTGAACAGAGAATACTTAATATAAAGAATTAGCAACTGGTAATAGGAATTAGCTACTACAAGGAGAATAAAAAGTAACTCTAAAAAAATACCCTAAGAGAGAACTGACATCTTTTACCATACTGTTTTTCTATTTATTAATATAGTGTCTATCTTCACTTATTTAAGTTTGATTTACTAATACACTCTTCATTACTACCTTTTGTTAAATTTTATAATTTTCTCTAAATGCACATCTTTAAATTTGTACATAAGCTTAGAGTATTTGTTGTTTTGCAAGTTACATTTTTTACATAAATAATTGTAATTTTTTGTTGACATATTTTTTCTTTTTCAACATTTATTTGTAAAAGATGTCATTCTCTATAAGTTAATAAATATGTTATATACAATGAATATAATAAATATCTTTGTATGTCAATTAACACATGAATCCAATGCAATTACAACAAAATCCTGAAATAATATTTTAAGAAATCTGACGAGCTGGTTGTAAAATGTTTATAGAACATAAAGGGGATAAACTAACAAAGACACTGAAAAATAAGAGATGAGAGAACTTAATCTATCAGACATCAAGATTTATTTTAAAACTGTAGTAAATTAAAACAGCGTAATATGGGTGCAGGGCTAAACACATGCATTAACGAAACAGAATAGAGTCTAGTAACAAATCCATACATACACTGAAGCTGAAAATGTAAGAGAGGTAGTATTGCAAATTGAGGGAAATAATGAACAATTAAATAAATGACACCAAGTCTGATTTCTACATATTTACAAATATATAAAAATAGATGCCTAGCTCCCAAAATGTACAAAATGAGTTACAAAGCGATGAAATTCTTAAGTATAAAAAGCAATATATGTTTTAATTTACAGAAGAAAATCTAAATAATGTCTTTATGATCTTGACAGAGAGAAGGATTTCTTAAATCAGACACATACACACAAAAAAAGATACCAAAAATGATTCACAAATCCAACCACATTAAATTTTCTAAAAATTATTACAAAGGCCATTTGAACAGCTGATAAATTTTACAACACTCTTGAAATGAAAAAATAAAATAGAGTGATGGGGAACAGATCATTGGTTGCCAGGGTTAAGATCACAGGGGAGACAGCACAGGAAAGTTTCTTTGAAGTGACGGAAGAGGTCTATGTCCTTATTGTGGCTGTTGTGACTACATGAATCTATTTATGCAATGATATTTCATAATACTATAAAGCAATAGTAAAAAAAAAAAGAGTACATGTAAAAACTGATTAAATCTGAATCTGAATCGTCTTCAGTTTACTTTGAAAAAAAAAAATACCATAGGCCTAAAGGAGAGAAACCAAAGAAGAAATAAATGTGGAAGGGTGATGCCCTGCCCAAGGTTGAGTTTCAGAACTCTTTGGAGAGAATATGAGTGAGGCCCCCTAGATGGAGAGAGGTTCTCTGGGTTGCACTGGACCAGATCTAGTCCACAGAAGGTGAAGTGAAGATGGGGATCAGAGAATTTAAGGCCAAGGCTGGCAATAAAACTTGCTGGAGGATGAGTACCACTGGGTGCCTGAACATAAGCCACTGGCAGCTGCACTGTAGGAACAAGAAGAGAAGTGGCACAAACGAAAATCTTGGTGTTGAAATAGTTCAGCTTTCTAGATTCTCCTCTCTTTTCTGCAACTCATAATCTAAAAGGAAATTGGAATTATCTAGCCAATCAGAGGCAGCCCTTTAAATGAAAGGTTTAAAATGGAAGCTTCTGAGTATGTATCATTCCATATTTTAAAGCATTTTAGCTATTTGAAAACCGTATGGGATAGGCATAATTGATTTTTGGGGGGGGGAGTCTCATAACCTAATAATCTCCACTTGAACTTAAGCAGTTATATTAAATTGTAGTTTGGCTATTCCCTGAAGTTGGCAAAATTCAGTTTCAGATTCTTAAATACTATTCATCCACATAGAAGTTTTAGGCATGTTGTTAAGAAAACTCTTAAAACCTGACAAATGTTTGAATGTATGCCCACCAGAGAATTAGGTTCTCATTGATTTTTTTCTTGATATTTACATTTACCCCGTAACAAAAGCAGTAAATGCATACATATTATCCATCTAGTGCCCATATTTTATTTCTAGAACCAGTAATCTAAACAGAGATTTTTCCATGTTTTTATATTTAACTTTCACTTGATACCTAGAAAAAGACTTGTTAATATTCATTAAATGTTCTCTATATTATCTTCTTCACTACTTTCCCCACAATTGAGATACACCACAAAAATACATTAAAATATTAAACAGTGTATTGACCTGAGGAATTTGAAGGAGTTTTGTCTTAATGAAAGGAAGTTCTCACTACTAGTGACATTTCAGAAATTCTCCTTGGCCTCAGGTAATGGTTCACAATTTTCCTTACGGCAGCCTTCATATCCCTATTCCTTAGTGTATAAATAATGGGGTTTAGGACGGGGGTGAAAACAGTGTAAAATATGGCAAGAAATTTATCCAAAGGAGAGATGGTAAAGGGCCACACATAGATGAAGATGCAAGGTCCAAAGAATAATATTACTACTGCAATATGGGAAGCCAGCGTAGAAAATGCCTTTGCCATTGCAGCTGAAGACTTGAGCCAAACTGTAACAAGAATAATGATGTAGGAGCTGACCAAGAGAGAGAAAGTGCTTAGGGAAAGAATTCCACTATTGACCACAATTAGTATTTCAATGATGTAAGAGTCCAGGCAGGCAAGTTTGGTGACTCGAGGAAGATCACAAAAAAAGCTGTCTACTACATTAGGTCCACAAAAAGGCAGGTTCACAGTAAATGATAACTGGCTTAATGTGTGCACCAAGCTCACAGCCCAGGAGATCATTACCAAGACAGTGCATGTCCTTCGGCTCATGATGACCACATAGTATAAGGGTTTGCATATGGCTACATACCTGTCATAGGCCATCGAAACAAGTAGCACCATCTCCCCTCCAGTAAAAAGGTGAATAAAGAAAATTTGGGCTATGCAGCCACTGAAAGATATGGTCTCGTGTGCACTCAGAAAATCTGCAATCATTTTAGGGGTAGCAAAAGAAGCCTGACAAATGTCAACAAAGGAAAGGTTTCCCAAGAGAAAGTACATAGGGGAGTGCAGGCTGGTATCAGAAGTCACTGTGAGGATAATGAGAAGATTTCCCAGCACAATGACTGTATACAACACAGAGAAGAAACAAAAATAGAAAAGCTGGAGTTTTTGAGAACTACAGAGTCCCAACAGTACAAATTCAGACACCACTGAAGAATTGGACTTATCCATGGTTCCAAGCTGCAAACTTGTTCTGAAACAACTCTAAAGGAGGATAAATAGAAAGGAATCAGAATTTGAATTAAGAATACTTTTAAGGTGAGGGATTCTGAGATCTCAGATATAATGTGCATTTGCTGAATGCAAAAATTTTGAAGAGGCCATAATAGTATGTCTGGATAGGTGGATAATAGGAAAGAACTTATGTAAATGTCTAAATAATGCTTAATAATTTAATCAGTATAATTAGAACCCCTTGAGTTTTTGGATAGTCCTTGTCTTTTATACAGTAGGAAATGAGCTTACCCAGGAGCTGACTCATGACAACAAGACTAGAGGAGTGACCTAGAGTCCAGCTCCACAAGCCTCATAGGTTGACAAAAAGTGTTTACATTTGCTTGTCTTGTGGTCATCTTACATCATCAATTATACAACATTCTTAACTTTTGAAGAGATATTCATGGCTTGATTATTATTACATGATGTAAAGTCACACAGATTAACTTTTGGCCAATTATTTTATCTGAGCTTTAATTCCACACCTTAAAAAAGATGGGAGGTATAAAAATACCTACTTTACAGAAAACTTTAGAGTTTAAGCAGAATAACTCATGACATTCTACCATCAAAGTAATTGTATTGCAACATATGATCTTAATACATTAAACACCCTATATTAATAGAAATTTACCTTCGTGCTCCTGCAGGAGTCATTTACAATTAGGCAATTCCTGCTAAACAGATACTATTGAATGTATATTATACTGGCCTATAGTTCCAACTGAGTTTGTCAATTAGTTATCCAATAATTTCTTAAAACACATATTATGGCTTACCTGAATTATCTAAATCCTATTTTCTGTTGATTATCCAAGAGTGGAACCTAAATTTTTCATTTTCTTTGCCTATCAGAATTAGATTTCAGCCCACTTACATTCTCCCTGCTAGAGTTCTCCATGATCTTCTTAAAACATCTTTATAATTAATGCTGGAAAATGAAGTTTAAAAAAAATTTCTGGATAGAGAAGTAAAAATGATTATAAACCTCTCATGCTCTTGAAAATATCTAAAAATTTGCATCGTATGTTTTTCACCCTGTAAAGACATACCCCTACTGTATAAATCTAGTTCAGTTGAACTGGAAAAACTTTAAAGAAGTGCTGTTTTAGGAAACCATATTAGTTCTGACAATTAACTGTTGACAACAGTCATAGTAAGAGGCCTGAGAGAGTAATGATCTAATTCTAGTCCCATGTGAGAACATGAACATCTTTTTCTGCTAATTTATTTCATACAAGAAGCCAGAGTCTTTCCTTTGTCTCTAGGCTACAGACCTAGTCTCTCATTTAGATGAATGCAGTTGCAATCCACACCGGGAAGCCCCACAGTAAACAATCATATTGTGTACTCTATTGGAAGAAGGTTCAGAGAAGCATTCCACTGGGCCACATTTTGGATATACATTATTGTAAACTCTGGAACTACGGCAAACAAAAAGATGACTCATTATAATTGTTTAAAGCATTAGTAACAACAAATCAGTGTCTATAATATACAAGAAGGCAATAACTAAGAGGATTCTGAAATATGATGTAATCACTTTATGCCATGTGTGACTCATTTTGTTCCCCCATTTCTAAAATAAAAGTGTCCTTGCTCAAGTTCATGTATTTATTACATAAAATGATTAACTCTACCTAACGAAAATGTTTATTGTATGAATGTAATGTATTAAGCTAAAAATTGAGGCAGATTTAAATATAGTGAATGATGAATCATAATTTTAAAATTTACAAATGAAGGGCAAAGAGAGCTTGCATTTGTTCAGACGCTGCTAGATAGCATCTACTGTGTATACATGTTTTATCAGGTGATCTTTACAACAGACCTTTGGAAAAGGGGTTACTAAACTGCAGAAGAGAAAAACAAAGATTAGACATGTTTACTAATCTGTGGTCAGACATCTAGTAAGGGTCAGAACATCTCAGTGGGGATTTGAAATCAGATAATAAAAATAATATTTAACATTTACTAAGCATCAAAGTGTTAGGCACTGTTCTGAGCTCTTAATGTATAGTAATTGAATCTTCCCATAACACTGCATGGTAAATGCACTTACTAATTCTATCTTACAATAAGAAGTCAGAGATACGGAGATGATAAGCAGTTTCCCTGAAGTTCCATAGCTGGAGAGCCATTAAACTAGAATCTGAACCCTGGTATTTGACTCCAAGGCCAGGTCTTGCCACATTACAACATCCTGTTTCAGATCTGAATATAAAACTCATGCCATTGACACTATGTTACAACTGGAAATTCCCTCAATATATGCTCATGATTCTAATCTTTTCACCTGCTATGAGGCATTCATTCATCAGTTGAGCCAGAGTTTCCCAACTTTGGCATTATTGACATTTGGGGTTGAATTACTTTGTTGAAACAGACTGTCATGTGACTACTGTAGGGTGTTCAGGAGCATCTCTGGCATTACCCATTAGATGCCAGCTACACTTTCCCCCCAGTTATGCCAACAAAAATGTCTCCAAACATTACAAAATGTCCACTTGAGGAGGTGAAAAATGACTCCCAGTTGAGAACCACTGTGCTACTGTGTTAAGTTGTCTTTGGCTTGCCTTTTTAGTCTCTCCCTGTTTCATTTAACTTTTCATTTAATCTTTTCATCTACTGACAGTTGCTCGGATTCACTCATCAAAGAAATAAGAAAAAGAACTCTCCTAAACTCTTCTATTATCTTTGATTGTTTTTTCTCTTAATTTTTCTTTTTTTTAAAAAAAGAAATTTTGTGTAGTAGTGTCTACATGTTTCTCTCCAAATCTTTTTTACTACTCAGACTTTTAACATGCTTAACTATGCCTTTTGCTGCCACAGTCAGGAAAACTACTTTATCAAATGTCCCCAAAGACCTGGTAATGATAGCTAATTCTTAAACAGAATGCCTCTTGGTTTTCCTTTCATAATTTTTAATGTTAGCTTCCTTTATCCATGCTACTGCCCCTTAAAAGTAGATTCCAAGAGGTCTTAGCCTCTGGCATTCCAATTTTTTTTCCTTTTCCCTCTGCATTTCTTGAACTCTTCTTTATCTCTTTATGTCCTTATTAATCTATTTCTGCTCCTTGTTATCTCCCTTTCTTCGGCATTCCATTCATCTCCTTGGCATCAGTCATTTCCTCTGTATTATGATCTCTAATTTTGCAGTACTGTTCCCCCCGCCGCCCCCACATTCCAATATTCCAATCTGTTTCTGACAGTTTTTGAATGTGACTATACATAGCCATCTCAAAGCTCAGCTCTCACAATTTCCCAACTCAACTCAACTCTTTTCCTTCAAACTTGTCTGAATTAACTGTAAGGGAAAACCTACCTTTCTCCTGGACCTCACTCTTCCACTTGAAACATCTTATCATTCCTTAAGCATATATATATATATATATATATACATATATATACACACACATATATATATACATATATATACACACACATATATATATACATATATATATACACACATATATATACACATATATATACACACATATATATACATATATATACACACATATATATACACATATATACACACATATATATACACATATATATATACACACATATATATATATAAAATTGAATGTCCTTAGCATGAGAGCCAAGAATATAGAACCTGCTTTTACCTATGCCATACACTGCTCTCTAGCAAAAAATAACAGACTACTCAACATTTATTAAGCTGATAAACAATTCCTTATCCATTTTTTCGTGTCCTTCACAGATGTCTATTCCAACACAAATGTTACCACCTCTAAAAGCCTTCCTAGAGGCTTAAGTTGAAATTTCTATGTCCTAATGTTTCTGTAGCACTTTGCTTGCATATGCGTTATATCTTCTCCCAAGGTATAGTGAATTATGTTGGCTTGGCATACATTTTGAATACAAATTCCACTTTCTCATACCAGAAGCCGAGCTCAGTTACCCTTGACACAGTTTCCAGTTCTACAGTACATTCAAATGGTTCAAGCTGTTGGCCAGAGATAAAAACTAGAGGCATCTCTCCCACCTGGCCAACTGGGCTCCCTGCTTTCCTGTAGCTTTCTTTAAATGGACCCTTCAGTCATTTTCTGGTGAACTTAAAGTAACCCATACCCTGTTCCCTCAGGTGTACTGCTAAATGCCAGGCTTTCTCACCATCCCTTTGCTTGACTCTTCATTCCTGTCCTACATGACACTGAGATGAAGGACTGCCCTCCCAACTTATTGCACTCTCCCTGCCTGATCGCTAAATAAAAATCATTGAACTTTTTTTCTATTGCAGTGATGTATTGAATTTGCATCACCCACCTGAAGAATCAGGGGCTGGCCCAGGCTGAGTTTTCCCTGGAATGCTTGGGAGAACACAAGATCAGGCTTCCAGCCTCCAGAGTGCTGGTCTGGTAGACATCAGCTAGACATAGGTCAGACAAAAGCTGCAGGGGCATCTGCCAGTATAAAATTTCCTGTGTGAGGAACTCCCTGGTCATGACAACTAGGCATTAAGCCTTTCACCAGGTAAAAGACATATCCCATAAAGACACACTGGAAACACCCAGAACAAGCTCATTTTCATTTCTCATTAGGACAGGATTGCTAGCCACTCTGGTATGGAACCCCAATTTAGCTGGGGACTCTCAAAACATAAGGTAAGACTCCCAGTGTGGAAGAGAAATATTATTATGATAGCTAACTCTATTATTTCTCTTCCACACTGAAACTTCTTGAATTATTGTGCTCCTTATGAATGATTCACAGGATTTGGTAGAGAGACATGCCAAAAGTACTTTGTCCATAAATGTGTTATAGTATTAATGGAAATATATTTCACCCTGTATTTGTCTTTCACTGAATAGTTTTACCTTCTTACTTTCCTGTGCATAGACTCCTTCCCAGTGAATGGCCTAGAACTCTGCAAACCATATACCACCTACATAAACTCCATCTTTACATGGAGCAAAAATATTTCATCTAATTGGTAATACAATGTCCTAATTAAGTAATAAAAACAAGTGCCAACAATCAACCAGCTAATGCAAAAAGAATGACATAACTGGTTTGAGTTGAAGCATAGAGAAAATAGTTTATCTGTTATATTGGAAGTAAACCATACTTTAGTTACCAACTTTTTAAAGTTATAGAAATAACGAGATGCTTTAAGAAGAATAAATTTGCATTTTATTGTGTAGGGTTAAATAAATCCTGTTATATACTTTAAGTGCAAATAAAAATAAATTATGGATTATACTATAACTACAGACCTATAACATGAGTTTTGTATTTAACATTCTCATAACTTTTTTGTGTAGTTTTACTCTACAAAGTAATATATAGCCTTGATTTGCATGCCTATTTAATTTCTTTAGGTAATAGGTAAGAGTGTCATGATGGATTTTCCTAGGTGCAGTCAGAGTTTTTCATAATTTTCCCAAGTGTCTCCCCAAGTATACTTCATCTCTGTACATAATTTCTCACAAGTTATCCCTAGCACGCTCAGACACAGACACATGAACATCCTAATCTTTTTTAAATTAATTATTTATTTTTTCCATAAGTTATCAGGGTACAGGTGGTTAGTACCTTTTTCTTTTGTCAAATTGTAAGAGTACCATGAATTTATCTAAGTGACCAATTGCAGCTTTTAAGATTTAGTATTAAATAGCCAAGGTTCATCTTCCAATGGAAATTAATATGTTTCACCAGATATTCTCATTCAAGCAAGGTAGATATGCGGCATTATTTCTGAGGGCTCTGTTCTGTTTCATTGGTCTATATCTCTGTTTTGGTACCAGTATCATGCTGTTTTGGTTACTGTAGGCTTGTAGTATAGTTTGAAGTCAGGTAGCGTGATGCCTCCAGCTTTGTTCTTTTGGCTTAGCATTGACTTGGCAATGTGGGCTCTTTTTTGGTTCCATGTGAACTTTAAAGTAGTTTTTTCCAATTCTGTGAAGAAAGTCATTGGTAGCTTGATGGGGATGACATTCAATCTATAAATCACCTTGGGCAGTATGGCCTTTTTCACGATATTGATTCTTCCTACCCATGAGCATGGAATGTTCTTCCATTTGTTTGTATCCTCTTTTATTTCATTGAGCAGTGGTTTGTAGTTCTCCTTGAAGAGGTCCTTCACATCCCTTGTAAGTTGGATTCCTAGGTAGTTTATTCTCTTTGAAGCAATTGTGAATGGGAGTTCACTCATGATTTGGCTCTCTGTTTGTCTGTTATTGGTGTATAAGAATGAATGCTTGTGATTTTTGTACATTGATTTTGTATCCTGAGATTTTGCTGAAGTTGCCTATCAACTTAAGGAGATTTTGGGCTGAGTTGATGGGGTTTTCTAGATATACAATCATGGCAAGCAGGGACAATTTGACTTCCTCTTTTCCTAATTGAATACCCTTTATTTCTTTCTCCTGCCTGATTACCCTTGCCAGAACTTCCAACACTATGTTGAATAGGAGTGGTTGAGAGAGGGCATCCCTGTCTTGTGCCAGTTTTCAAAGGGAATGCTTCCAGTTTTTGCCCATTCAGTATGATATTGGCTGTGGGTTTGTCATAGATAACTCTTATTATTTTGAGATACGTCCCATCAATACCTAATTTATTGAGAGTTTTTAGCATGAAGCGTTGTTGAATTTTGTCAAAGGCCTTTTCTGCATCTATTGAGATAATCATGTGGTTTTTGTCTTTGGTTCTGTTTATATGCTGGATTATGTTTATTTATTTGTGTATGCTGAACCAGCCTTGCATCCCAGGGAGGAAGCCCACTTGATCATGGTGGATAAGCTTTTTGATGTGCTGCTAGGTTCGGTTTGCCAGTATTTTATTGAGGATTTTTGCATCGATGTTCATCAGGGATATTGGTCTAAAATTCTCTTTTTTGGTTGTGTCTCTGCCCGGCTTTGGTATCAGGATGATCCTGGCCTCATAAAATGAGTTAGGGAGGATTCCCTCTTTTTCTATTGATTGGAATAGTTTCAGAAGGAATGGTACCAGCTTCTCCTTGTACCTCTGGTAGAATTTGGCTGTGAATCCATCGGGTCCTGGACTTTTATTGGTTGGTAATCTATTAATTATTGCCTCAATTTCAGAGCCTGTTATTGGTCTATTCAAAGAATCAGCTTCTTCCTGGTTTAGTCTTGGGAGGGTGTATGTGTTGAGGAATTTATCCATTTCTTCTAGATTTTCTAGTTTACTTGCATAGAGGTGTTTATAATATTCTCCGATGGTAGTTTGTATTTCTGTGGGATCGGTGGTGATATCCCCTTTAGCATTTTTTACTGCGTCTATTTGATTCTTCTCTCTTTTCTTCTTTATTAGTCTTGCTAGCAGACTATCAACTTTATTGATCTTTTCAAAAAACTAGCTCCTGGATTCATTGATTTTTTGAAGGATTTTTTGTGTCTCTATTTCCTTCAGTTCTGCTCTGATCTTAGTTATTTCTTGCCTTCTGCTAGCTTTTGAATGTGTTTGCTCTTGCTTCTCTAGTTCTTTTAATTGTGATGTTAGGGTGTCAATTTTAGATCTTTCCTGCTTTCTCTTGTGGGCATTTAGTGCTATAAATTTCCCTCTACACACTGCTTTGAATGTGTCCCAGAGATTCTGGTATGTTGTGTCTTTGTTCTTGTTGGTTTCAAAGAATATCTTTATTTCTGTCTTCATTTCATTATGTACCCAGTAGTCATTCAGTAGCAGGTTGTTCAGTTTCCATGTAGTTGAGCAGTTTTGAGTGAGTTTCTTAATCCTGAGTTCTAGTTTGATTGCACTGTGGTCTGAGAGACAGTTTGTTATAATTTCTGTTCTTTTACATTTGCTGAGGAGTGCTTTACTTCCAAGTATGTGGTCAATTTTGGAATAGGTGTGGTGTGGTGCTGAAAAGAAAGTATATTCTGTTGATAATTTGCCAGTCTGTGTCTTTTAATTGGAGCATTTAGCCCATTTACATTTAAGGTTACTATTATTATGTGTGAATTTGATCCTGTCATTATGATGTTAGCTGGTTATTTTGCTTGTTAGTTGATGCAGTTTCTTCCTAGCCTTGACGGTCTTTACAATGTGGCATGTTTTTGCAGTGCCTGGTACTGGTTTTTCCTTTCCATGTTTAGTGCTTCCTTCAGGAGCTCTTTTAGGGCAGGCCTGGTGGTGACAAAATCTCTCAGCATTTGCTTGTCTGTAAAGTATTTTATTTCTCCTTCACTTATGAAGCTTAGTTTGTCTGGATATGAAATTCTGGGTTGAAAATTATTTTCTTTAAGAATGTTGAATATTGGCCCTCACTCTCTTCTGGCTTGTAGAGTTTCTGCTGAGAGATCCGCTGTTAGTCTGATGGGCTTCCCTTTGTGGGTAACCCGAGCTTTCTCTCTGGCTGCCCTTAACATTTTTTCCTTCATTTCAACTTTGTTGAATCTGACAATTATGTGTCTTGGAGTTGCTCTTCTCGAGTAGTATCTTTGCGGTGTTCTCTGTATTTCCTGAATTTGAATATTGGCCCGTCTTGCTAGGTTGGGGAAGTTCTCCTGCATAATATCCTGCAGAGTGTTTTCCAACTTGGTTCCATTCTCCCCGTCACTTCCAGGTACACCAATCAGACGTAGATTTGGTCTTTTCCCATAGTCCCATATTTCTTGGAGGCTTTGTTTCTTTCTTTTTATTCTTTTTTCTCTAAACTTCTCTTCTCGCTTCATTTCATTCATTTGATCTTCAATCACTGATCCCTTTCTTCCAGTTGATTGAATCAGCTACTGAGGCTTGTGCATTCATCACATAGTTCTAGTGTCATGGTTTTCAGCTCCATCAGGTCCTTTAAGGACTTCTCTGCATTGGTTATTCCAGTTAGCCATTCATCTAGTTTTTTTCCAAGGTTTTTAACTTCTTTGCCATTGGTTCGAACTTCCTCCTTTAGCTCGGAGTAGTTTGATCGTCTGAAGCCTTCTTCTCTCAAGTCATCAAAGTCATTCTCCATCCAGCTTTGTTCCGTTGCTGGTGAGGAGCTGTGTTCCTTTGGAGGAGGAGAGGTGCTCTGATTTTTAGAATTTCCAGTTTTTCTTCTCTGTTTTTTCCTCATCTTTGTGGTTTTATCTACCTTTGGTCTTCTTTAAGTATTTCTCCCTTTAAAGTGAGAACAATATTTAGCTTTCTCAGAGAAAGGTGCTAGAAGCACATTGCAGGAGGAAGAATCCCTCTTACCAGTTCAGGCCTCCGCTGGGGTCAGCAACACAGGTGTGAGGAAAACGAATGGAGACAGCCCCAGCCACAGGCCTGAAACCTGATCTCTCTACAACCTCAAGGCAGTGGTCTTGTGATAACCTTTCAGGAGTCTTTTCACACAGAAACCGGGGTCCCCCCACAACTTGGAAGAGTTTCTACCCATACCAGCACCTTGATTTCCTTTGTGCATCCAGTCCACTGGTTTCTGATCACCTCCTCCCCAGCTTGCATAAGAGGTGGGCTATTAGTTGCCCAGTGGTTGGGAGACCAGCTCTGACCTAGCCAAATCAGTGAGCTTTTTTACTCACCAATGAGATGAACCATTCATTTCCCAATGAAACTTAACAACCTCTGTTAAGATTGTGGTTCCTTGGGTACTTTCTTTTTGCTATAGGGCACCACGTAGAGTTTCCTTATATCTTATAGTTACTTTTCCATTATAGTTCATTCTTTATACCAAACTATTTAATCTGTTGTATGGTTTCTGTCTCCTGACTGGACACAGACTGCTACATATTTCTACAAGCACTGAATGAAGTGAAGATTTTATTGAAATCTTTAATGATGGTCATGAAGTTTCTCTCTTGTTCCTTGTAATTTTGCACCTTATACATTTTGAGGCTGACGTTAGGATTGCACAAGTTTAGGAAGATAGTATAATCCTGGAAAACATTTCCTTTAGCAATATAGTCTCACTTAAATTATGTCTGATATGTTCAATATAATTAGTCATTAGGGAAATGTAAATTTAAAATACAATTAGTTGCAACTCCACACTTGTGAGGAAGCTAAAATTAAAATGACAAATAATAACAAGTTTAGCAAATATGTAGAGGAAGTGAAATTTTCATGGGAATATAGGAACATAAAATAATGTAAGCACTTAAAAAAGGGTCTCTCAGTTTCTTTTAAAAAGTTAAACGTACACCTACAATATGATGCAGACATTCCAATTTATTATTTGCCTAAAAATGGAAAAATAAAATATATAGCCATATAAAGACTTATATACAAATAAGCAACTATATTGGTAATAGGCAAAACAGAGGCACAATAAAAATGTCTATCAACAGTGAACGAATCAATAAACTGTAGTATTCCCATACAATGAACTACTTCTAAGCAATATAAAGGGAACATAATATTGATACATATATAAAAATGGATAAATTCAAATAAATATACTGAGTTAAAGAAGCCAGACCAAGGAAAAACAATAGAACAAGTAGTGGATTGGGGAGAGGTGGGAGAAAATTTTGGGGACCATGGATACATTCATTAGTTTGATTGTAGAGATAGTTTTATGGGCATACATCAAAACATCAAATTGTGCTCTGTAATACATTCAGCTTATTGCATATCAATTATACCTTAATAAAGCCATCTTAAAAAAACATGACTACCATGCGACTCAATCGTCTCATTCCTAGCTATCTACTCACAAGAAATGAAAACTTAGGTTCACACAAAACCTTATACAGAGACGTCTGTAGCAACTTCACTATTAATTTCCAAACCACCCATACATTCTTCATCAATAAATGGAATAAACGATGACTCTCAAAACAACATGGATAAATTTCACATGCCTTTTGCTAAAGTGCCAGCAGGAAACCAGATTCCAAAAAGCTACACACTGCAGGATTATATGAATATCTGAAAAAAAGCAAAACTACAGAGAAAAAAAGAAATCCATGGTTTCCAGAGGTGTAGGAGGTGGTAAGAAGTTGTCTATATGGGACTAGCACCAGGAAAGTTTGGGTGATGGAACTATTCTGTGTGGAACTGCAGTGGTGGACATATAACTCTATGCATTTCAAAACCCATATCAAAACCCATAGAAATATACAGAACTAAAAGTGAATTTTACCCTAAAATATGTTTAAGGATAATCACAAATATAGAAACAGCTTTACTCTTCTTCGACCTGGCAAAAGTACAAACGGTAATTAAAACAGTATTAACGCTGTAATAGAGAATGAAGTGTTAGGGCAATTGACAAAATATATTTTTTAAGCTTCATGAGAAACTAAGGTAACACAAAATAAAACAATGGTTTTATTTATATTTATTTTCTCATTAAATTAGCAGATTAAAATTTTATGCTCAATGATACAAATTCATTATTAGGCATTTTTAGTATTTAAGAAAATATTTATGATATGACACATAAAATACATGAGTATATTTACAATATGATATCCAAGCATCTGCAGTTGACTGAGTGTGTGCTGGAGAGATCAGGCATCCTTGGCCTGTTTCCCACTCTCAGCTGCTGTTGCCTGAGCAGGGCCATGGCCTCCACAATCCTTGAAACCTCCATCCCCTGGGTAACTGCCCATGAATTGCTGCTGCCACCAGTCATCTCATTTTCCCCACACCCACTATAACAAAGAAGGAGAAATTCTTCAACCCAAATCAGGCTGAGTGGAAGTTCCTTGACCTCCTGGCCAGTGAAGAACATTTGGGGCACATCACCAAGTGCCAGAGGGGCCCTGAGGTGCCATTTTCTTAGAATCGCCTGTTCCCATTCTGAGTCATGACTTAGTAAATGTTCTGGGAAGTGAGACTCTCCATCCCATAGTGATTGTCTATAGAAGAGAGGGCTATAGATGAATGTTAGTGACATGAGTGTTGGCGGCAGCAGCAGAGGCACACTGACCTGTCACCAAGCAGGAGACAGTACTTCATGGACCACTAGTGAGAGAGAGGAAAAGAGGTTTGCTCCTGCTCTTCTACCTAGTCTTCTGTGGGTTCCTAGCTGCACTCTTCTTGTTCACAATGTGGACTATGCTTCAGGTGCTGAAAGATAGGGTTCCAAAACAGCAGCTTCCTAGTTCAGGACTTAAAATTTCTCCAGAGTCAGTGATGGCATTAAAATATGTATTCAGTATGTCTGATTCAGCTTCCTAGAATAGGTACTTTGTAGATTTTAATAATTTTCTAAAGCTGTATTAGATGAAGAGAAGAATCTCACAATCCATCCTGATGAAGTACTTTTTGAAAGAAGGGACTAGTTTATAACGCGTGTAAATTTCCTGCTACCTTACTTTAAGCATGCAGTGGTATGGAGGATCCTGATATTTGTGGTTTCAAAGGAAACCATTTTATTCTTGTAAAAATTAGCAGAGTAATTAGATTAAATCCTCAAGTGGAACCAAGGTTAATGGGTTTAAAAAAACACAAGATAAGTCTGATAACCTCTCACCATGGATTTATAGACTGAAAATATTTAGCACATTATGGAAAAAAATATGCATGTGGAGTATCTATAGCAGTTCTAAGTAATCTTTGATCATAATGCTGATACCAGGCAAGAAGCAACACTACAATGGTTTGATGAATCACCCAACTTATAAAACCAATGTGTTTAAAAGCACAGTGAATGCATAACATGAATAGGGTAGCTCCACTGGATAAATGTTTTTTGTTTTTATTTTGTGTCAAAGGGACTGGACAGTATATAATAGAGTGAAATCACCTTGAAGGAAGTTGGGGTGTTACCTAACACTGGATGTCTTAGTTCATACTGGCTGTTATAACAAAATGCCACAAACTGAGTGGCTTATAAACAATAGGAATTCAGTTCTGGAGGCTAGGAAGTTCAAGATAAAGAAATTGGTAAATTAAGTGGCCTGTAAGTACCCACTACCTAGATCACAGACAGCAGTTGCTCTAACTTCACATGCCAAAAAGAAGGAGCTCTCTGAGGCCACTAATGACATTCATGAGAGCTCCATCCTAAATACCTAATCACTTCTCAAAGGTTTTACTTCCTGATACCATCAACTTGGTGGTAAGAATTTCAATATGTGAAAAGGACATAAAATGTTCAGACTATAGCACTACAGGGGGTGGGGGACATAAAGATTCAGCCCACAGCTCTGGGGCAGCATCATAATGTGCTTTTAGATTATAGTGTTTATTGTTCTGAAGGAACTGTTTTTGCTTCTTGTTCTATTTTGTATGTGGTTTTATTGCCAAGTGTCTAAAGCTTTATATGCTATGTTATGTAACTGTTGAATGGACTTAAAACTGGTTAACTGTCATATTTTGATGTTAACACAATTTTGGTGACAAAATGATAAGAATAAATGGTACCTTGGTAACA
This sequence comes from Homo sapiens, assembly GCF_000001405.40. NCBI lineage: Eukaryota > Metazoa > Chordata > Mammalia > Primates > Hominidae > Homo > Homo sapiens. The sequence goes on along the minus strand of NW_025791796.1, from coordinate 109,934 downwards.
TCAAGTGATTTTATATAGCTTCAAAAAAAATGTGATCTCTTACATCCCTCAAATTTTGTATGTGAGGAGGAAAAAACAAAATAAAAGTAGATTTGAAAAGTGTTATCTTAAATTTTTGTAAAATTAGTTTTTACATGCTTAATTAATCTATGGATCTTTTTAATACACAGCATGAACTTTTTGATGTACAATGAATGTATGAAGAAAAGAATGTTAATGGAATTAGTTTTTACTGCTAAAGGTAAATCTCACAAATTACTTAGAATATCTTAACCATAATTGAAACATAGCATTTTTAGTTTAGCAAGTATGAATATGCACCTAAATTTTTATCAAACAATTTCCTATCTTATCAAAATATTTTAAATTGTGCAATAGTTTGTGAAACACTCTGTCATTGATTTCAGTTAGCAAATATAAGCAAATTAACTACAAAACTATAGCAAGTATGATTGAAGAATGCATAATTGTGTATAGGCTTCTTTACAAGTATTTAACAAAGAGCACACATTTATAATTTCAAGCAAACAAATTAACTGTTAAAAACATTGATGGTGAGAAGAAAAAGGCAAAGTCTGTGTCTCAAGTTCCCACTTGTCTACTCAATTCAACAAATCTGGTCCTATGAGAGAGAGCTGGGAAGACAGCCTGGAAGTTACATACTGGGTCTTCAGGTTATGAATTGCTGATTTTACCTCTTTGTTTCTCAGTGTGTAGATAAGGGGGTTTAATATAGGTGTGAAAACTGTAGAGAATACAGACAAAAGGTTATCCACTGGTAAGTTGCTGAAAGGCCAGGCATAGATGAAGATACAAGGCCCAAAGAACAGGGTCACCACAGTCACGTGGGCAGTCAGAGTGCTGCGAGCCTTGGCCATACCTGCTGAGGAAGGTCGCTGCACAGTAATCAGAATGACCGTGTAGGAGATCAGCAAAAGCAAAATGAAGTCACCCCCATAAGACCACTGTCCAAAAGCATCAACGCTTCAGGGATATAAGTATCTGTACAGGCAAGTTTGATGACCAAAGTAAGGTCACAATAATAACTGTCCACTATGTTTGGGCCACAGAAGGGCAAACTTACAGTGAAAGCTAACTGGCTCAGGGAGTGCATAACTCCAGTGACCCAAGATCCTACCACTAGGCCTGTACATGTGCACAAGTTCATGATGGTTGCATAATGGAGAGGTTTGCATATGGCTACATATATGTCATATGCCATGGCTACAAGGAGCACCATCTCACCACCAGCAAAGACATGGAACAAGAATATCTGGGCCATGCAGCCCTCAAAGGAGATAGTCTTGGGTTCATGAAGGAAATCATGGATAATCTTAATCCATATTGTCTCTGAAGTTACGTTAATGGTTTGGGTTTGAGGTAAATTCCCTTGCAGTTAACATTTTACTATATGAGAATATGTAAACTGAAATGGTACACATGTCAGTACAGAATATTAGTAGATAAGGTGATGATAGCCGTAAAATGAAGATTTGAAAAATGCCAGAAATCCTCATAGAGAATGGCACCATATCCTCTACTGAATGCCACTTTTGTCTAGATGTCAGAGTGGGCTGGTTTGAACTGAGATGAGTATAGAATGATGTTAATATGCTTCTGTAGAGTCTTTTCTATTCAATATTTCAGAAAAAGACCCATAGAACCAAAAAAACCCTCAAATATTACAGAAATTGATCTTTAAGTCATTTTCTATCATACCCAAATTCAAATTTTATGCTCTGGACTAAAATTGATATAATTATTTTGTGGTTGAGTCAAAGGACTTTGCACAAAACTGTAAGTCCAAGAATCATAAGCCATTGCTCCAAGTTTCATTCTCTAGTTAAAGGTCTTACTTCCATTTTCCAAAAAAAAAATCTCAAGCAATTGGATCAAGCAAGTTGTCGACATAAATTTTTTTTTAAAAAAAGACTTACCTGATTCAATTATCTACAGATTTTGAGAAAGTTCAAACAAGTTTTGGCTTCTTTCAGATCAAATGTTCTTGAAGGGGACCTGCACCAAATGTGCACATACTTTAGAGTTAAGGTGTTATAACTATCATAAATATTGACTTAGGTAAACCTCCTCTTCTTGACACTCTATTTCACCCTTTTCCCATTTTATCATTTATCTATTTCATTTAGGACTTGGGATTGAACAGGAACCACGGGAGTATGAATGTGTCCCATGATGATTCCTTGCCATTAAATATTTGCTGGCTTGTTGAATAGGGAAAAGGGTTCAAGTCCAGACAGCCAAACCACTTTCAACTTTCTTTCAACTCCAGAGCTCTTTCCCTTGTCTTACTTATAACCAATTACACGCACTATGTTTCTAATAGATTTAGGAAGAGTTTTACATGGAGAGATTTCTGCGACACTATACGAAGAATTGAATTGAACTGAATCTTCAGTGATATTCCACACATCAGTGAGAAGAAACTCAGCAAAGAACAGCTGATGCACTGCAATACGAATGTTAAATGAATTCCTGTTTTAATTTTAAATGTTAAAAATTATTGATAGGATATCCCATAGAAACATATTTGTATTCTTAGCATACACTCCACTTAATTATGGTGTGTTATATGAGAATATTATAACTTTGGTTTGATGTGCTAATTATTTATTTAGGATTTTTCGTATAGGTTTACAATTATAGTAGTTTTAACTTGTTGGGCTATCCACTTCCTATTTTGGTAGTAAGACAATGATAGGCTCACAAAATTAGTGGGGTTGCTCAGAAAAGTGTTTCTATATCCTAGCATTATCTGTACTTTGATGGTTTGGGAAAGATTGTACATAAACATGAATGTAGCTTGCGAGTTTTTTTTAATTATTATTATTATACTTTAAGTTCTAGGGTACATGTGCACAACGTGCAAGTTTGTTACATATGTATACATGTGCCATGTTGGTGTGCTGCACCCATTAACTCATCATTTACATTAGGTATATCTCCTAATGCTATCCCTCCCCCCTCCCCCCACCTCACAACAGGCCTCCGTGTGTGATGTTCCCCTTCCTGTGTCCAAGTGTTCTCGTTCAATTCCCACCTATGAGTGGGAACATGTGATGTTTGGTTTTTTGTCCTTGCAATAGTTTGCTGAGAATAATGGTTTCCAGCTTCATCCATGTCCCTACAAAGGACATGAACTCATCCTTTATTATGGCTGCATAGTATTCCATGGTGTATATGTGCCACATTTTCTTAATCCAGTCTATCATTGATGGACATTTGGGTTGGTTCCAAGTCTTTGAGAGCTTGTGAGTTTTATAGGATGATACTTTTAGCTTCTTTTAATGTAATCCATGATGATTACAGCTTGAATTTTCTCCTCCTTAGAAAATTTGACAATGTATGATTTCTGAAAAAATTAAAAATTCATGTCAATGAATGTTGTCTTATGCTTTTACATTATTTAAGTTGTTTAGCTTCCTAAACATATAAATTTATGAACACTTTTCTGATCTATAATAATTAATTGTACAGTCTCTTTTTAACTTTAATTTTCATCAGTACTGATCTTTTCTTTTTTCTTATTCTTCTGTTATTTTTGCTTTTCCAAGAGCCATATTTTTGATTTCACAAGGAGCTGCACTAGATTATTTGTGTTTTTTTATTTCAAGAACTTATTTTTTAATTGACAAATAAAAATTCTATATATTTTTATTGTACAACATGATGTTTTGATATTTGTGTACAATGCATAATGGCTAAATCAAGCTATTTATCACGGGCATTACCTCACATACTTAGCATTTGTTTTCTATGATGAGTACCACTTAAAATCTACTTTCTTAGAAATTTTCAAATATGCAATATACTGTCATTAACGGTAGTCACTATGAAGTATAATGGATCTCTTAAATATAGTCCTCCTGTCTAGTTAAATTTTATGTTCTTTGACCAACATCTCCCCAATTGTCCCACCCCCCCATCCTCTGGTGACCACCATTTTACTTCGTTACTCTGAGTTCAAATTTTACAGTTCATATATAAGTGAAATCATGCAGTGTTTGTCATTTTGTGCCTACTTTATTTTACTTAACATAATGCCCTCCAGTTTCATCCATGTTTTTTCAAATGACAGTATTTTCTTCTTTTTTAAGGATGAATAGTATTTCATTGTATGTATATGAAGGGTCTTCAAAAGATTCATGTAAAATAAATATAAAATGACTATGGATGTATTTCAAATTTTTGCACCAAAATAAATTAATAATAACTTTTTTATAATATATCTGAACAGGATCTAGTTTGAGGCACTAAGAAGGATAAGACATCAATTTGAAAAGAAGTCCTATGAGAGCAACAAGAATTCTGCTAAAATTGAAGCAAAAATACACATCAAATTTATGATGAAGCTAAAATGGAAGAATGGTGAAATAATTGAAACTTTACTAAAAACTTATAGGTACAATGGCCCAAAGAAATCAAGTATTTGCAAATGGATAACTTGTTTCAAGAAGGAATTAGATGATGTTGAAGAAGACGCCCGCAATGGCAGACCATCCATATCAATTTGTGAGCAAAAAATTCATGTTGTTCAGCCCTAATTGAAGTGGACTGATTATTAACCGCACAAACAATAGTCAACACTGTAAGCATCTCAAGTGGTTCAGCTTACACAACTCCGACTGAAAAATTAAAGTTGAGCAATCATATTGCCCAATGGGTGTCAAAACCATTGTGCCCAGATCAGCTGCAGATGAGAGCAGAGCTTTCAATGGCAATTTTAAACAAGTATATATTAGTAGGTTATTGCATTACTGTAAAGCAATACCTGAGACTGGGTAATTAATTTTAAAAAGAAGTTTAATTGGCTCATGGTTCTGCAGGCTGTACAAACATAGCATAAGCATCTGCTCAGCTTCTAGTAAGAACTTCAGGAAGCTTACAACCACGGCAAAAGGTAAAGGGGAAGCAGGCACATCGCATTGTGAGAGCAGAAGCAAGGGGAGCAGGAAGATGCCACATGCTTTTGAACAACCAGTTCTCGTGGGAACCGACTCATTACCAAATGGATGGTGCTAAAGCCATGCATAAGGGACCCGCCCCCATGATCTAAACACCTCCCACCAAGCACCACCTCCGACACTGGGGATCACATTTCGACATGAGATCTGGGGGGGAAAAATATGTAAACCATATCATTCTACCCCTGGCCCTCCCAATCTCATGTCTTTTTCACATCACAAAATAATCATCTCTTACTAACAGTCCCCCAACGTCTTAACTCGTTCCAATATCAAATCCAAAGTCTTAAGTCTCATCTGAGACTCATCTCCTTTCACCTATGAGCCTCTAAAATCAAAAGAAGTTATTTACTCCCAAGCTCTAATAGTAGTACAAGCATTAGGTAAACATTACTATTCTGAAAGAGAAAAATTGGCTAAAAGAAAAGGATAATAGGTCCCATGCAAGTCTGAAAACCAGCAGGGCAGTCATTAAATATGAAAGCTCCAAAATAATCTCCTTTGACTCCATTTCCCACATCCAGAACATATTGATGCAAAGGGTGGACTCTTAAGGCCTTGAGAAACTCTGCCTATGTAGCCTTGCAGGTTGCAGTCCCCATGGCTGCTCTCACAAGTTGGAGTTAAGTGCCTGTGGTTTTTCCAGGCACAGTGTGCAAGCTGCAGGTGAATTGACCATTCTGGGGTCTAGAGAGTGGTGTCCCCCCTCCCACAGCTCCACTAGGCAGTGCCCCAGTGGGGACTCTGTGTGGGGACTCCAACCCCACATTGCCCCCTCAGCATTGCCCCGGTAAAGGTTCCCTGTGAAGTCTCCTCCCCTGTGGCAAGCTTCTGCCTGGGAATAGAGGCTTCCTCATATACCCCCTGAAACACAGGTGGAAGCTGCCAAACCTTTTTCACCCTTGCCACAGTATTCTTCTGTGTACATGCAGGATTAACACCACATAGAAGGCACCAAGGATTACAGCTTGCACCCTGTGAAGGAGCAGCCCAAGCTGTACCTGGGACCCTTTGAACTGCGGCTGGAACTGAAGCAGCCGGAATGTGGGAGCAGTGTCTTGAGGCTGAGCAGAGCAGTGCCATCTTGGGCCTGGCCCCTGAAATCGTTCTTTCCTCCTAAGCCTCTGTCCCTATGATGGGAGGGGCTGTCTCCAAGATCTCTGAAATAAATACATTTGGAGCCTTTTTCCCATTGTCTTGAGTATTGGCACTTGGCTGCCCTTTAGTCATGCTAGTCTCTCTAGCAAGTGATTGCCCTACAGCCTGCTTGGATTGGATTCTTTCTCTGCCACATGTCCAGGCTAAAAATATTTCAGAGTTTTACACTCTGCTTCCCTTTTAAATACATCTAAATTTATTTCTTTTTTCTCATATCTGACCATAGGCTGTTATAAGCAACCAGGCCACATCTTGAATGTTTTACTACTTAGAAATTTCTTCCATTAGATACCCTAAGTAATCACTCTTAAGTTAAAACTTCCACAGATCCCTAGAACATGAACACAATGCAAACAAGTTCTTTGCTATGGTGTAACATGAGTGACCTTTACTCCAGTTCCCCAAAACTCTCATTTCTATCTGAGACCTCATCAGTGTGGTCTTCACTGTCCATATTTCTATTAGTATCTTGGTCACAACTATTTAACCAGTCTCTAAGAAGTTCCAAACTTTCCTTCATCTTCCTGTCTTCTTCAGAGCCCTCCAAACTTTTTCAAACTTTGCCCATTATCCAGTTCCAAAGCTACTTCTACATTTTCAAGTATCCTTATAGCAACGTCCCACTCCTCATTACCAATTTTGTATTAGGTCATTCTTGAATTGCTATAAGGAAATACCTGAGACTGGGTAATTTATAAAGAAAAGGGGCTTAATTGATCACAGTTCCTTAACTGGTAGGAAGAATGGTGCCAGCATCTGCTTCTGATGAGGGCCTCAGGAGCTTACAATCATGACAGAGGACAAGTGGGGAGAAAGTGCATCACATGGCAAAAACAGGAGCAAGAAAGAGAAAGAGGAGTCTCAGATTCTTAAACAACCAGATCTCACTGAACGAAAACTCACTTATCATCAAGGGGATGCTACTAAGACATTCATGAGGGACTCACCTCCTGATTCAATCACCTCCAACCAAGCCCTACCTCCAACATTGGAAATCACATTTAGACATGAGATTTGGAGGGGACAAACATCCAAACTATATCAAGTGGGATCAAGATCCTGAAATATTTCTTTGAAGAATTGTAACAGAACATGAAACATGGCTTTACCAGTATGATCCCAAAGACACAGCACAATCAAAAGAATGACTACCAAGAGATAGTATTGGTACAATCAAAGTTGTCCAGTCAAAAACAAAGGTTATGGCAACAGAATTTTTGGATTCTCAAGGAATTTTGTTTGTTGACTTTCTGAGGGGGGGGGGCAAAGAATGGTAACATCTGTTTATTATAACAGTGTTTTGAGAAAGCCATGCTTTAGCAGCAAAATGCACAGGAAAGCCTGAACAGAGAGTCTTTCTTCACCATGCCAATCCTCTTACTCATTCTTCTCAGGAACCAAGAGCAATTTTGTGAGGGTTTTGATGGGGAATTTTAAGAACTTCTGGTTTAAAAGTAGAACTACACTGAAATATAATTTTTCATATATTACATTGACAAAAATCTAAAATTTCAATGTACTCTCTTGAGAAGTCTATGAGGTACTCATATATATGAGGTACTCTCATATAAATGAGAATGCAATAAAAAGGAAGTGTATTTGGCAATGTCTACAAAATATGTGTGCAATTGACCCTTGTACTTAGCAATTTTACTTGAAACCATAGGAAAAAAGAAAAGACTAGACATATGTTGATAACTATGAAACCTGGGTATAAATACACAGATGGGAGCATGTGAGCACATTATCATCTTTTGTATATATTTTAAACGTTCAAATTAGGAAGCTTAAAAAATAACTTTTATTCTTAACTACAATTATGCCTTCTGTCATGGCTTACTTGTCCTGTTACAAGCTTTTTGTGTTCAATGCCTGGTTAATTTGAAATCACTTTGTAACAGCACATAACTGCATTTCTTCATTGAATGATCAAGGAACTCTAGTTTACATATACTAAACTAGGAGTTGGAAATTCATTGAGGTACAAGATAGCAGGTCCTGACTTTATAGAATTTATATTCTAAGGCAGAAAGCACATACCTTGACAAATAATTAAAGTAAAATTATACTTGTTTTTTTTCATAGGGGAAGTAGAGGGTGGTATGGAAGGTTTTATTATATTTTAAAAATGTGTGGAAGGTCTCTGCTTATACATAAAGAGAGTCAGATTTAGCCAGGTTAAATGTATGATTATGTTTCTAGACAAGGAAGTTTTAAGCAGAGGGAAAAAAAAAAACAGTATCTGTATGTCAAGAGGTAAAAGTTATTTGGTGAGAGGTGCAAAGTTTAAAAACTAGAACAAATATAGCTTAAATCTAGAGTACATAAGATTTATCTAGCTTAAAAATATTACATATATACCCAAAGGACTATAAATCATGTTGCTATAAAGACACATGCACACGTATGTTTATTGCGGCATTATTCACAATAGCAAAGACTTGGAACCAACCCAAATGTCCAACAATGATAGACTGGATTAAGAAAATGTGGCACATATACACCATGGAATACTATGCAGCCATAAAAAATGATGAGTTCATGTCCTTTATAGGGACATGGATGAAATTGGAAATCATCATTCTCAGTAAACTATCGCAAGAACAAAAAACCAAACACCGCATATTCTCACTCATAGGTGGGAATTGAACAATGAGATCACATGGACACAAGAAGGGGAATATCACACTCTGGGGACTGTTGTGGGGTGGGGGGAGGGGGGAGGGATAGCATCGGGAGATATACCTAATGCTAGATGATGAGTTAGTGGGTGCAGCGCACCAGCATGGCACATGTATACATAGGTAACTAACCTGCACAATGTGCACATGTACCCTAAAACTTAAAGTATAATTAAAAAAAAAAGAGAAAAAAAAAGGTTAAAATCTTAAAAAAAAAAAATTACATAATTTGGAATTTATCTTAATAATAGAGAAAGCCATCCAGAGGGAGAAACATTGCATTATTAAAGGAAGTACCATTTTAAGATTTTTATCTTTGAAGTGTGCCTCCATCTGGAGTGTACATAATTTATAGAAAGGCAAGACCTAATTTTGAAATGAAAGAGTAAGGAATTCAATCAAGTCTTTCCTAACAAAAGTAATAATAAACTGGAAAAAAAAAGTGGTTGGAAACAACTATTTCAGAATCCTGGATATTGACTGTTAGGAACTGAATGTTTGTGTCCCCCCTACCAACCTACAATCTATATGTTGAAATCCTAACCTCCAATGAGGTGGTATTAGGAAATGGAGACTTTTGGAGATAAATCAGGTCATGAGGGTGGACCCCTCATGGATGGGATCAGTGCCTTTGTAAAAAATACTTTAGAGAGATTTCTAGCTCTCTTTCTGCCACATGAGGATATAAGGAGAAGTTGATGGCTTGCAACCTGAAAGAGGGCACTCACCAGAACCCATCCAGACTGGCAGTCTGATCTCAGGCTTCCAGCCTTCAAAACTATGAGAAATAATTTCTGTTGCTTATAAACCACCTAGTCTATGCTACTTTGTGATGGCTGTCCAAATTGACATTAAGACAAAAAGAAAGGGAAACCTGTATTTGTGAAAACCTAATGAATATCAGATAAGAACAGCAGTATCTTATCTTAGCCTATGGCTTCTTGCATTATCACTACCCCAACAAACTCCTTCAGCATAATAGTTCCAGCAGGGTGGGGAAAGTGGTGGAAGTCAGCTGCTTTTCTGCCAGAGGTGGCTGATGTAATTTAGAGCTGGAAACAGAAAAGCACATGCCTGGGGTATTGTCTAAAATAATAATGATCTTAGTGTCAAAATGTCATGAAATTCAGCATTGGGGTTAGCCTAATATTGACATATTGGATAGAACAAGCAGGAAACTGGCACACTTATGAGATATTTACTAGAGAGGTTGGAGAAATGAAATAGTGATGCTGAGCCTTGATAAGTTTCCACATATCCCTGAAAGTTCAAACAGTTATGCACATGCACAAGACTGCATGAATGCTCAGAAGTCAGGGAAACCCATAAGTATCTACTTGTCCCTGGATGAATACAAAGCCTTGCACATAAGCAGCATAGACACAAGGATGTGTGGATGAAAGTAAAAGCTGGAACAACTTCTAAACTGCCTGTCATTGACAAAAGATGAAAAACTGAGTGGCTCAAGATAATGCAGCATAACCTCTCTAATCATTGAGTGACCATTAACCATGTTCAACCAGAAGTGACCTCTAGTACACCAAGATTAAATATAAGAAGAAGAACTAGCAACAAGAAAAACCCTAACAGAGTCACTGGCAGCCGTATATTTCAGGGAAACAGATTTTACAGAATTAGCCTTGTTAGGTCACTAAACAAATAAAAATAATACAAACAGTAATAGCAGCAACAATAACTTCTCAGAGAGAAAGAGAAAAGAATCAGGAGTTGCTATAATATATTGTCTAAAATGTATAACTTTAAACAACAAAAAAGAGATGTCCTGTGAGGATTCAGTCAGGCTGGTGGGAAAAATTTTAGTTATAATAGCTACAAACCCTCTTGAAAGGTCTGAGAGTTTGCAAAACTTTGGTAACAGATCTGGCTGAAGGCAGCCTAGTCCCTTTACCTTTAATTAGATAAACAAAAGTAAATACAAGGGAATGTGGGGGATTTTGTCTAACTAGCTTGTTTACTCATGTGGTCCTAAGACTAACACTTGTTCTACCATGGGTGCTTAATTCCTTTCTACTTGAGAAGTCTGCAATGTCAATTACCCTCTAGTGGTGTTGACTCAAGCCTTTGTCAATTAATCTTTACTAAATAAATGCAAGTCTTGCTGGCTGCTGACTCTTTACAGCACTCTTCTTGGAGTCTGTAAGTGGCCCGGACACTCAGCCGGACTGGCAAAGCAGAATATCTGTGCCAGTGTACGTTATTCATCCATCACTGAGTCAAGATCTGCAGGACAGGCCTCCACAATGTCCCACCCGCCCAAAAAAGGAAACTGACTCAGACACAGGAAGAAAAATAATCGATAGAAATTATTGATAAAATGTCACAAATGACAGATTTATCAAACAAACACTTCAAAGTAAATACTAAAATATATTGAAATAACTAAAGAAAAACGTGTTTTGGAATTAAAGGAGGTTCTGGTTCAAGATGGCTGACTAGAAGCACCTAGTGCATTCCATCTCATGGAGAATAAACAAAGTGGCAAGTGAATACTAAGTCTTAGGATCACCTAAGAGATCTTGCTGAGATTCACCAGAGAAGCAAGTGGACACATGGAGAACAGAGAGGAGTGAAGCCATGAAGCCAAGTAACTGCCCACCCAGGACCATGCAGAGCTGGGGGAATCTCCCTAACAAAGGAAAAGAGTGAGTGAGTGAGAGTCCCCTGGGGATCCACACTTCTGCCATTGACATTTGTAATCCTGAGCACAGGAAAGTCCCCTATACACCCTTACCCCACCCTCCAGACCAACACAGAGAGCCACCTGGAGTCTATGCAGAGTCACTGCTCAAGCCCACATGGAATTTCACTGGCCTTTGATCCCTGAACAGCCTGGTGCCAGCTGCCACTGCCCTGCCAAGAAGGGAAGCAAGGTACTTTTGCATGTCCATTGGATAGATGTTATAGCCCAGGTACTGAGGAGCAGCGAGACTGCATACCATGTGACACTTCCCCTCCACTGCTTCTCACCAGGGGGTGCTCACAGGTTTAGGCCCCCAGCACAGCTGCCCCGCCCCCACTTGAACACTGTGGTCACATCTCTGCATTCCTCTGGGAGCAAAACTCCCAGAGGTAGCTGACAAGCCTTTTACAATCTCTGCTGGCACTTTCCCCACCCCCTATGGGGGGATCAAGGAGGTAGGGCACATTTGCAGACCTCTAGCACTAGACACCATAATGGAGATGTAAAGAAGCAGTGGGCATACTATGCCCCAACAACTTGCTGCCTCCACTGCTCTCTGCCAAATGGGGTTTCCACCTTCCAGCCTCCAGCACACCCACCCCACCCACACCTGATCACTGTAGCCACAGCTCTCTGTTCCTGATTACATAACTCCCACAGGAGTTCTCACAGGTGGTTGGCAGGCCTTTTGTGATCACTACTGCCTCTGTCTCTACCAACCCCAGGTCAAGGAGGGAACAAGGAAGCAGAGTACCTTCCTACACCTCCAGCATGAACAGCACAGCTGAGATATGGATGAGCAGTGGGCTGCTGCATGGTCCATAAACCCCTGCCTCTGCTGCTCCCTGGAGAATAGGACTCACTGGCTTCCAGCCCCCAACACACCCACCCTGCCCCCACCTGAACACTAAGGCCACATCTCAGTTCCTCTGAAAGCCCTCAGTTCCTCTGAGGTCAGCAACAAGCTTTTCACAGTTGTCACTACCACTGCCTTCACCCCTACCACTGCCTCCACCTCTTCCACCCCTAGGCCAGCATGGGATCAAGGAGGTTTGGCACTTTTGCTTGTCCCTAACAGTGAAATCCAGTGCCACTTGTGTGAGAGGAAAATGCAAGTGTGCCATGCTCCCCACAGCTGCCGATCTCCATTGTCCCAGCTGAAGAATCCTGCCCTCACCAGTGAAATGCCCACAGCACAGATGCCCACCCCTCCTGAGCATTTCAGCTGTGGCCCAGATCACTTCAGAAAACCCAACCCCACAGGCACATGATCTTCCCTTGGGCTTCCACTGCCTAAAGGTTCCACCTGCCCTCACCTGAGAGTTCTGCCAGTGATCAAGGGACTAGCCTGCCTCTCCCCATCACAGCCAGCACCTGAACTCTGGGTTAACCTGACTTAGGTCCAGCCCCTTCAGGACTCGTACACACTATCCAGTGGGCCACCTAGAGGCCTGGGAACTAGGGAATTACTTAGCCCATTCCAACACTACTGGCACCTGACCATTTCCCCAGGGTCTGAGGTCAGGCTGATCCAACCAGTCAACATCACCACAACCAACACCCACCCACATGTGCCCAAAGGTGGAGCCCTGCCCCATCCCCATGAAGCAGCAGCATTACTATATAAGAGAACAGGTGAGCCATAAAGCTATCTGTATTGGGCAGAGTGAAGAAGTTCCACCCCCAAACCACTCCCATAGAGAGTTACAAGATAGGTATTTCCCATGGCTCTCCACCACATTGTATTCTGGGGATAGACTACAGTGTGCATCTGAACTGGGAATCACAAGCCCCAGGAAAGGGCATGATAGGGAAACAGATAATGTTCCTTCTATCTAGGACATGGAGATGGTGCAATCCCCCTCAGCCCCCACACAGACAGAGCATTTTATCAGAAGCTCCCCTCAGCCACCTTCACCAGGGCTGGTGCCCATAATTGCCATTGGTGTATTTGTGGGCAAGCAGGGGGGTCCAGCTCTGCCAAGGTGTGGCCCCTGACCCCATGGAAAAGAAAGCTCAGGGTGCCTAGCCCTCCACTGTCTAGCCTGTCACTAGAAACAACACAGAGCACCTCACAATAAATGAAGATCAAGTACTGATGTGGTTTTGCTCTGTGTCCCCACCCAAATCTCATGTCAAATTATAATCCCCATGTGTCAGGGGAGGGACCAGGTGGGAGGTGATTCAATCATGGGGGCAGATTTCCCCCATGTTGTTCTCATGATAGTGAGTGAGTTCTCACAAGATCTGATGGTTTAAAAGTGTGGCATTGAAACTGCCATTGCAAAATTGTGACTTAGACAGTGAAAGAGATCTAACTTAACTGACTGCATCTTGCTTCTAACCTCCAAAATGTCCTTGTTCATTCCTGGGCATAGGCAGAGCTAACTTTTGGAGAAACTAGTTTGCAGTTTATAGTTTAAAACAAAGATGATAACAGTCCTCTCCCAGATTAGACCTTCTTGGCCGGGGACTAGATTGCCTTTGTAGGACACAAGATTAAAAATTGGAGGTTTAGGAGTTATGCAGCTGGAGGCTACAAGTTTCTGACCCTCCCTAAACTGTTCCTAAGGTCATTGCTTGAGATATTTTGCAGACCCTGCACTTGATAGATCAGCTGGCACCACCTGGATTGATAAACTGGCTCATCTGATCTTGTGGCCCTCACCCAGGAACTGACTCAGTGTAAGAAGACAGCTTCGACTCACTATGATTTTATACTGAACGGGTCAGCACTCCTGGATCACTGACTCCCCTCAATCCACTAAGTTGCCCTTAAAAACTCTGCTCCCTGAATGCCTGGGGAGACTGATTTGAGTAATAATAAAACTCCAGTCTCCCACACAACTAACTCTGCATGAATTACTCCTTCTCTATTGCAATTCCCCTGTCTTCAGAAATTGGCTGTGTCTAGGCAGCAGGCAACATGAACCCATTGGTTGGTTACAGCATATCCCTCCTCTCTCTCTCTCTTTCTCTGTCTCTCACCTGCTACCATATGAAGAAGGTCCTTGCTTCCCCTTTGCCTTCTGTCATGATTGTAAGTTTCCTGAGATCTCCCATTCTTCCTGTTAAGCCTGCAGAACTGTGAGTCAATTAAACCTCTTTTCTTCATAAGTTACTCTGTCTATGATAGTTATTTATAGTAATGTGAAAATGGACTAACATAAATATGTACTCTTTTGTTTGTGCCACAGCTGTCTCTTACCTGTAAGCTCCTATAGGTCAAACTGCACAACCCAATATAAAATGAGCCAACAGAAGTGCATAGGGCTATAGAAGCAAAGCCAAAAGACCTCACACAACATATTCTACAGTCTCACCCTGCAGGGAGGTGGGGGGAAAGGAGAGAGAGAAAAATAGGGCAAGAAAAAAAATCTTATCTATATGAAAATAAATTTAAAAATCAGAAGTGGCAGTCTCTCCTGATGAGAAGGAACCAGTGTAAAAATTCTGGCACCATAAAAAATCTGAATGTTGTGACACCACCAAGGGACCACAATAGCTCTCCAGCAATGGGCCCTAATGAAAATGGATACTCAGAAATGACAGATAAAGAATTCAAAGTATGAATTACAAGGAAACTTAAAAAGATCCAAGAAAAGGTTGAAAATCAACACTAACCAAATACTAAAGCAATCCAGGAAATTAAAAAAAGGATAAGAATTTTTAAAAAAATTAACCAGAACTAGTGGAGTTAAAAAAAACACTAAAGGAATTGCAAAATACAAGTAAAAGCTTTATCAATAGACTAGACCAAGCAGAAGAAAGAATTTTAGGGTATAAAGACTGATCTTTTGAACTAACTCTGTCAGACAACAATAAAGAAAAAGAAATTTAGAAAAATGAACAAAGCCTTCAAGAAATATGGGATTATGTAAAGTGACCAAGCCTACAAATTATTGGCCTTCCTGAGAGAGAAGAAGAAAAAGTAAACAATGTGGAAAACATATTTGAAGAAATAATTTAAGAAAATGTCCTAATCTTGCTAAAGAGGTAGACATCCAGATAACGAAATACAGAGAGGCTGGATGCAGTGGCTCATGCCTGTAATCCCAGCACTTTGGGAGGCCGAGGCAGGCAGATCACTTGAGGTCAGGAGTTCGAGGTCAGCCTGGTCAACATGGTGAAACCCCATCTGCACTAAAATACAAAAATTAGCTGGGCATGGTGGTGTGTGCCTGTAATCCCAGCTACTTGGGAGACTGAGGCAGGAGAATTGCTTGAACCCAGGAGATGGAGGTAACAGTGAGCCGAGATTGCACCACTGCACTCCAGCCTGGGTGACAGAGTAAGACTCTGTCAAAAAAAAAAAAAAAAAAGAAAGAAAGAAGGAAAGAAAAAGAAAAAAAGAAAAGAAAAGAAATACAGAGAACACTTGCAAAATACCATATAAAATGAACATCACCAAGGCATATAGTCACTAGACTATCCAAGGTCAATGCTAAAGAACAAATCTTAAAGGCAGCTAGGAAAAAGGAACAAGTTACCTTCAAGGAAAAACTGATCATACTAAAAGCAAATTTCTCAGCAGAAGCCCTACAAGCCAAAACATATTAAGGACCTATTTTTAGCCTCCATAAAGAAAAAAAATTATCCAAGAATTTTATATCATGCCACTAAACTTCATAAATGAAGGAGAAATAAAGTCTTTCCCAGACAAGCATTAGCTAAGATAATTTGTCACCACTAGACTGGTCTTAGAAGAAATGCTCAGAAGAGCTCTAAATATGGAAACAAAAGGATGATACTAATAATCAGAAAAAGGATATATAAATACAAAGCTCCCAGATCCTAGAAAGCAACTATACAATTGAAACTCCAAAACAGTTAGCTAACAATACTATGTCAGGATCAAAATCTCACATATCAATATTAACCTTGAATATAAATGGCCTAAAGGCCCTGCTTAAAAGATACATGGTGACAAATCAGATTTTAAAAAGACAACTCAACCATCTTCTATATAAAAGAAACCCACTTACCAACTAAAGACACATTCAACCTTAAACTAAAAGGATGGAAAAAATATATTTTGCACAAATGGAAAAGAAAAGCAAGCAGAAAAATCCATTCTCATATCAGACAAAAGACACTTTACACCAAAAAAAAAAGTTTAAAAACAGGTAACAAAAAAAGGCATTATTGATTATAAGAAAAAGATTGAAAACCAGAAGATTTAACTATCCTAAATATATATGCACCCAACACTGGAACACTCAGATTCATGAAACAAATACTATTAGGCCTAAGAAAATAAATTGATAGCAAAACAATAATAGTTGGGGGTTGGAAGGGGCAGGCACAGTGCCTCTTGCCTGTAATTCCAGCACTTTAGGAGGCGAAGGTGGGAGATTGCTTGAGTCCAGGAGTTTGACACCAGCCTAGGCAACATAGTGAGATTTGATATAACATAGTTTGGATGTATGTCCCCACACAAATCTCATATTGAAATCTAATTCTCAATGTTAGAGGTGAGGCCTGGTGGGAGGTGATTGGATCATGGGGGTGAATTTCTCATTAATGGCTTAGCACCATTCCTCTTGGTACTGGCCTCATGATAGTGAGTTTTCATGAGATCTGATTATTTAAAAGGGTGTAGCGCTTCCCTTCTTTTCTCTCTTGCTCCTGCTTTTGCCATGTGACATGCAACCTCCCTTTTAGCCTTCTGCCATTATTGTAAAATTCCTGAGGCCTCCCAAGAAGCTTAGCAGATGCCAGCATCATGCTGTCTGTACAGCTTGCAGAATCTTGAGACAATTAAACCTCTTTTCTTGATAAATTACACAGTATCAGATATTTCTTTATAGCAATGCAAGAATGAACTAATACCTCACCTCTACACATAAAAAAAGAAATTAGCTGGGCATGGTGGTTACGCCTATAGTTCTGGCTACTTGGGAGGCTGAGGTGGGAGGATTGTTTGAGCCCAGGAGGGTAAGGCTGCAATGAGCCATGATCATTCCACTACACTCCAGCCTGGGCAACAAAGCAAGACTCTGTCTCAAAAATAAAATAAAATAATAGTGGGGAGCTAGGTGCAGTGGCTCATGCCTGTAATCCCAGAACTTTAGGAAGCTGAGGTGGGTGGATCACTTGAGGCCAGGGGTTCAAGACCAGCCTGGCCAACATGGTGAAACCCCATCTCTACTAAGAATACAAAAAACTAGCCGAGCATGGTGGTGTGCACCTGTAATCCCAGCTACTCAGGAGGCTGAGGTACACAAATCACTTGAACCCAGGAGGCAAAGGTTGCAGTGAGCCAAGATCGCACCATTGCACTCCAGCCTGGGTGACAGAGGAAGACTCTGTCTCAAAATAATAATAATAATAAAATAATAATAATAATAGTGGGGGACTTTAATACCTCACTGAAATCACTAAATAGATCATTGAAGAAGAGAATCAACAAAGAAACTCTGGACTTAAACTGAAAAATATACCAAATGGACCTAATAGACATCTACAGAACATTTTACCCAACAACTGCAGAATATACATTTCTCTTATCTGCACAAAGACTACCCTTCAAAATCAAGCATATGCTCAGGCATAAGGCAAGTCTCAATACATTTTTAAAAACTGAGATTATATCCAGTACCTTCTGGACCACACTGGAATAAAATTAGAAATTAATACCAAAAATACTCTCAAAACTACACCAGTACATGGAAACTAAAAACTTGCTCCTGAACAACTTTTGGGTAAAAAACGAAATCAGGACAGAAATTGTAAAAATTCTTTAAAATAAATGAAATAGAAACACAACATACTAAAGTCTCTGGGATACAACAAAGGCAGTGCTAGAAGGAAAGTTTACAGTGTTAAATGCTTACATCAAAAAGATGGAAATATCTAAAGTTCACAATATAATGTTGCACCTGAAGGAACTAGAAAAAACAATAAAAAACCAAACCCAAAGTTAGTAGAATAAAATACATACCTGAAATCCAAGCAGAAATAAGTGAAATTGAGACAAAAAAACACAGTGTAATCAATGCAACAAAAAATTGTTTCTTTGAAAGAATAAACAAAATTGACAGACCACTAGCTAGACTAAGAAAAAAAGAGAAAATTCAAATAAGTACAATCAGAAATGATAAAAATGACATTACAACTGACACCAAAGAAATACAAAAAATAAGAGACTACTATGAACACCTCTATGCACACAAACTAGAAACCTAGAAGAAAGGAATTAATGCATATAAACATACACTCTTATTCAACATAGCACTGGCAGTCCTCTCCAGAGCTATCAGGGAAGAAAAAGAAATAAAGGCATTCAAATTGGAAAAGAGGAAGTTAAATTGTCTCTGTTTGCTGACAACATGATTGTATACTTAGAAAACCCTAAAGACTCCTCTAGAAGATTCCTAGACTTGATAAGCAACTTCAGAAGAGTCTCAGGATACAAAATCAATGTACAAAAACTAGTACCATTTCTATACACCAATAATCTTCAAGCTGAGAACCAAATTAATAACTCAATTACATTTACAATAGCCACACACAAAAATAAAATACCTAGAAATACACTTAATCAAGGTGGTGAAATATCTTTACAAGGAGAACTACAAAACACTGATGAAAGAAATTGAAGATGACCCACAAAAAATGGAAAAACTTTCCATGCTCATGAATTAGAAGAATAACTATCATTAAAATGACCTCATTATCCAACCAAAGCAATCTACATATTCAATGCAATTCCTATCAAACTACCAATGTCATTTTTCACAGATTTAGAAAAAAAAAGTCCTAAAGTTCATATGGACCCAAAAACAAAAACAAAAACAAAAACAAAAAATCCCAAAGAGCCAAAGCAATCCTAAGCAAAAAGTTCTAATTTGGAGGTATTACATTGTCTGACTTCAAATTATACTACGAGGATATAATAACTAAAGAAGCGTGGTACTGATACAAAGATAGACAATAGAACAGAATACAGAACCCAAAAACAAAGCCACGTACCTGTAACCAGCTGTTCTTTAGTAAAGTCAACAAAGACAAGCAATGGAGAAAGGACACTCTAATCAATAAATATTCAATAAATGGTGCTTGGAAAACTGGCTAGCCATATATGAAAGAACAAAACTAGACCCCTACCTCCCACCATATACAAAAATTACCCCAAGACGGATTAAAGACCTACATGTAAGACCTGAAACTATACAAATATTAGAAGAAAACCTAGAAAAACTCTTTTTAATATTGGCCTAAGCAAAGAGTTTGTGATGAAGACCCAAAAGCAATTGCAATAAAGACAAAAATAGGCAAATGGGACTTAAACAAACTAAAAAGCTTCTGCACAGCAAAAGAAATAATCAACAGAATAAACAGACAACCCACAGAATGGGAAAAATATATTTACAAATTATGCCTCTAACCAGAGATTTATATCTAGAATCTACCAGGAACTCAAGCACCTCAACAAGAAAAAAGCAAACAACCTTATCAAAAACTGGGCAAAAGACAGGAATAAACAATTCTCAAAAGAAGAAACACAAGTAGCCAACAAACACATGAAAAAATGCCCAACACCAATTATCAGAGAAATGCAAATTAAAGCCACAAGAGATACCATCTTACACTAGTCAGAATGGCTTTCATTAAAAGTCATAAAACAGATGTTGGTGTGGATGCAGAGAAAAGGGAATGCTCATACACTGTTGGTGTGAATGTAATTTCAATCTCTGTGGAATACAATATGGAGATATCTCAAAGAAATGAAAGTAGAACTACCATTCAACCCTGCAATCCAGCTACCAGCTGTCTACCCAAAAGAAAATAAATCATTATATCAAAAATATATTTGCATTCATATATTTATGGAAGCACTGTTTACAACAACAAAGTCACAGAACCAAACTAAGTGTCTACCAACAGCTGACTGGATAAAGAAAATGTGATATATATACACCATGGATTACTACATAGCCATAAAAAAAGAATAAAATGTCATTTGCGGTAACATGGATGAAGCTGGAGGCCATTATCCTAAGTAAACTAACACAGAAGCATAAAATAATATTGCATGTTCTCACTTATAAGTTGGGACTAAAGAAAGGGTACACATGGACATAAAGATGGGGAAAATAGACTCTCAGAATTCCAAATGGGGGCATGCAGGGGGTAGGTTTGAAAATTTCCAATATATGGGTAATGGGTACACTAGAAGCACAAACCCCACCATTACACATGTAATACCTATGTAACAAACAAGCACATGTACCCCCTGAATCTATAATAAAAATATTTTAAAAATTGGAAAAAAAAATAAAAAGAAGAAAGACATGACTGGATCAGAAAACAATAATTAAAAGGAAAGAATAATAACAATATTCACCAAAAAGAGAATGAAAATAAAGAAATATAAATTATAAATAAGAAACAATAGAAATTCTAAAGAGAAAAAATAAAATATGTAAAATGAAAATTCACTAGAGGGATTTGATACCAAATTTTAGGTGCCATAAGAAAGAATCAGCAAACCTGAAGATAGATCAATAGAAATTATGAAATCTGAAAAAAACAAGAAAAAAAGTATGAAGAATAATGAACAGAGCTTCACAGACTTGCAGGACACAATAAAATTATAGCAAAATGACCAAAATGGAAGTCCCAGAAGGACCAAAGAGAAAGGTGCAGAAAAACATGTGATACCTGAAAAACATACCTGAAGACATCCCAAAATTGATGAACCTTAATTTTCAGATCCGAAAACCTTAACAAACTTTAAAGAAGATAAACACAAAAAGATCCATACCTATTATAGACTATCATACTCAAACTGTTGGAAGACAGAGAGAAAATTCTGAAGTCAGTAAGAGAAAGCCAACACATAGGATAAGGAAACCTCATTAAAATTAACAAGTGACTTTTCACTGGAAAAGACAATGGAGGTTGAAAAACAGTAAGATAGCATATTGAAATTACTGAAAGAAAAATAGCAACAAAGAAAAAAATCCTTCAAAAATAAAGGTGAAATAAAGATAGTCCTGGATTCAAACAAAGAGAATGATAAGCAATTACTAGATCTTCTCTACAAGGAATATGAAAGGAAATTCTTCAAGCTGAAATAAAAAGACACCAGGGAGTAACCTCATTCAATATAAAGAATTAAAGTGCACAAGTAAAGCGAACTATGTAGGTAAATATTAAATCCTATATAAATGGGCTTTTTTCTTTTTTTCTACAACCTGATTTGAAAATCAATTGTATAAAATAATTATAAAGCTTTATTTTCTACTTATAAATATGAGATGTAATGTGTGTGACAATACCAGCACAAAGAAGTGGGAGGAAATGAAGGTATACTGAAACAAAGTTTCTATATTTTACTGGGACTAAATTAGTATTAATATGAAGTAAATTGTGATAAGTCAGCATGCAGGTTGTGATCCCTGGAGCTGCCACAAAACAAAATAACTCAAAAAATTACAGTTAAAAACCAAGAAAGAAATTAGACTTGTTCACTAGAAAATATCAACTAGATAAACTTCAGATTTCATATCTAGTTTTTCTTTCAGCCACTACCTTGCTAACCTATAAGCAACTTCAGGTACACCACCAGCTTCAGAAGCAACAGCTTTGCCTAGAGTTCTCCACTGATTCTTATTATTGTGTAATGTCTAATCCGTATAATCAATTCTTTATTACGTGTCACCCTTAGTGGTTCAGCTTTCCTAATCAAATCCTAACAGATACGTGTACTACATTCAAAAACAAAATTGTCTAAAAACTCTCCTTATTCTAGCATCTTCACAGGGTTTTGACATTAAGCTTAAGCTACGCCCATAAAGACAGCTGGAGAAAATGTCATTATATTCTGCTTTATGTTTATGATTTTTCTCCTTCTCTTCCCTTATTCCTGTTTAGTAATTTTTTCTAATTTCGTATATAGAACACTAAGCTTACTGTTTTTTCTCTTATGTTTTAACTTGCACATTTATGAATAGACATTTGCTTCACAAGTGTTGATATTAAGTCTATTTGTATTACTCAGTTCGAAATGTTATTTTTAAATTTTATTTTTCCATAAGTTATTGGGGCACAGGTGGTATTTTGTTACATGAGTAAGTTCTTCAGTAGAGATTTGTGAGAGCCTGGTGCACCTATCACCTGAGCAATATGCACTGCACCATATATATATATTTTTTTGAAACAGAGTCTCGCTCTGCTGCCAGGCTGGAGTGCAGTGGCATGATCTCGGCTCACTGCAACCTCCGACTCCCTGGTTCAAGCGATTCTCCTGCCTCAGCCTCCTGAGTAGCTGGGATTACAGGTACGCGCCACCATGCCCAGCTAATTTTTGTATTTTTGGTAGAAACAGGGTTTTACCTTGTTGGCTAGGATGATCTCGATCTCCTGACCTCGTGATCTGCCCGCCTCGGCCTCCCAAAGTACTGGGATTACAAGAGTGACATATTTTGTCGAATTATCTTTTTGACTGATGGACTTACTTGCAAAGCATTTTTTTAAAATTTCCAAAGGTATAGGGTTTATTTTTGGGGTGCAGTGGGTGGGTAAGGAAGGACTATTTATCATTTCATTATTTTCATTGCTTTGTGATTAGATAATGTCTTCCGTAATTACCGACTTTCTGGTATTTATCAAGACGTTATGGCCTACATGTTAATGTGTTTTTGTAAATGTTACATGAGTTTTAAGTGAAACAGACACACAGAAAGACCAGCCTCAATCTTATTTGAGCTACTTTACAATATATTCATAATTTGTTCTTTTCCTTTAGGATAAGAAGTCATTTCATGTTTTGTAGCATAATTGCTTTATAAGTGCAGACTTTTTTTCTCCATGTGTGAAATGTGAGGTGAGGAGGGCAGATCAAAACGGTCTCCAGGTACAAACAGGGATTCAAATTTATTTTATTTAAAAAGCAATTGAGCTGCAAGAGAGGTATCTTTCTTTAAAAAATTGGAAAAGTTATATAAAGATGTTGATGATTCAATTACATGTTACTCTTGAAGAACAATTTTATTTAGGTACATTTTAATATACTTAAAGGAAATTTAGAAATTTAAACGTTTTAAAATCTCTTGAGTGCAATAGAGTCCTATTTAATTACTTTAACTACTATTTAATTATTTAACTACTAATATAAATATCAGAAGGATTATTAATACCTCCCTCCAAAAATTAAAAGATCAGTTCCAAACTTCTAATTATATGGTATGCTAGGGTGAGTGAAGAAAAATACAGGCTTTGCAGACTCCAGACAAAGTGCTTACAAAGAGAGTCATTATTTCAATTTAAGATAATCAAGAAAATAAAGGAATAGCCAATGAAATTACAGTACATAAATGTTTCAAAGAAACTTGCCAACACGCCAGAATTCAGAGAATAGGGTCTTCAAGAAGACTTCCTGAGGAATATAGTAGAGAATAAGCTTCAGCCAACAAAAATGGTTAGAGATATCAACTACTACAGCAACAACAGCACTATCATTCCCAAAGAGATAAAGCAAGACATCAAGATCTTTTGGATGAAAAAATATAACATCATCTGTCATTTGTCTTGCAAAAAGTATCAAACTAAATATGATTAAGCTGCTGGATAGGCAATTTGCAGAAAATGCAGTGACAGAAGTCCATGTTGAACTGTACCATGAGCATGCAATCAGCATATTTCAGACTCTGGGAGACCCTAGATGGTAAATAACTCAGGTTTTTCAAAAGATAAATTATAACCCCTTCTCTACTAAAAATACAAAAAATTAGCTGGGCGTGGTGGCGGGCGCCTGTAGTCCCAGCTACTCAGGAGGCTGAGGCAGGAGAATGGCGTGAATCCGGAAGGCAGAGTTTGCAATGAGCGGAGATCACGCTACTGCACTCCAGCCTGGGCGACAGAGCAAGACTCCGTCTCAAAAAAAAAAAAAAAAGAAAAAAAAAAGAAAAAGAAAGATAAATTATACAGAAATTGAAGAGATAGTGATAGTGAGACTTGTAGGCTACAAGAAAAGGAAACAAAGTTGGTGAGGCCAAGTTTGAGTGTGTATGGATGTATATTTGAGTATATATGTATTCATGAAACTGAAAAGAAATGCAAATAATTTATTAAGTCAGGGTAATGGTTAATTTTGGAGGAGAGAGTTGTCATCGAGATGAACAAACTTGAGGACTTCAGGGGTGGCTGGCGAAGTTCTATTTTGTGACTTGAAATGTGATTATAATGGTGTTTGCCTTGTAATATTTCATTAAGCTAAACATGTTTGTGTATTTTTCTTTACCTTGCTTTTACACTGCAATAAAAAGGTTATAATAAAAAAATTAAAGTAATGGATATTGATTGATTGACGGAGTCTCCCTCCAATCCACCCTCTATTAGCATGTTTTCTGTTGCATAAGAATCTTGAAATCTACAAATTGATTTTTGAAGCCAAGTTTCTCTGTGCAAAATAGATTCCACCAATTAGATGCACCAAATGAGCTTTAGAAAGCACAAGTGAGGCAGAGGGATCTACTGATATAATTGCCGCTGGTGAGCAAGATGATGATGAGATGTGAGGGAAAGCAACTGTGGCAGCCATACCTGTGTCCAGTGACTATTCACCACCTTCAAGAGTGCTGAGGGTGATGAAGGAGTGGCAATGACACCAAGGCTTTTTGCCTTTTGCCCTTACATCACATTACTGGGGTAATGTGCTCTGGAACACAATAGCTCCAGTTGCAGCCTCCAATGCATGTTCCTGTAAGTCTTTGAATTATTCACAAGCATTTAATACATTGTATTAAATCTGCTTAATTTACCCAATGGTTTCCGTTTTCTTAACTGTAGGACAACCAATATAAGTACACTCAAACAAGAAGAAAAAATTGATATAAATATATTATTATATAAAAACAAATTACTAATTAAATTGCTATTTCTAGTCTCAAACTAAAAAAAAAAATCTCTCCTTTAAATTTTCTTTAACAGGTGGCAAGTGAGCAAAGGGAGAAAAATCTGGCTTTTGTTGATGGCTTCAGATTCCTAGTACAGTTAAAACACAAAGAAAAAAGGCGAATTAACAGTGGTCTTGCATTTAGTAGTCATAAAAAGGCTAATGGGGGAAAAAAACCTGGAGCCTCCAGCCCGAGAACATTTTTTAATTTAAAAAATAGGTATTCATCTCCTTATATTGGCAGTGTAAATTATCAGAGTAAAAAATAAAAATGAAACTATAGTATTTTAGTGCATACTAGATATTGGAATTTATTTGTTTGTTTTACAAAAATCAAAGAGAAAAAATAACATGTCAATTGAGTTATATTAGCAACAATAGAGACAGAATACATGAATCAATGATCCCAGTCACATTTCCAGTCTCATTTGAGTGTTGGTCCTACACGCTCCAGAATAATTTGTGCATATTTACCTCATGGTGTAACCAAGAGCATTAAAAATAATTCCAAACAACAAAGCACAACAGAAACTTATAAACCAAAAAACTATCAAGTTGCTTAGCGGATTTCATTGGCATCTGAGAGTACATGCAAGAAGTTCACATGAATTAGATTTCCCTGGCTGTTTTCTTCTCCCCGTTTTTCAATTGACATATACATCCAAAAATCATGCAAAATAATATCAGGGAAAGAATAGGGAAATAGGAGGATTACTCCAACTCTCTCAACAAATTTTGCTATAACTGAGTTGTTTAAAAACTCACATGTAGAGAATAGATTCACTGGTAGTTTTTTAAATTTGAAAATACTTTCATAAGGAGTCTGGATATGCACAAATAACAGCATTTTACCAAGAACTTCTATATAGCAGCATAATCCAGTGATCACATTATCCTAAACCCTTATCAATGCAGAAAAATACTTCACATAAGACAGCTCATATAATACAAAACTTCATCTATCTACTAATCTATCCATCTGCCTATCTCTTCACCTTAATAATATGAGTCAAACATCATTCTTATTCTGACAACAATTGTAATGTGAATTCATCCTAAAATCAATAAACCAATTTAATATTTATTCATTGTAAAGAAGCAATAGCATAATGATTAAGCAACAACTTGATACTTCTCTTGATTAATGACAGTTGTGAACAGACAGAAAAACAAGTTTCCAGAAGCTTTAATTAATGTAAGAACCAGTGTAATTTTCTAGTGGAAGTTACTTTTAATTTTTCAAATTAATACTGACACACATATACAGACATGAATATTTAAAACATATAAATGAAAATTTACCTTTTAAATTAAACAAGTCAAGTGTTAGCTCAAGAGACTATCAAGTCCCATAAACAAAGATATCCAGAGGTTATCACCCAGAATGATACAATGACTAACATTTATTGACAACCATATGCTTCATATTATTTGCTTCTTTTATGCCTCAAATAACTCTGTGGTGTAGAGACCACTATTATCTCCTTTAACATATGTAGAAACTGAGGCTAAGAGGTATTAAGTACTTAGCTTAAGTTTACACCACTAGTAGTAGAAGTAGTATTAAACACTGTTTAAAAAAAAAAAAGATACCAGAGTCTAAGACTTTTAAAACTACACATTAGACTTCAGATTCTGCAGAGCCTTTTAATGCAGGGGTGTCCAAAGTTTTGGCTTCTCTGGGCCACATTGGAAGAAGAATTGTGTTGGGCCACACATAAAATACACTGATACTAAAGATAGCTGATGAGCTTTACAAAAAAATCACAAGAAAATCTTATAATGTTTCAAGAAAGCTTATGAATTTGTGTTGGGCTGAATTTAAAGCCATCTCCTGAGCCGCATGCAACCTGCAGGTCATGGGTTGGACAAGCTAGGCTTAAAGCTTATACAGTTTGAGGACACCTGTTTCAGGAAAAAAAAATCGAAATAACTAATAAAAGGTTGTTAGTTTCCATTCTAGGGCCTTCGAGGAAATCCATGCAAAGGAGGAGTTATAAAACCTAAGCTTTACAAGCTTTATGGTAAATCCACCATCATTATACCATATAGTATTCTAAAAGTTTTCTTAAGCATTTTTAGAAACAAACATAATTTGTAGTTTTTATTGCTATTACATATATCCAGTTCCTTCACATATTAAAATTTACACTTTATCTGTTTTTATCTATACCTGATTTTTAACAGTTTTTCCATCTGCATTCAATTGTTGTCAAGCTTCACAGCTTCCTAAACACGTAGAGGAAGATGAAGTTGCTTGTCAACACACTCTTCTTATAAATGCTCCAGAACTCCCTCAGTTGTGTTATTGCAGATAGTGCAGATCACTTAAAATTATACTTGCCTGCTTATCTTGTATTCTCTGCAGAACATTATCTCTGTCTCTGGAAACTCTGGTGGCAGCTGGCACCATCCTTACTATTGCTTAACGAGTCCATGGCCATGTCACTGCAGTTATCCTTGGTGAAAGAGTGTCAGCATCTTGTCTAAGAGATATATCGATAAAACCAACCACCATGAGTCCTAAAGTCCTAACTAAGATTTTTAAGTGTTTATATAACATGCAGAGGTACCATGAATATTGACTCCTCACACTAAGCCACCGAGAAATGTGATAGTTCCATTTATATATGTAAGCCCTCCAAAGGCTTTCTGTAATCCTTTTTATTATCAGCCACAGAATTTTACTATCAATCCAACTACTTAATCTCATTATTGACTTGCCTTATAGAGTTGTCTGCTGATCAGCTACACCTTTGAGGGTATTTTGGCAAATGTTCTTGAGTTTTAGAATTCTCCACAAAAGCACAGAAAATCAATAGCGTCTCTTCCAAAAGATTCCACAGTTTTATATTGCAAAAAGCAGCACAGTTTTGAAAATATTCCCTGGACAAAGAAATATGTCAAGTAAAAGAATTATTTCTAGCATTTTTAAGCACCAGCTAAAACATTCTACATAAACGAAGTCCTTGAATATGAACATATTTGTACATATAACTGCAACCAAGAGAAAGTTCACACTCAAAACCTAAATTGGCCTATTTGTATCCCTATTTAAAATAGAATTATGCTAATCTTGTGCTTACAGAAGCATGTTTTATTTTATGTTAATACTGTAGACGTTATTATCTAATAATTTCAAAACTGCTCAGGCTTTAAACACAGTATCACAGACTTTCAAGCTGTAAGTTTTTTCCTTATTTGCTTAGTACATTAATGAAGAAATAAAACACAAACTGATGAAGAAAAAATAAATTCCTTTTATAACTTGGTTTAATATGAACATCTAAGGATTTTCTGTTTTAATTATCTTTCATAAATGATAATTAATGCATTTCATTTGTTTTCTCCATTTACTCAATCATACCAGAAAATAACAACTTGATATTATCAAATACTGTGGTTGCAACATATCTTTCCCTTTGTGGATACATGTTGGATCATATATAAGACACTATATTTTATCAATATCATTTAGAAAATTCTAAATAAGAGTTAACTCATGAATGTTTGCCATCATTTAAAGATGATTTGCAAAGTAGGGTATACACAATTATTTTTCCTCTTTCAATACTTGCAATTCCAGTTAGTACCAGCAGGTGGTAGTAATACTTTGTATACATTAAAGCTAATATTGAACCTACCAGATTTATTTATAACAGTAATAAAACCTATTTGTGTACAAAAACATACTTATTACATTGACAATGTATTACTAAATGCAGATTCATTATTTTTACATCCAAATATTTCAAGAAAAAAATAACCAAAATGGAAAGCAATATAACACTTTAAAATGAAAGCATGGACTCCCCATAAATTCAACTGTTATAAACTGTGTCTCTCAATTCTAGTTTTAACTTCTTAGGAACTAAGCAACCATCGTGTCTGCACAAAACAAAGTGTACTGATCTGCAACTCATTTCATATTTTCTGATTTGCAGAATTCTCCAGCCTCCCTACTCATTCCGCATTATCAGAAAGAAATATCATGACTGTATTGCTTTGATGATGAACTAAAAGTGGTTGGTAAAGATTGCTACACTTACGGCAATTTTATGGACGTCATTAACATTCGAAATAAAATATATCTAGAGTTTTCTTTAATAGAAGAGATCACAAATTGGTTTAAATGTTAAGTAGGAGTGGCTTGGGAACGTATGTGGAAAATCATTGCTTCTCTGTCAGAGGCTAAGATCCTACAGCAGTATGGAGTTCCTAAGGATTATAGGAATCTTGCTAGCTTGTCATACTTTAGGAGCATCTCACTAAGTGACTCAGTTGCTCACTGTGGGTAATTGTCATTATCTCCTAGTTCTGCTTTAATCTATATTTCTTCTCCTCATTCCTTGGTCCTCTTTTCCAATAAATTGATTATTGATATTGAATGTCCTAACTGGAACTGTCACTCCTGACATTTTTATAGTCTTTATTTCTTTTAACTTGCTTTTCTGAAATTTCAAATGTATTTTGAACACATTCACATTCATGAGAATAGTTTCAAAATGCACTGAACTTGAGCCCTCACAAATTCTTGGCAATTACAATTTGGTAAGAACCCTCTAGAAAGAAAAGCCTAACACAGCATTGTGTCTAATGTTCTGTGTCACAAAAACTATGAAGGCATTGCCTTATTAAAATTTAGAAACCTATTTTTCAGTTTCCTCATGGCTATCTTTACTTCTTGATTCCTCAAAGTATAGATTATTGGGTTCAGAGTGGGAGTAAAGATGGTATAAAACACAGACAGAATCTTGTCTGTGAGAAAGCTGCTTAGTGGCCACATGTAGATGAAGATGCATGGCCCAAAGAACAAGAAGACAACAATGAAATGAGCTGTACAAGTAGAAAGGGCCTTAGATGATCCTCTGGAAGAATGATGCTTCACAGTAACCAGGACAATAACATATGAATTAAATAAAACAATAAAACAGGACAACGCAATTATGCCACTTGTTGAGATCATAAAGAGGCCCAGAACATAAGTATCCACACAAGCCAACTGGAACACCACAGGAAGGTCACAGAAAAAGCTGTCTACCTCATAGGGACCACAGAATGGTAACGTGAGGGCAAATATGACCTGACTCATTGAATGCATAACTCCCATAATCCAGGAAGCCACCACGAGAGCAACACACACCTGGGGACTAATGACAGAAGCATAGTGCAGGGGCTTGCATATTGCAATATACCTATCAAAGGACATGGCCATGAGTAAGATGATCTCAGTTCCAGTGAAAAGGTGGAGAAAGAATATCTGGGTAAGGCAGCCATCAAAAGAGATGGTTTTGTGACCTGTTAGGTAATCTGTAATCATCTTTGGGGTGGCGAAAGAAGCAAGAGACATATCAATGATTGAAAGATTGGTAAGCAGGAAATACATAGGAGAGTGTAGGTGAGGGTCCACTATAACTGTGATGACTATGAGGCTGTTACCCACCATTGTTGCCACATAAAGCAATGAAAACACCATAAAGAAAAACATCTGTAGTTCCCAGGAATTAGAGAGCCCCAGCAAAACAAATTCAGACATGGTAGACTTATTGCCCACATCCATTGTCTTGATTCATAGGCAGAAGCCTGTATCACGAAAAAAAAAAAAAAAAAAAAGGAAAGTCAGATTCAATAGAAGCAAAAGATTCATTTCCAATTATCTACTTTCAGAAATTTTATCTTCTCATAAAACTTACCTTGACTATTCTTTCCATCCTTCTCATTTGGTATATTGTTTTGAATGGAAATTATGAAATATTAGAGCTTATAGCAAAATGTTCCTTAAATCATAGGTATTGAAAAGAACACTTTCTTTTCTGATACTAATGGCAATCCAACCAAGATAATATCATTCTGAACAGACATACCTACCTATTTGTCCATCTATTCATCTGTGTAAGTCTAACGATAACAGTAAGAACTTACTTTATGCTGACAATGTGTGAAACACACATACACATACATGTTTAGTCATTTGGAATTTGTCCATAAAGATATCCTTACTGATGAAAACATATAAAAATTATATCACATATAAGGGCTCTTAAGCACATTATAGTGAAGTTTCGATGGACAGTTGTAGAGCTCTTGTAAATTTCCAGAGATGAACTGTTAAAGTATTCCCAGATAAAGTTTCCTGTTTGAAACTCAAAAGAAATACATAGAAAGTTAGTTTTGCTGATATTCATCCAGAGAGACTAATTTATTACAATACAGTCATACAGACAAAGGAAAGGCATTTAACTTCTTTTGGTCCTTTCTTTTTAATTAAAATATGACTGTGTTCCTTATAAATATTTATAATTCTATGATTTAAAATTTTATATCACAAAGGATATATAACAACATTTTCATGGGAAAGTGCTCAAAGATCAGTCTCTTTCATTTCACCTCTGTTTGAATTCTTCTTCTGTAAATGTTAACATATGTAAACTGTTGTATTGACCTAAGCTTCATGGAATAGGGATTAGGAAATGGGAGTGGGAAGGGCAAACATTTAAAATATTTCAGTAGAACTCATTTGTAAAACACTTTTACTTATCAGATCTATAGAAGAACCAGGGCTTTAGATTATTCAGTGTTAAGTAGGCTTCTGACAGAGCATCGAAGGCAATTTAAAATATAAATAAATGACCTAGTTGAATCATTAGTTGTGTATCAGCTGTGGATAAAATGGATGTTGTAGGGACATGGGAATTGAACAAGAAATCACCTTGCAATGGGATTTATTAAACAACAAAGATGGCATTATTGAGTTGACAAAGGAAAGATATTTCAAGAATCTTATGGGAATTTACAAAGATTGTTTTCACCTGGACCTGAGAGAGTCAGGGACTAGAAGTTGGGAAAGTCCTAATTTCAAAAAGCAGCAGGAAATATCAAATCAACTAATTCTAATAAGCACTCTTGGTTCTCTAATGCTATATTAGAAGCAACGGAGAACAAAATCCAAACATTCATCTCTGCTTCAAGTAATTTACAGTTATTTGGAAATATTAAACACCTATAAATAAAACAATTGGTGAAAAATACCACCAAATAAACCTCATGTTCAGTCAATTCTCAGAGACCATGGATGAACTAGACTTTAGTTAAAAACAAAAACAAACAAACAAACAAAACTGGTAATGTGCAGAATCAATCAAGCAAGTGTTCTTGCAGGAGACATGTCATGAACTTGACTTAGAATGAAAACTAAAATATTAATTGGCAGAAGAAAAAAAATGCACGGGGAAGGAAAACAGTGCAGCTTATTTGCCATGAAACAGGATATTTAGTTAGCAGTTTAGAAGAGCAAGACTGCCTTTCTAAAAATTTAACTTGATATAAAAGATAACGGGTCATTTTAATGTCAGGGGCAGAATTATGATTATTTGAAAGCAGTATTATGTAAGCATTTATTTAGATAGTTTGGAGAAGGGAGAAATTTAATACAGATCATTTAATGAAATGGATATAAGGAGATAATTTTGACTAAGTTACCAGAAATGTGAATGTGATTGTAATTAATTAAATGAGACATCCAAGTAACTGTCATTATGAATATTTTTATTTATTGAATACTAATAATATGATTATTCTCCTGTGCAGTCTATGTAGTAGACTGAATTTTTTTTTTTTTTCAGACAGAGTTTCACTCTTGTCACCCAGCCAGGAGTGCAATGGTACAATCTTGGCTCACAGCAACCTCCGCCACCTGGTTGAAGCGATTCTCCTGTCTCAGCCTCCAGAGTAGCTGAGATTACAGGCATGTGCCACCATGCCCTGCTAATTATATTTTCAGTAGAGGCGGGGTTTCACCGTGTTGGCCAGGCTGGTCTCGAACTCCTGACCTCAAGTGATCAGCCCACCTCCACCTCGCAAAGTGCTGGGATGAACAGTGAGCCACCATACCCAGCCGACTGAATTTTAGAAAATCAAAATTGATTACCTTTTTGTATATGGCTCATCCCTTCAGGGACCTTCACATGCTGTGGAAGGAGTATAACCCTCACTTTATCTACCAGAACCTTGGATACATGACTTTGTTCAATGTAATGTGACTAGAAGTATCATATGCCACACATGAGCAGAAGTTTTAAAAGTCAATGCGTGACTCCAGCACTGTTTATATATTTTATTTTTTAACTCATCAGGGTCTTAGGATAAATAGAATAAATACAAAGAAACATTGAGAGATAGACACACATGTGCGCGCGCGCGCGCGCGCACACACACACACACACACACACACACACACACGGGAGGAATACAGAATGATGAGATATTATATGTAAATATGGAGTACCAGCCAGACCCTAGCCATCTGATACACTCCAGGTGAGGCACAAGATATGTTAGGAAATCCGTTCTGAAAGTTCCAGTACCAGCGGAGCTCCCAGGTAAATAATGCAAGTGCATGAGTCTTTCCTACAGACCGGAGAGTGGCACCTTACATCTTTCTATTGTCAAAGTGGTTAAGCTGAGAACTACAGTTCCCAGAATTCTTTTCTACACGTCTTTCCGTATTGGAGTTGTCTAAAAATAAATGTGTTTGGAATTTGAAAAGCAGCCCAAAGCACCAGCCATTACTCTCTGATCTTTGTGGCTATACAGATGCAGAGGTGCCAACAGCTTCTAGCTTGTTTTGTTCTCAGCCACTTCACTCTGCGTCCACCTTTTTCCCAACTTCTGAATTGGAGGATCAACAGAAGCCTCAGGCTGCCTGCCTGCAGATCCTCAGAAGCAGCAACTGAACAAAAATTTTTCTACCAGCAAAATTTTCTAAATTTTGCTCCTTTCATGACCTCTACTTCATTGGCTAGATGGGCTTGGTTTCTCGATTGACTGGCTATTGCTGCCTCTGATTCTGCAGCTCCCTGTTTCATGTCTTTGCTTTCCTAAGTCCTTCCAGAATTGTTTAAGGTCTAATTCCTATGGTAAATGCCTTATCCTACAGTGCATGGTAGCTCTGCTTTCTAAGTTGAACTCTATTTCTTAACCTAAGTCAAAACTAACAATGTAGATAAAATCAGAGATGTTTTGATTTTATCCCTGACATTCCAACATGTCAATCCTATTGTCCCCTATCATCTCCCTCTCCTTAGAGGTAAATATATATATATATATATATATATAAATAGGTATATATATGTGTATATATATAAAAATAGGTATATATATGTGTATATATATATAAATAGGTATATATATGTGTATATATATATAAATAGGTATATATATGTGTATATATATATAAATAGGTATATATATGTGTATATATATATAAATAGGTATATATATGTGTATATATATATATAAATAGGTATATATATGTGTATATATATATAAATAGGTATATATATGTGTATATATATATATAAATAGGTATATATATGTGTATATATATATAAATAGGTATATATATGTGTATATATATATAAATAGGTATATATATGTGTATATATATATAAATAGGTATATATATGTGTATATATATATAAATAGGTATATATATGTGTATATATATATAAATAGGTATATATATGTATATATATATAAATAGGTATATATATGTGTATATATATAGATAGGTATATATATGTGTATTTATATATATATACACACACACACACACACATATATATACCTATTTAAATATATATGTGTATATTTAATATATTTAAATGTTCCTCCATGGGATTTTATTATTTTATATTCCTTCTGGCATTACCTCACTGTAGTGTCATCTAGAGCAGGTGTTCAAGCTGCTAGAATTTTGCTGCCTGATAGAAACATTTACCATATGATAGTTGATATGTGGTATCTCAATGAATTTCAACATATGTTCATATAAAAAAGAGTTTGAGCATCTTTTCTATAGAAAATAGCTATTTGCGCTTTTTTCCCATTTTATGCAGGGTTCTTGGTCTTTTTATTGTCTAATTTAATAGCTTTTTATGTACTGATATACCAGTGCTTTGTTTTTTTATCTCTCAGTGCAAATGAGGAGATTGAGATTTATGATAATGTGGTGATGTACTCAGTATAATATAATAAAGTCTTGTACTGTGATGTAAACTCAGGCCTCCAAATCTGAGATTCAATGTTCTTTATATTACACTAGAGGCATATAATGCAGTTTCATCAAGTTATTTCTTTTCATCTTATGAATACAAGCTCTGTGAAATATAGTCAAAACTTTCTTGTTAATAGAGAAATATTTAAGTATGGGTGGCATTTAAATTTTATTGATTGTTATTCTGATTTTTAGCAGATATTAAAATTTTGATGATTACTTCACATTCTTTACATAGTTAGAATTTATAAACCAGAATTTTTTCACTTTTCACTTTTTTCTTCCATTACTCCATAATGATTCAAGTGAATAGTACAAAATTTAAATTCTCGAACATTCATTTTATTATTTTCTGTATCAGTTTTTTTCCAAATGGGGATACACAGGCCTTATACTCATTTGTTAATGGAGGAACTGGGAGATAACACTTGTAGTCTCATAAGTCAAATAATAGATACTATTTGTCTTGTCTTTGCTGTGGTCCAAGATACGCGTTATTCTTTATATTTTCCCAGCCAATCACATCCATGTCCTGTACATGAAACATTTACGAGCAATCATGCATTCTGTAATTCACCTTTAAATATGGCCAAACCAACTAGAAAGTTTTAATAACTCCCACTGCAACTTGAACATTTGTTTATTCCCCAAGCAGCAGCTGGTCTTTTTCTTGCCATGTAATTCACAAAATTATTTCATATCAATACAACTGTCATAAATACAAAGGTCTCAAGGACTGTGAGCCTCCTTTCCCCAGAAATTAGGCAAGGGATTCACCTAACTTCACTGTGACGCAGTTGTCCCTGCTTTCAGGAGTTGGTTATTATATTACATGTGTGGAAAGGATCTTAAAATTATCTAGATCAACACCCCTATTTTACATATGAAGACTTGGAAGCATCGGTTGACTCAGTAAATTACTTGATCCCACACTCCTAGGACAAGATTTCAATTCCCATTTTCTGACTCTCAGGTCACTGTTATTTCTGGTACACCAATTTAAATGAGTGCTGTGCTAGAGACTTCTATTTAAAAATCAGGTAGGTGAGTACAAAAGAAATTTAAAAGTTTCTGGGATGGGTAAAGCTAGAAGAACAATGTGAAGGTTTTTTGTTTATTTGTTTTTCAAAGGCCACAGCATTTTTAATAGAAAGCGAAAGAACAATAGGTAGTTGAATGAGTAAATTGGGTTTGGTCTTAGAACAATTTGTTTAGAATATATAGTTGTAACAGAGGTTTGAGAAGAAAAGAAAAACAAATGCTTGGATTAGTAGAAAGATGAAAAAGTTTTGTTATGAATTTTGAGTACACATCATTTCAATTGGCTTTCAGTGCACTTTGTAAATCTCAGATCTCAGTGAGACAGAGATTTCCTTAATCAGCCAAGTTACAACTTTTGAGGTGCGTTATATTACATAACTTATAAATTCATTACTCTCTTCTGTCTGATGTAAACTTGTCTCAACAGTTGCTCCATGTAAACTCTGGAAACAGGAAGAGTGTTTTTTGTTTCAAACAGCTTCTGTGAAATCAATAATTTCTAGCATTTAAAAATTGCCTGGCTTCTGGCAGCATGGTATTTAACAGTCTTTCTATTTAAAATGTACTTAGAAATGTATGAGTACTTCAGGCTTTAACCAGAACATGTTCATTAGCCTCTGAAAAATGTATGGCATTGGTGACATACATCAAGTGTCATTCATAATATCTGCATAACTAAAATAAAGGACAAATAATTAGAGGTGATTTCACTTTTTTTTTTTTTTTTTTTTTTGAGGCAGAGTCTCACTCTGTCACCAGGCTGGAGTGCAGTGGCACGATCTTGGCTCACTGCATCCTCTGCCTCCCGGGTTCAAGCGATTCTCCTACCTCAGCCTCCTGAGTAGCTGGGATTACAGGCGCATGTCACCCTGCCCAGCTAATTTTTGTATTTTTAGTAGAGACAGGGTTTCGCCATGTTGGTCAGGCTCGTCTCGAACTACTGACCTCGTGATCTGCACACCTCGACCTCCCAAAGTGCTGGGATTACAGGTGTGAGCCACCGAGCCCAGCCATTTCACTTTTATTCTAGACAATCTCCACTGGAAAATTGAAACAGATGATGTTTCTCTGTAGCCATCCTCCTTCCCTCATGTTTGATTCCTTTTTCCTAGCCACTGCAAGAGACCAGTGCCCATATCCTTCCCACTAATAATAAGCTTTGATCCTCAAATATTCCTCCTCCGTCTTTCACCCTTCATGATGTTTGAAAAAGGTTTTTACTCCCTTTTCTTACAAAAGGCTGCTGTCAGCAAGCTGTGAAATTTAAAAAGTATTTCACAAACTGAGGAGTAAATATTTGAAACCATTAATTTTTACTTCTTTTATGAATATTTGTATTTTACTTGTAAAACAAATTGCTAAGTCATAAAAAATAATATGTAATTGAATCATTTGAAATATCTAGGAAGGCCATTGGGAAAAATTTTTGGCCACTGTGAGTCTGGAAAAGAGACAATAGGGAACTATCTGATGGTAGGCTGCCACTAAATTAGTCTGTGCAAAAATCCCACTTTGAGTTTGATTGCTATATTTTTTCCTAGTTCTCCTCCCAACTGGAAATGCTAGAGTCCTTCCAGAAATCAGAGCAAATGGCCTGGAGCAATCAGTCTGCGGTAACCGAATTCATACTACGGGGTCTGTCCAGTTCTTTAGAACTCCAGATTTTCTACTTCCTGTTTTTCTCCATAGTCTATGCAGCCACTGTGCTGGGGAACCTTCTTATTGTGGTCACCATTGCATCAGAGCCACACCTTCATTCCCCTATGTACTTTCTGCTGGGCAATCTCTCCTTCATTGACATGTCCCTGGCCTCATTTGCCACCCCCAAAATGATTGCAGACTTCCTTAGAGAACACAAAGCCATCTCTTTTGAAGGCTGCATGACCCAGATGTTCTTCCTACATCTCTTAGGGGGTGCTGAGATTGTACTGCTGATCTCCATGTCCTTTGATAGGTACGTGGCTATCTGTAAGCCTCTACATTACCTAACAATCATGAGCCGAAGAATGTGTGTTGGGCTTGTGATACTTTCCTGGATTGTCGGCATCTTCCATGCTCTGAGTCAGTTAGCATTTACAGTGAATCTGCCCTTCTGTGGACCCAATGAAGTAGACAGTTTCTTTTGTGACCTCCCTTTGGTGATTAAACTTGCTTGTGTTGACACATATATTCTGGGGGTGTTCATGATCTCAACCAGTGGCATGATTGCCTGGTGTGCTTCATCCTCTTGGTGATCTCTTACACTATCATCCTGGTCACCGTTCGGCAGCGTTCCTCTGGTGGATCCTCCAAAGCCCTCTCCACGTGCAGTGCCCACTTTACTGTTGTGACCCTTTTCTTTGGCCCATGCACTTTCATTTATGTGTGGCCTTTCACAAATTTCCCAATAGACAAAGTACTCTCAGTATTTTATACCATATACACTCCCCTCTTGAATCCAGTGATCTATACCGTTAGGAATAAAGATGTCAAGTATTCCATGAGGAAACTAAGCAGCCATATCTTTAAATCTAGGAAGACTGATCATACTCCTTAATTTTCCTCATAGGAAAATAAAATACCTGTTCAGCATTTATCCCCCTCATTCAGTTGGTCAACATATTGATGCTATTGCAAGAACTCAATTAGTTCATGGTAGAACTGTTTCTGTAATCAGCCTCAGCTGTCATGAAGTTCTGGTCATATTAATTGTTTCTTACACAACCTAACATTTACTATAGAGCATTATAAAATGTATACTTAACATTTTAGTGTGAAAGGACCCACAATGTCTAATATTTATTTTTTTCAGATCTATCTGAATATAATTTCCTTTGAGACTTTCACATGTTTTAAGAAAGAGTAGATTTCCTCCCTATCTCTAGCAATAGTCTCTAATAAAAAAGACAAGTATAAAAGCAGCAGCACCTAGTATAGTACCCTATACACTAAAGTAGCAATAGAATGTTTATTGCTGACAAGAAGCTAATGAATGTGGGTTTTTTGTAGCTCAAAATTCAGAAGGCAATAGAGGGTTTTTGGTAAGTAAAAATATTTGCCATTTAATATGTTTGTAACCCATTGTGGGTAAGAATAGGAATGTATCTTACTTATCTTTAGTCCCTACGTTCCCTAGAGTGGACTTCATAGTTTTAAAACAGTATAGGAAACTCCATGCAAATTCTTATAGTCATATCTATATCTATGTGTATCTATCACATCTAGCTATCTGTCTATCTATCTATCTATCTAAAAGATTAAAAGGAACCTAGAGTACTATACAACAAATCTCATCCATAGCCCTGTTCTACAAAAGATAAAAATAAGACCCAATGATACACTAGGTTTTTCAAAATCATGCTAATTAGAGACAAAATCTACATCATTCACTTAAAAATATAGATATTTATTTCCTAAGCAGTAACAAATTGTTTTGGTGTCATGATGTTTACTGTACCATTTTTTTAAAAATTTTTTTAGTATTTATTGATCATTCTTGGGTGTTTCTCGGAGAGGGGGATTTGGCAGGGTCATAGGACAATAGTGGAGGGAAAGTCAGCAGATAAACATGTGAACAAAGGTCTCTGGTTTTCCTAGGAAGAGGGCCCTGCCGCCTTCCGCAGTGTTTGTGTCGCTGGGTACTTGAGATTAGGGAGTGGTGATGACTCTTAACGAGCTTGCTGCCTTCAAGCATCTGTTTAACAAAGCACATCTTGCACCTCCCTTAATCCATTTAACCCTGAGTGGACACAGCACATGTTTCAGAGAGCACGGGGTTGGGGGTAAGGTTATAGATTAACAGCATCCCAAGGCAGAAGAATTTTTCTTAGTATAGAACAAAATGGAGTCTCCTATGTCTACTTCTTTGTAGCAAACACAGTAACAATCTGATCTCTCTTTCTTTTCCCCACATTTCTCCCTTTTCTATTTGACAAAACCGCCATCGTCATCATGGCCCGTTCTCAATGAGCTGTTGGGTGCACCTCCCAGACGGGGCGGCGGCCGGGCAGAGGGGCTCCTCACTTTTCAGATGGGGCGGCCAGGCAGAGGCGCCCCCCACCTCCCGGACGGGGCGGCTGGCCGGGCGGGGGCTGCCCCCCACCTCCTGGACGGGGCGGCTGCCGGGTGGAGACGCTCCTCACTTCCCAGATAGGGCGGCTGCCAGGCGGAGGGGCTC
This sequence comes from Homo sapiens, assembly GCF_000001405.40. Classification (NCBI taxonomy): domain Eukaryota; kingdom Metazoa; phylum Chordata; class Mammalia; order Primates; family Hominidae; genus Homo; species Homo sapiens. The sequence continues at coordinate 69,258 of NW_025791796.1, read as the reverse complement.
CTCACTTCCCAGACTGGGCGGCTGGTCAGAGACGCTCCTCACCTCCCAGACGGGGTGGCGGCGGGGCAGAGACACTCCTCAGTTCCCAGACGGGGTCGCAGCCGGGCAAAGGTGCTCCTCACTTCCCAGACTGGGCGGCCAGGCAGAGGGGCTCCTCACATCCCCGACGATGGGCGGCATGGAAGAGACGCTCCTCACTTCCTAGACGGGGTGGCGGCTGGGCAGAGGCGCTCCTCACTTCCCAGACTGGGCGGCCAGGCAGAGGGGCTCCTCACATCCCAGACGATGGGTGGCCAGGCAGAGACGCTCCTCACTTCCTAGACAGGATGGCGGCCGGGAAGAGGCGCTCCTCACTTCCTAGACGGGATGGCTGCCGGGCAGAGATGCTCCTCACTTCCCAGACGATGGGCGGCCAGGCAGAGACGCTCCTCACATCCCAGACGGGGTGGCGGCCGGGCAGATGCTGCAATCTCGGCACTTTGGGAGGCCAAGGCAGGCGGCTGGGAGGTGGAGGTTGTAGCGAGCCGAGATCACGCCACTGCACTCCAGCCTGGGCAACATTGAGCACTGAGTGAGTGAGACTCCGTCTGCAATCCCGGCACCTCGGGAGGCCGAGGCTGGCAGATCACTCGCGGTCAGGATCTGGAGACCAGCCCGGCCAACACGGCGAAACCCCGTCTCCACCAAAAAATACAAAAACCAGTCAGGCGTGGCGGCGTGCGCCTGCAATCCCAGGCACTCGGCAGGCTGAGGCAGGAGAATCAGGCAGGGAGGTTGCAGTGAGCCGAGATGGCGGCAGTACAGTCCAGCCTCGGCTGGGCATCAGAGGGAGACCGTGCAAAGAGGGCGAGGGCGAGGGTGAGGGCGCTACTGTACCATTTTTTAATCCAAAGCCACATTGTAAATAGTGGGGTTTAAAGGATCTGAGCCATTCTCCCTATGGTTAAACACAGTATTTGATGTAAGGACTTCATTAAACAGAGGTTCCTCAACATATATATCTAATAAGTGGAGGTTTTAGAAAATACAAATCATCTAGTCAAATCTATTTATTCTACAGATGATGAAATTGAGAACCAGGGAATGATGTTACTTTCCCAAGTAAGCTATTCAATGAAAGAATCTAGCATAAAAGATGCTCTCTCTCTCTCTGTCTCTCTCTTCCTTTTCCTCTCTATTGAACTAGGGCCAGATTATCTCCAAGAGCATTTTGGTCATTGTCATTCTGAGAGCTACATGTAGAAGAAATGTTTAATGTATAAAACTGAGCTATTGTAATCACTAATAATTAGCCAATTCCCTAGAATTGTCAAAATTTACATAATATTCTGAGTAATATTTCCTTAGCCTGAGTATAAATACAGATGGATATTTAGATGACTGATGAATAGATTTTAAGGAGTCGAATAGATAAAATAGCCAATAGGTAAGTATATGGGCAGATAGATTAATAAGTTGATGGATGGGTGGATACATATATATACATATGGCAATATAGGTGGATAGATAATTTAACAACGATAAAGAAATGAATATACATCTTACTATACTGACTCAATAGTTTCTATGGGTTTATATTGAGCCTGTACCAACTGTAAACTGCCTTACTTGTTTAAAATTGCTGTAAAAGTTAAGGAAGTTGGCATAGTTAAAAAGACGTAATCTTAAAAGTGTTTCTTGTGATGAAGTACAGCCAATTCAATTTATGAATGTGTTTAATGATTACTGGAGAGATCTAATAATGAATAAAGGTTAAACAAAAAATAGTAATAATGTTCTTTATTTATATGGCTCTCGGAACATTATAAACCTGCCTTCTCAGTCCTTGTAATAAGACCAAATCTCTTAAGTTGGGTTGTTCATATTTTGTTTTAGTCAATGTTCGATGGTTGGCTGATTGAGGTTGAGAATATAGTATAATTGTTTCCTTATCAGGCTATGAATTTTGTGTGCCTGTTCAGCATCTTAATATATACATTACCGGAATTATAACCAAATAAATGTCATGGTTTCCATTATATTAAAGTTTGCATATGCTGTAAAGTAAAGCCATCAGTTCTAAGCCTTAGGAAAGCAACCTGGGAAATTAACCCTAAGGAAAAAATACAGATAGGTCATATAATCACCAACCTAAGAAAATTTGAGTAAAGGCGTATTCCAGTTCCCATTCTAATCCATCCATTGATGGAGTCCTCTCTTTCCCTGCCTCATATTGTCTATTGACAATCACTTATCTGAGCATGCTCTTTAATCTTTGATTCTCATAGTCACAGAAAAGCCTAACACTGAGTGTCCATGGTTCATTGTTAAAGACGTACCTAGCAAACACTTTAAGGGACTATTAAGTATAATTTCAAGATGCTATGTCTTAAACTCCAAGAGTTGTTGGTCTAATCAAAGCTATCTGAAGTGTGGTTCTGTAGAGTCATTTAATTTATTTCTTCACTTTTTCTTTTTTTAATTGACTAGATTTTTCTGTTCCTTATTTACCTCCATTGAGTTTACATGATTTTAGAAGTTGATTTCTAATTATGGTCTAATAAATGAAACCAGGAGTAAATGTAGAGAGATGTAAAAACACTTCCCATTGTGCAAAAAATTCAATGTATACATGCACAAAGAAAATTGAGAGTTGTCTCAAACTAGATGAGCTTCAAACACTGAGACCTCAGCACCAAACTTCATTCCTGGCATAAAAGTTCCTTTAGTCATACTTCTCTCCCCACAGCAAATACATTGCCTCTACTTAAACAACTACTTTCCCCAGCTCATCTTAGAAGCTGAGATGATAGTCAGCAAAGTGCTCTTCCATATGAGACGTGGTCGGGGAATTGTGAAACTTCACTATAGGAAACTTGACAAAGAAAGAATGTGTTTGATATGCCATTTTTTTCTGGTCAGTTATAATTGTGTCCCACTCTTTTTCCAGAAAATCTATTTTTAAAATAATTTTACAATATTTGTTTCAAAATTTTCAATGGTTTTAGAACTAAAATACAGTGCAGTTTTATAACGTCACCCTTCAAGGTTTAATCTAAGCCCCGTCTCTTCAGGGAATCTTCTTCAATTCTTTTATTGACTTCTCTGTCTTTATTTTTTTCAGAGCTAATATGTCTTACATCATTGATTTTATGCATTGCAATATATTGTTACCTAAACAATTCTTCAGACTGTATTATTTCTTCTCATAGTTGATAAGCATTTTGAGAGCGGACTTTTCCCTTTCTTGTTTTTTTGTTTTGTTATTGTTGTTCAATTGTTGGCAAATTTGTTTTGTTTTGCTTCGTTTTTAGTATCTGCTATAGTATTTGATTCAGTGAACAGTTAAAGTGGTGACTTGTTACACTTTTTGAAGTACAGTAATTATCTTTTTCTAAATAAATGTCCTTTTTATATTTTCCTTATTGCTATTCCATTACTCTTTGAATATAAAATATAGTAATCATAGAAATGTTGAAGTGAAAAGAATTTCAGAGATTATCAAATGTTCCTGTCAAATTCTGTCATTAGCTATGGGACCCTCTGCAAGCCACTGATGTGATTAAATCTTCTCTGAGGTCCTTTCAAGCTCTAATATTCTGGTGTGTAGGATTCCTGCCTTCCAATTCATTTTGTCCAATGGTAGTTCACGTATAAAACTTCCTAAAAGCTGATTTCTAGGGGGGTGACTGAGAGGATCCCAAATAGGAAAAGAGTGGTGAGGAAGTAAGGGAAAGAGAAGCTGATGGGATTTCTATTAATATATGAAAGACCATAAAAATGGATGGAACCACACCTGGTATCTGTGGTCCTCAGAAACCCAGTCACCAGGACTTTACCTACCAAGTTTCTACAGAAAAGGAGGGATGCAGAGAGACATTTTCTAGTGTTTGCTTTTATGTTAATGCTAATGACCCCTAGTTTTCTAACACAGAGAAAAGCAAATATATCAAGAGATGTGTTACACATTCTGTATCATGGCCATGAAAATTTGTTAATTGAGTAGGAAATCACAGTTCTGTGAGTTCAGAGTCTGTAGGAAATGAGACCCCGATTTGATATCCCTCAAGTGGTTCTGGTGAACCTGGTTAATCACCATGTGTCTGTTAATGACACTGAGCTTTGAGAGGAAATGCCCTGAGAAGCCTCTGAGGCAAGACAACAATCTTCTTCAGGATGGAAATTAAACTGTACTAATATGTAACATATAATATTCAATATGCATCACACTCTGCCAGAGATGCTTAATTAATTATATATTAATAAATATGTTGTAATTAATTAAGTTTGTGTGTTAAATATTAATTGAATTCTTAACATTGTATGAGGTATATATTATTATTACTGTTATTATTATTATTATTTTGGACATGGAAAAATTGAGAAAAGTTTAAGTGATTTTTTTTTTTTTTTTTGAGACGGAGTCTGGCTCTGTCCACCAGGTTGGAGTGCAGTGGTGCGATCTTGGCTCACTGCAAGCTCCGCCTCTTGGGTTCGCGCCATTCTCCTGCCTCAGCCTCCCGAGCAGCTGGGACTACAGGCGCCCGCTACCGCGCCCGGCTAATTTTTTGTATTTTCAGTAGAGACAAGGTTTCACCATGTTAGCCAGGATGGTTTCGATCTCCTGACCTTGTGATCCGCCCGCCTCGGCCTCCCAAAGTGCTGGGATTACAGGCGTGAGCCACCGCGCCCGGTCAAGTTTAAGTGATTTAACTAACATTGTACCACTAATAAATTATGGAGCCAGGATTTAATCTGGACTTGCTTTCCTTTCTTCCTTCCTTCCCTCCTTCCTTGCTTCCATTTTATATTTCCAGTATGTTTTTAATAGATAATATGTTCCCATGTTTCAAAAATCATAGTACTGTTTTAAATACTATGAATACATAATAGTTGTATATATTTATACAGTACATGTGATGTTTTGATACAGGCATACAATGTGTAATGATCAAATCTGGGTTACTGAGGCATCTATAACCTCAAGCGTTTATCATTTCTTTGTGTTAGGAGCACTCCAGTTCAACTGTTTTAGTTATTTTTAAATATACAATAAATTATTGTTAACTATAGTCACCCTATTGTGCTACCGAATACTAGACCTTATTCCTTCTAACTGTATTTTTGTACCCGTTAACCATATCCTCTTTATATCTCCCTCCCCACTACCCTTCCTAGTCTCCAGTAGCCATCATTCTACTTTCTCTCTCCATGAGTTCAATTATTTTTAGCTGAGATATGAGAAATTGAGTGAGAACATGTGATAGTTGTCTTTTCATGCCTGATTTACTTCACTTAACATGATGTCCTTCAGTTCCATCCATGCTTTTGCAAATAACAGGATTTCATCATTTGTATAGCTGAAAAATATTTCACTGTGTATGTGTACCACAGTTTAATTATCCATTCGTCCGTTGATAGACACTTTGGTTGATTCCATATTTGGCTATTTGAATAGTGCTGAAATAAACATGAGAGAGCAGATATCTCTTCAATATACTGATTTCCTTTCTTTTGGATATGTACCCAGGAATGGGATTGCTGGATTATATAGTAGTACTATTTTTAGTTTTTTAAGGAAACTCCATAATGTTCTCCATAGTGGCTGTACCAGTTTACATTCCCACCAAGAGCATACGAAGGTTCCCTTTTATCCACATCCTCACCAACATTAGTTAGGAAAAAAAAAAAGAAAAAAATACAATGTATGTTTCTTTAGCCAAGCTGTTCAGAAGCTGTCTATTAAGCTGACTTACACAAATATCACATGTTCTCACTCATATTTGGGAGCTAAAAAAATTGAATTCATGGAGAGAATAAAATGATGGCTACTGGTGGCTGGGAAGAGTAGTGGGGAGGGAGAGGTAAAAAGGATATAGCTAATGGGTACAAAAATACAGTTAGACAGAAGGAATAAGGTCTAGTATTCGGTAGCACAATAGGGTGACTATAATTAACAATAATTTACTGTATATTTAAAAATAACGAAATGAGTTGAACTGGAGTGCTCCTAACACAAAGAAATGATAAACGCTTGAGGTTATGGATGCCTCAGTTACCCAGATTTGATCATTAGACATTGTATGCCTGTATCGAAACATCACATGTACCCCATAATATGTACAAAACATTTCAACTTTTACGTTATATTCAGAGGGTACACGTACAGGTTTGTTTCATGGGTATATTGCATGATGCTGAAGTTTGAGGTACAAATGATCTCATCACCCAGGTAGTGAGCATAACTGACTGCTAAAATATCACTTACATTTTCTTATTATTTTACCTGACAATACTTAAGGTGTTCCCATTGCCCTGTGCAGCTGAGATTATGTCATGAATGTTGTAGACCTATGGTAAAATACTTACACATACACCTAGTTATGTGCTGCATGTCTTCCTGACTAAATTGGAAGATTCTCCAGAGCACTAGATTTTGCCTTCCTTTGCATCCTCCACTACTATTGGCACAAAGTTGGTACATTATTTTTGCTGAAATTGTCATGTTCATAATTAAAAATGTAACTGTTTAAATAAAGATATTGATAAGAAATTCTATAAAGAAAGGGTGTATATCAACCTTGATAAGAAGATAAAACTGAAGCATGGTATAATACTAAAATAAAAATAAGGTAATATAATAAAAAAGAATAAATCAGAATAATATCAAAATATATAAAATTGAAAGTGTGCTTTCCATCCCTGCTCTTATCTCTCCAGTTTCCCTTGCATGTATGCATACACATGCACAAACACACACGCATCTGAATCTACTTTATTAATTTTATTTAATTTTTGTTACCATATCTGTGTTTTCTTTAACCAAATACAAGCAGATTTGGTTAGATTAATACTTTTTGCCTCTTATCATTTAAAATGAGTATTCGTTTTACATATCTGAACTTTTTTTTTGTTTACTTAATAGTATGGAAGAGAGCTTTTAATATCAGTACAGAGAGTTCTAATTATTTTTACCATTTCATATTATTTCACTCTATGGATAATTTATTTAATTTGTATCTTATTGATAGGTAATGAAGTTTTCTCCTATTTATTTTATTATAGTGCCACGATAAGTAATAGTGAACATATACCATTTCTTGCATATCCAGACATATTCATAGAATAAATCCTCAGTAATAAGATTTTATTTCAAAAGGTATGCACATTTGTAAATAGAAAATTGCCTTTATAAGTAGTTTAATGTTTATCTAAATGCCTAAATCTTTAGCTTCATAGCTTACCAGTCTCCTAACCAGCATCTTTTTCTTCTAAACTGATGGATGAGTTCCGCTTCTCAGAACACATCATGTTGTTTTACCCTCCACATTTTGCATATGCTCTTCCTTTTGCCTAGAATGCTCTCCCCTCAATCCTGCTGTCCTAAGATCCTATTTTAAGATTCTACTAGACTATCACCACATTCTGTTACATCAATTAACCTTCCTTTATACCTGTCATAATTGGCCAATCCCTCCTCTATATTCCAAAACTAACCTGCAGATACTTCTATCATTGCAGCTCATTTAATATTTCAACAAGTGCATGAGTATCTGTATGCCAGACCTTCTGTTACTTGTTGGCAATAGAGAGTAAATATGATGTATTTCGCTCTACCCTCAAGGAATTCTAGTCTAGAGGGGGGATATAAAGGTATTCAATAAAGGATAGCATAATCATTTCTAATTATAATTATGCTGTGCACTATTAGGAACATGTATAGAATAGCAAAAGAACATATAATGTTGGAACCTTCCCCGGTTGCTGTGGTCATTGGAAGACTTCTTGGAGAAATTCCATCAAGGTTTAGTCCTGAGGGTACATGTACAGGACACAGGCAGGTTGAGAAAATGGATATCATTACACAGATATAATAGCATTTGGGAAAGGCCCCAACAGCATGGAGCCCGGCACACTAGAAGAAAAGGGAAGTTAGTGTTCAAGGGGGAGAAAAATGCAAAATAGGGCTGTGGAGGTAGGCAGAATCCTACATTGTAGTAATTTGTTGCTTTCTATTTCCAAGCCTCACTGCTATTTTTTCTGTAATCCATAAAATAATGCCCATCACATTATAAACTTTTAGTAATAAATATTTGAGAATAAATAAATATATGATATTCATCAATAGTGGATGAAAATTGTCAAAACTAGTATCAGGTCAGGATACTTCACACCTGGAAAAACAAGTGCTGAGCAGTGCCTCCCTTGTGAGGGATATCTAGATCTCTTTGGCAGTCCTTCCTGCTCCCCTCCAGGTGTTCTATCATCTTAATGTCTAGGCTTCCACCAACTGCCACATCTGTGAAAATGCAAGAATTGCAATGCAGAGGAACAGATTTCTAGAAACCAATAGGTCATTTCAGAGTATGGGAGGTAAAGAGACTCTGAGAATTTGCTTCAAGACATAAGGTGATGAGGAAAGAAGGTAGTAAGAGGAAAAAGAGAGACTTCGGTCTGGAAATTACTAGGCTAATAGTCCACATAACTCCACATAAGCCAAGTCTCAGTATGTGGGTCAAACAAGCAAATTCAAAGTTATACAGCAGGGGTAGAAAGAGACAAGAAGAACAAGGGTAACTTTTCTTCTGTAGCTCCAATATAGTCTTCAAGTGCAGACTATATGTTTAGCACCTTTTTATCCACTACATAGAAAAATAAGATAAAACTTCCTCAGCAAATCACCCGAGAAGTCTGTAAAAAGTTCTCACAGCAGAAACTGGATAAAAGTTAAGCAGCTGCTGGTAGTCTGCCCCCACTTAATCAATGCTTCCCCATCACCTCTACAATAGGCCTAATGTTTTTATTATAGTAGCATCCAAGGCTCTGACCACCTCCTATCAGCACAGATTCTCTTTCCACTACTACTAACTTAATATCTTGTGCTCCAGCAATAGTAAACCAAATGCAGCTCCTGAATTCATTGGGCATTTTATGCTCCTCTGCCTTTGTTCATGCTCTTCCCTTCCTGGCTTATTTTACTCCAACCTGTCATCCAGATCTCAAATTCAGCACTACCTCTGATCTCTAAGCTTACTCTGACTTTGCAAGGGACATTCAGACTTGCCTTTTCCTAGGTTCCCATATCACTGAATGCAAATTTATACCATGGCAATTATCTTTCCTCTTGTTAGAATATAATCTCTTCAAGGATAGGAAAGTTGTATTATCATTTCTGTTTCCTCAGTACATCTCACAGATTCTGATATGTAAAAAGGGCCAAAAAACATTTCCTGGATTATCTTTACTGAGAGGAGCCTAAAAGGCAGAAAATCCAACTTATGACAGTCATCTCCTCCCTACTAATTCTGAGATACTTCATCTAGAGAAAAATCCCATCCTCTTATAATTAGACGTATCCTTGGAAGTGCTAGCATAGCTCTTCAATGTGTAATGAAATGCCAATGACTGAAAACAGATTTCTGCTAGAGTGCAAACAGAAAACGAATCAGGACACAAGGGGAGAGAGGTATAACACAAGAAGAGGATGGAAGTATAACAGATTCTATAACCCTGCTTGACCTAATGTCTCATATAGGATTAATTTGTAAGAACATTATATTCCTGGTGATTCAACGAATGCTATGTTGGTTGAGAGTAAGGCATGAAAGGCTAGGAACAAGGGTGGATTACAGTAAAGTGAGAGTTAGAGATGCAAAAAAAGTTGTAGGCATGGTAGTAGAAAGGGCATGTTCTGTTTTGCACCAGGCTGCTCTATTCATGTAGGCAGAATTGCTGGTGTAATATATATGAATGGAGTGACCTGGTGCAAAACAAAACAGAGAGACGAGGCCTCTGGTTGTAATTCGATCTACAAGCTCAGCTCCAACTTGGAATTCTGGCCAAATATTGTCAGGCTTGTTTGTTGTTTCATTTTTCATGAAAATAAATAAATCTATATTTGTTTGTGAAATTTTCCACTATCTAATTTTGGTAATTAACTTGATTTCTTTAAAAATCTTTGAGGGAACACAAAACATGTTGGGAATAGAGGACAGTTGTGGCTTGCAGCCTGCTAACTTACAAACTCTGCTTAGAAGATGATGAGAAAATTAGAATAGAGAAGCTAATTCACATTCCCCAAGCCACAAACCTGGTAAATGGTGAAAATTTAGATTCAAATCAGGCAATCCAGTTTCAATTATGGTGCTCTCGATCCCCACTGCAGGGGTTCCTAGCTGTGTGTGTGTGTGTGTGTGTGTGTGTGTGTGTGTGTGTGTATGTGTGTGTGTGCATATACAAATGCATCGTATATCCCTTTGGAAGTTTGGTGAAGTCTGAACCCTTCTCAGAATAATATCTTGCACGCATAAGATAAAATATACAGGGAATTACAAATGGCCAATAAATATATGGAAAAAATGCTCAACATCACTTATCATCAGGAAAGTGCAAATCAAAACCACAATGATAGGTTGTCTCGCCCTGGTTAGGATGGCTATTATCAAAAAGACAAAATAATAAATTCTGGTGAGGATGTGGAGAAAAGAGAACTCTTTTTTTTTTTTTTTTTTTGAGACGGAGTCTCACTCTGTCACCCAGGCTGGAGTGCAGTGGTGCGATCTCGGCTCACTGCAAGCTCCGCCTCCCGGGTTCACGCCATTCTCCTGCCTCAGCCTCCCGAGTAGCTGGGACTACAGGCGCCCGCCACCACGCCCGGCTAATATTTTGTATTTTTAGTAGAGACGGGGTTTCACCGTGTTAGCCAGGATGGTCTCTATCTCCTGACCTCGTGATCTGCCTGTCTCGGCCTCCCAAAGTGCTGGGATCAAACGTGAGCCAGAAAAGGGAACTCTTATACACTATTGGTGGGAATATAAACTAGCACAGCCACTATGAAGAATGATACAGAGTTTCCTTTAAAAAACAAAACAAAACTACAAATAGAACTACCATATGATCCATCCATCCCACTACTGGGCATTTATCCAAAGGAAAGAAAATCGATATATGAAAGAGACATCTGTAGCCTCATATTTATTGCTGCACTATTCACAATAACCAAGACATGGAATCAACCCGTGTCTGACAGCAGATGAAGAGATTTTTTTTAATGCAGTACATGTATACAATGGAATATTACTCAGCTATAAAAATAATGAAATCATGTTATTTGCAACAACATGTATGGGACTGGGGTACATTATGTTAAGTGAAATAAAGCAGGAACAAAAAGCTGTTCATCACATGTTCTCATTTTTATGTGGAAATTTTAAAAAGTTAATCTTGGCCAGGCACGGTGGCTCACGCCTGTAATCCCAGCACTTTGGGAGGCCAAAGCGGGCGGATCGCCTGTCAGGAGTTTGAGACCAGCCTGGCCGACATGGCAAAACCCTGTCTGTACTAAAAATACAAAAAGTAGCCGGGCATGGTTGCAGGCACCTGTATTCCCAGCTATTCTGGGAGGCTGAGGCAGGAGAATCGCTCGAAGCCCGGAGGCGGAGGTTGCAGTGAGCAGAGATCATGCTATTGCACTCCAGCCTAGGCAACAGGGTGAGATTCCATCTCAAAAAAAAAAAAAAAAAAAAAAACAAAGAAAAAAAAGTTCGATCTTACAGAAGGAAAAAGCAGAATAGAGATTACTAGAGGCTGAAAAATGTAGAGAAAAAAGGAGAAAGGGAGATATTTGTTAAAGGACACAAAATCACAGCTAGATTAGAGAAAAGTTCTTATGTTTTATAGAACTGTAGGATGACTATAGCCAAAAATAATATTCTTTATATGTTCAAATAGCTAGAAGAAAAGATATCAAATACTCCCAACAAAAAATGATAAATGTTTGAAATGATGGGTATGCTAACTACCTAACTACCCTGATCTGATCTCTACATGTTGTATGTATGACATCACTATGTACCACATAAATATGTAGAATTATTGTCAATTAAAAATAAATTAAACTTAAGAATATAAGAACACAAAGAAAATCAATTATACTAAACTGTAGTATTCAAATATTTTTTCAATTGTGATATAGTAATACAAGTGCTTTCTGAACACACTGAATAAGATCTAGTGAGAATCTAATAGCTAAACCAATTTTAAAATAGTAATGATCCATAAACAGAACTAAAAACAAAAACCACATCATTATCTCAGTAGATGCAGAAAAGGCTTTCAATAAAAGTCAGCATTCCTTCATGATAAAAACACTCAACAGACTAGACTTTGAAGGAACATACCTCAAAATATTAAGAGCCATATATGACAAACCCACAGCCAACATTATACTGAGTGGGCAAAAGCTGGAAGCATTCCGCTTGAAAACTGGCACAAGACAAGGATGCCCTCTCTTACCACTCCTATTCAATGTAGTATTGGAAGTTCTGGCCAGGGCAATTAGGCAAGAGAAAGAAATACAGGGCATTCAGATAGGAAGAGAGGAAGTCAAACTATCCCTGCTTGCAGATGACATGATCCTGTATCTGGAAAACCCCATAGTCTCAGCCCAAAAGATTCTTAAGCTGATAAACAACTTTAGTAAAGTCTTGGGATACAAAATCAATGTTCAGAAATCACTAGTATTCCTATACATGAACAACAGTCAAGCTGAGAGCCAAATCAGGAATGAAATTCCATTCGCAATCTAATAGCGAATGTCACAAAAAGAATAAAATACCTAGCAATAAAGCTAACTAGGGAGGTGAAATATTTCTACAAGGAGAACTACAAAACATTGCTCAAAGAAACCAGAGATGACACAAACAAATGGAAAAATACTCCACGCTCATGGATAGGAAGAATCAATATCGTTAAAGGGGCCATACTGCCCAACACAATTTATAGACACAGTGCTATTTCCATCAAACTACCATTGACATTCTTCACAGAACTAGAGAAAACTATTTTAAAATTCATATAGAACCATAAAAGAGACTGAATAATCAAGGCAATCCTAAGCAAAAGTAACAAAGGTGAAGGCATCACGCTCCTTGAATTCAAACTATATTACAGGGCTACAGTAACCAAAACAGTTTGGCACTGGTACAAAACCAGACACATAGACTAATGAAACAGAATAGAGAACCCAGAAATAAGACCACACACCTACAACTATCTGATATTTGACAAACCTGACAAAAACAAGCAATGGAAAATGAATTCTCTATTCAATAAATGGTGTTGGGATAACTGGCTAGCCATATGCAGCAGATCAAAACTGAACTCCTTCCTTACACCATATACAAAAATTAACTCAAGATGGTTAAAAGACTTAAATGTAAAACCCAAGACTATAAAATCCCTGGTAGACAACCTAGGCAATACCATTCAGGGCATAGGCAAGGGAAAAGATTTCATGATGAAAATGCCAAAAGCAATTGCAACAAAAGCAAAAATTGACAAATGAGATCTAATTAAACCAAAGAGCTTCTGCACAGCAAAAGAAACTATCAACAGAGTAAACACACAACCTACACAAAAGGAGAACATTTTTTCAAATTATGCATCTGATAAATGTCTAATATCTGTCATTTATAATGAACTTAAACAAATTTACAAGAAAATAACAACCCATTAAAAAGTGAGCAAAGGACATGAACAATTTTCAAAAGAAGACATACATGCAGCCAATAATCATATTTTAAAAACTCAACATCACTGATTATTAGAGAGATGCAAGTAAAAACCACAATAAGATACCATCTCACACTAGTCAGAATGGCTGTTGCTAAAGAGTCAAAAAATAACAGATGTTGTCGAGGTTGTAGAGAAAAGGGAACGCTTACACACTGTTGGAGGGGGTGTAAATTAGTTCAGCCATTGTGCAAGACACTGTGGCAATTCCTCAAAAAGACCTAAAGACAGAAATACCATTTAACCCAGCAATCCCATTACTGGGTATATAGCTAAAGCAATATAAATTATTCTATTATGAAGACCTATGCATGTATATGTTCATTGCAGCTCTATTCACAATATCAAGGACATGGAATCAACCTAAATGCCTATCAATGATAGACTGGATAAAGAAAATGTAGTACATATACACCATGGAATACTATGCAGCCATAAAAAGAATGAGATCATGTCCTTTGCCAGGACATGGATGGAGCTGGAAGTCATTATCCTTAGCTAACTAACACAGAAACAGAAGACCAAATACTGCATGTTCTCATGTATAAGTAAGAGCTAAACATTAAGTACACATGGACACAAAGAAGAACAACAGACAGTGGGGCCTTTCAGAGGGAGGAGGGTAGGAGGAGGGAGAGGATCAGGAAAAATAACCAATGATTAGTAGGCTTAATACCTGGGTGATGAAGTAATCAGTGCAGCAAACTCCCATGACACAAGTTTACCTGTGTAACAAACCTACACTTGTACCCCTGAACTTAAAAGTTAAAAAATAAAATGAAATAGTGATCTTTAACAATCCTGTGAGATGTCTGCAACAGCTTTTTATGACATAAATCTATTTGTGATGACATTATTACAAGTATTGATAATACTGATTACATTCATAATTGAAAGAAATGTTACAGGTCAATTAGATATTAGTAAAAAAAATACATGTGTGATTTTTTTCACCTAGGTCCCCAGACCTCCTGGATTCTATTCATAGACCTCTTGAGAGTATATGATATACAGATGAAGAATTCAACCTGTGCTCCACTGTTCCTCATGCTCACATTTATGTTTTGGAAATACTTCTTGCTGTTATGTGGAGAATGAAGATGGGAAACCATGAGGAGAAAGGTAGAGAGGCCAACTCGCAGGTCGTTGCAATGGTATTGACTAAGCAGTACTCTATGTACTACCCTATAATAGTATACTGTGAGGTGGTACTACTAGCAGTGGCAGCAGAGATGAAGAGACATAAATTAAGTCAATACATATTTTTAAAATAGGAGGACTATTTAGTGGATTGTATGGAGTAGTGGATGAGAAAAAAGGGGGAATCAAAATTGTGAATTTATTAATAGCTAATTATTTATTTGACTACATCCATTTTTCCTCTCATTCTACCTCCAATTTCTTTTCTTTGTACCTCTGACTCATCTTCCTTCTTTGATGACAAGGGCTCTAGAGTGAGTCACCTAAACTGCAGTCTGAGGAAGAGTCAAGGGTACTGCAAATGTGAGAGCCATATTCAGATATTGGCATGTGTAACATGTTGAAGAATGGCTAATCTGACATGCTGTATTTATGCAGAAATTTTAACCAGGCTCCATGAGTAAGGCTTTGAGGGCACAGTTCAGGGCTTAACTGATTCCCCCCAAATGAGCTCCACTACCAGAAATTCCCTGGTAGAGATTAGATATTTATTCTCCAGCTTTAGGACTTTATTAGTCAGATGAAATATCTTACTTCATGCTTTAATTTTATGGTTTTATTTTTAACAATTTCCTGAACAGTACATTCTACCATGTCTCAAAATAAAAAATTTATTATATTTTTATAAATCTGGACAAAGTCTGCCTTATTTATTAACGTGTTTTTAAAAAATTCAATAGATAACTATTAAGTCATTTACTTCTCAGTTAATATATATAAGACAGCTTTTCCATTACTATCTTTTGAATGGGTAAGATATGAGGGACAAAATACTTCAGAGTTTTTAACTATGTTTATTTAATTTAAAATCATTGTGAAAAAAACAAAAAACAAGACATTGACCTATTGAACATAGTGTATTTATTATTTTTCCCTTTTATGCAATCTTGGCATATTCTTCAATTCAAAATAAGAAACCCCAAAAGTATAATACTTCTTTGGAAAAATATGCAAAGGCCAACACATACAAAGGACAATGCTAAACAGAAATGCATCAAAGACTAATAATAATTGACAAAAATCCAGTATTTTAACAATAATTAATACTAGGTAAATCGATACATCCTATTACAGTATGAAATTCTGCCATTTAATTTCAAGTAAGAACCCTTATTTCCATTCTAGTACCTGCTATCTTATGCATGTTTAACACAACAGCAAAAATAACAAAAATATAATTAGTTAGTATTTATTAAAGCATTAATGAACACCAAGCATCGTTAAATATATTACATGTATTTTTGCTTAATTTTCACAACATTACTAATGGTTAAATATTATTACCACATTTTGTAGGTAAAAAAACTGAGGCTTAGAAACATTGAAAAAAACTTGCTCAACGTTGCAAAACAAGAAATTTGTGACACTGGAATCGACACCTACCACAGACTGATCTAACTGATTGCTGGATACATGTCCCTCAAAGACAGAGAAACAGATTTTGTATTTTAGTGGATCTCCGGCACCCAGCGAGGGCCTGAAACAGAGTAGATGTTCAACAAATAATTATTGAACTAAAGATTGACATTTCAGGAGCAGAGATTTATATCCAAAAACAAAGATGAGAATTTTGGCAGAAAAGTCAAAATGAGGTAAAAGTACATTTCCACCTTAACCTTTTTTTTATTTGCTTAGCTGACATAAGGAAGAGTTTATAATTTGTTAAAATGAACTAGTGTTTCAAAATTAAAATGTGGTTTTCTATCTAGCTCCAACACTACATTCCTTCATAAGCTTCTGCACATTATTTAATGTTAAATATTTGGCTTGGAGGTTGTGTTGAAGCATGTTTTACAATTATCTTGGACTTTTAAGTGGCAAAACTATTAATGCCATTTCTTTCTTTGCAAGGCAAAGTCGTGTTTTTCTCATGCTACTCGCTGTTCAAATCTATGATGACCGATTGCTTCCAGAACTCTTTTTATATACGTCAGTCATTTTAAGTAGACACATTTTTATCAGTATATCAAAATACCATGCAGTCTAACCTAGTTTTGTCACCCCAACCATATTAGTAATGAAAAACTGGAAAACGTTCTATTCGTTTTTCTGTCATATGTCTTAACAAGCTGCAGTCTTAGAGACATCCTAAAACTAGAATATCGAATTTAACCTGCTAGTGACTTTTTTTGAAAGACGTTATTCTTCAAAGGCATACTACTTTAATATAAGATGTATTTTGGGAAGAAGTTATGGGGAAATAGAAATGACATTTTTAGAACCCATTCTGTGTACTTTCCATAAAACAGTCATGATAAATATTTAATTTACCTTTTACAATCTTTTTAGAGATGAGAAAGGGAGAGAGGTAAAGTCAATCCCCAGGGATTATACAACTAGGAAATGACAGAATCAAGATTTAATTCCAGGGTCCATGTTTGTCTAGAGAAATGTCTTTGCCCCTTACAGTAATTCAGCCTTAAATCTGTCCTGTGAATTCTCTGGACCTTCAATACTTCAGCTGTTAGAAAATTGGATTGGCTGGCTGATTTCCAAAGACTGTCTTGTAATAAAAAATCTATTTAACATGATCAATAATATACCAAATTAGGGAGAATCATGCTATGTATTTCTTAAATTCTTTTTTTCCTTTCTTTCCACAGGTTACATTATGTTGAAAATTAGACACAAAGCTTCTTCTAAGACTAATAATATGCTGCAATATTTATTTTGGAAATGAAAAACTTATGATTAATTTAATAGCTAATATTTTTCCCAAACATTGAGTCTTGGTAGTCAATAAGTTCATCATACTTATAATTTTCAGCCAGATTTTGAAAGCCAGTCAGATTTGAGTAGTTTACTGTCTATGATTTAAACTTTACAAATTATTATTTGATTATTTGCTATATTAATTATGAAGTGTGACAGTGGTATAAACACCTATTAAGAAACTGTATTGTTAAATTTCTGAATCTTTGAACTGTTCTCTTATTTTCAAAGTTGACACAGAACTTGAAAAACTGAACCCCTTAAATCAAGATTGTTGAACATTACCTAAAAGAATCTCTTCACAGTATAAATTTTCCCATAAAAGTATTTCCAGTGTTATACTTGTTTTGTCCTACACTGCTAATTATAGTTCTAAATTAATCTAAACACCATCAGAGTACCACAAGGCTGTACAGAATGGGAATATTCTGGATTAGAAAACAGGAGATTCATATTTTATCTCAGGCTTTTTTAAGTAGTCTTAATCCGAGGTATGTTTGTAGGATCCAGAGGTCTATGAAGTCCTGAATTTATGTTCACAATTTTGATGATATGTTCATTTTTCTATGAAAATAACCTTTACATTTCACCAGATTATCAAATAGACCCATAACTCAAAAGGTTTGTAAACACTGCGCTAACTTTTCATCAAGATGTCGCACGTTTCTTATCCCTGACTTCTTTTCATAAATCTAAACTAAATGATTTGAAAAGTAAATTCTAAGTTTAATTTTTTGATTGCTCTAAGAGCATAACTGTTGATATTATATCTCACAAAGGAGATCTCTATTCATTGCATGAAGAATCACGGAGCAGTTTTCCCAAGACTGAAATACTGAATATTCAGTTTCTTCTTCATTGCTGTCTTCACTTCCTGGTTTCTCAAAGTATAGATAAGTGGATTCAGAAAGGGAGTGAAGATGGTATAGAAAACAGAGAGAATTTTGTCTACCAGGAAGTTTGTGGAAGGCCACACATAAATGAAAATACAGGGCCCAAAGAACATTAACACAACAATAAAATGTGCTGTACAGGTAGAAAGAGCCTTGGAGGATCCTGTGGAGGAGTAGTCCCTGACAGTAATAAGAACAATGATGTAGGAGGTGAGCAAAAGCAGAAAACTTATAAGAGCAATCACACCACTGGTTGAAATCATGAAGATCCCAAGAACATAAATATCCATACAAGCTAGCTGGATGACCAAAGGAAGATCACAGAAAAAACTCTACAACATTGGGACCACAGAAGGGCAAATAGAGGGTAAAAGCTAATTGGCTCATTGTATGCAGAAAGCCCACTGTCCAAGAAACGGCCACAAGCTCAACACACACTCTTTGGCTCATAATTGTTGAATAATGGAGAGGTTTACATATGGCAATATACCTGTCAAAAGACATGGAGATCAGCAGCACAATCTCAGTCCCGGTGAAGAGGTGCAAAAAAAGATCTGAGAAATGCAGCCTTCAAAAGAGATGGTCTTACGCAGAGCAAAAAAGTCCATAATCATCTTTGGTGTGGCAAAGGAGGACAGGCACATGTCAATGAGAGACAGGTTGCTGAGCAGGAAGTACATGGGAGAGTGAAGGTGTGAGGTGGATAGCACAGTGAGCAAAATCAGGCAGTTGCCCAACATGGTCATTAAATAGAAGACAGAAAATACCACAAAAAAGAATCTCTGGAGTTCAGGAGAATCAGTAAGTCCAAGTAACATGAATTCAGATACTCTGGAACAGTTGAACCCCTCCATTCATCTGCAGACTCGGCTTTATAATTGTAAAAGGAACAAAATTACAGAGTTTGAAAATGTGATATTTCTACAACCACATATTAACTTATCATTCGCTAAAAGATTGATTAACTAGAATCCAACTAAAAATTCTCAGGGTAAACATTTTTGGGGGGAATCACTTAACAGTTGCTACCAGATATAATCTGAAAAGTTTAACCTCTTGGTTTTGACCAGCATCAGTACACGTTGAGCTGTAGTCATCACATGCCCACACAATTATATACCTATCTGAATACTACTTAACGAGTTATATAATACACATTTATTGAGGCAGATCATTACATTTGTGTGCTTTACTGAATAAGGCATATAAATAAAACTAAAAATAAAATAAGTGTTGAACTCTCAAAGGTTTCTCTTACACACAAAAATGTGAATATTTTGAATCGACTATTGTTAAACACTAGACTTAACTAAGACTTTACTATAATGATTTCAGAAGATCCATTTAATATCTTATGAGGGTGATAAATTATTTAATTTTTAATTTCTTAATTCCATAAGACAACTGATAACCAAAAGGCATACTTGTAACCTACAAGAGTTATTCTCCACTTCTGGTAATTTATTATTTCATAGAAACATGTTTTAAAAAGAGAATCTCCTTCCTTTAATTCTTTTCATTCTACCCAAAGCTATATTTTAAACTAGAAAAAACAAACAAAAAAGATACATTAAGAACTCAGAATTATTTTTCAAAATTAATTTTTTCATTTACAGTGCTTCCCAAGTTCTAGAAATTTTATTTCCTATGGAATATCAATGTCTTTACCAAACAGTCAAAAATGTGGTACAAAGCAAATGAAACTTAGCCCTAGTAAATGAAAGTTAATTTTGTGACCAGGTAGGGTTTACTTTGCCAGCCACCTAATGAAATTTAAGCCTTTGACTACAGAAATTTTAGCTGGATAACTGGAAAGTTGTCTGGGTTACCGGAAAATTTGATGAGACCAAAATTAATTAAGTAAAAAAATATAGTGTTAGATCAGGCATTTATAAGTCTATATGCATCTAAATCATTTTTTTAGCTAAATTGCTTTTTTCACATGGAAAACTATATGAATTCCCTTGTTATATTACACATTTGAATATTTCACTTTATACATTTGAATATTTATCTAGTTTTGATAATAATTTAACTATAATAGATAATGCAATTTTATCTAATCCTGTATTCTAACTTATCCGTCTTTGAAAATGCAATATTTCATTCCTTCTTCAATAAAAGTTTTCAAGGTACACTAAAAAAGATTTCATTATGTCAGTGAAACATGGTAAACGAATGTCAAAAATTTTAAAATATCAATATACTAATATTTAAGTTATAGTCTATATTAATATGCTCAGAAAAGAATAAAATCATTGTTATAAACTCAAAGAATGAAAAAATGGAAGAAGAGTCAAAAAATGGGCCGGGCACAGTGGCTCATGCCTGTAATGCTAGCACTTTGGGAGGCTGAGGCAGGCGGATGGTTTGAGCTCAGGAGTTTGAGACCAGCCTGGCCACCATGGCGAAACCCTGTCTCTACTAAAAATACAAAAATTTGCCAAGCATAGTGGCACACACCTGTAATCCCACACCCGCTTCTCGGGTGGCTAAGGCAGGGGAATCCTTTGAACCTGGGAGGCGGAGGCAGAGGCTGCAGTGAGCCGAGAACATGCCACTGCACTCCAGCTTGAGCACTGAGTACCTGTCTCAAAAAAAAAAAAAAAAAAAAAGAAGATAAGAACTATTTGACTTTTATTTTCTTCATTCTCTTCCATTAATTTATTCCCAATGATCCTTCCAAAAATTCTTGAAAATAAATAATAAAAAAGAAAATCTTGCATTATGAATGCCTGAGACTACTGACTATTGAAATTTTAGATTGTAGATCAATACACATATAAATTTAACTGTCTGACAGTGCCAATGTATCAATTCCGTGAAAAAATAAGTTTTATGATTATGTGCCCCCTTTTTTCTGAATTAACTGATTGGCTGATTAAATTTGCAGATTAGCTGACTGCTTTTAGTTAAAAGTAGTGGCATGGTTTCTAGTCTAAAGAAAAAGTCTTACCTGATTTGTAGTAAAAACTAAAACAAATGTTCCAAAACAATTTTGGCTTCTTTTTTGGTTAACTATCACAAATTTTACATTGACTACACATTCTGACTTTAGAATAGAAGGATTATAGCAATTGTTCTGTTGCAGCAACTTTCAGAGTCCAGTTAGAAGTGGAAAAATAAAAATGGGAAAAAACCTGATTCATTTTTAAAATTTTTAATTTGTTTTTAATTGTTGCTGTGCAGAAGCAAATGTACTGGAAATGAATTGTACTCAGTTAATTACAATTTACCGTATTATTCCATCCTTAACTCATTCTGTGATTGAACACTGAATATCAAAATTTTAAATATTACCTTCACGGCTAGGTGCAATGGCTCATGCCTGTAATCCCAGCACTTTGGGAGGCCGAGATGGGTGGATCACTTGAGGCCAGGAGTTCAAGACCAGCCTGGCCAACAATGGTGAAACCCCGTCTCTACTAAAAATACAAAAATTAGCCATGTGTGGTGGTGGGCACCTGTAATCCCGGCACCTGTAATCCCAGCTACTCGGGAGGCTCAGGCAGGAGAATTGCTTGAACCCAGGAGACGGATATTGCATGAGCCGAGATCATACCACTCACTCCAACCTGGGAGACAGAGCAAGACTCCATCTCAAAAATAAAAATACAAATAAATGTTACCTTCAGCAATATTTTTCCTTTAGATGACCTCATGTTTTCCCATGTGGAGGAAAATCTGGTTACATCTCCATTTATCTGCACATATTTAAACTGTTTTGTCAATATTGAAAAATTATTTTGGCCGGGTGCGGTGGCTCACTCCTATAATCCCAGCACTTTGAGAGGCCGAGGTGGGTGGATCACGAGGTCAGGAGTTGAAGACCAGCCTGGCCAACATGGTGAAATCCCATCTCTACTGAAAATAAAAAAAATTTGCTAGGCGTGGTGGTGCATGCCTGTATTCCCAGCTACTTGGGAGGCTGAGGCAGGAGAGTTGTTTGAACCTGAAAGGCGGAGGTTGCAGTGAGCCGAGATGGCACTATTGCACTCCAGCCTGGATGACAGAGCTAGACTCCATCTCAAAAAAAAAAAGAGAAAAATTATTTTTAAATTTTGTCGTAGAATGATATTCGAGAATTCTTAAAAGGAGTCTATTGCCCAGCAGTTAAGAGTAGTTAGGGTATTCTTGACTTCACTTATGTCTCAGTAGCCTAAGATTTGACCTCTACTTGTTAGAATTATATTAGATGGTCTATGTAAAGCTTGAAGCATATTTTCTGGGCAAAATTTAAGGAACTTTCTAGGTTTCAAAATCCAAATTTAAGAATGCTGTTCAGAAATAATCAGTGTGTTTTAATATTAATAACATGCAATAAAAATTCTAATCTATTTAACTTCAGAGGTTTAGAAAAAGACCATGTACTACCAAAATAATTTCATCTGTTTGAAATTGCATTTTCCATATGAAAATGGCACAAGTTCCTTTTATATTAAATGCATTGAAAACCCTCAGCTTCACACATTTGAATATTTCTATTTTACTACAATTTGTTTACTAATGGGAACTACACTTATATTGATTTAAACATATACATAAATTTATATTTATATTTTTTCTCCTTTTCATCACCAGAAAGAATGCTTTAATTCCTATTTAATGGAACCATCCATTTTTGTCTTTAAGTCATATATAATTTTTTCTTTACTATTCCTCCATTATTTCTGTTTTATATAATTATTAAATAAATGTCAATTGTTTTGCTATCTGAAGAATGCAAACCACAACTGCTTCTGAAGACCCTTACTATCATATCTAGCTTTTAACCTACCAGTTATGCACCTAGCATCAAAAACACCATTTCCTCCGAGGTTGACAAGCCTACTGAAATCACCATAGTTCTTTAGTAAGCGTCAGAAGCCTGGAGTATGGATGTATATTTTTCTCCTGTCTTTATATAAAACCCCTTAGAAAGCAGTGACATTGATTAGATCAGGGATTAAACACTATAATCTACTTGCAGTGGGAGTCATTAAAATGTTGACCCAACTTTTCACAGAGTTGCAACAAGAATTGTGAAGTGTGTCTTTGCTATTTAAAGTGGGAATGCACTCCTGTGATGTAGCAATGTTCATTGGAGAAAAGCACAACTGGGACTGGCCTAGGAGAAGAAAACATTGAAGCAGTCATTTACAGAGCATATGGGGAACAAAAAATTACTCCTTAATTATGGAAATATTCCCATATTTATGCCCCAATGTTCAAAATACCGTAATTGGAAAATTATTCTTTTAGGCTAAGGCAATTTTTCTCCAGCAAATACTTGCTTACTGGAAGTTGCGTATTAAAGGAAGAATCATGCATTAAAGTTTCTGACAATACATTAAAAAATTAGCACAAACTAATACTGATAGCTGTTTCGAGGGATAGGTGAATCATAGAAAGGGGGATGTTGGAAAGTCCATCATAGCCAGGAGAAGAGAAGAGAGGTAGTATGGAGTACCTTAGACGAATAGTGTAAAAATTAAATTATAGAAATAAACTTTAAACATTCAGTTCATTGCTTACTACAAGGAAAGTATTTAATATAGTAGAAATAATAGCAGAGATGTTTATAATAATTATCATTATTTTTGAAGTGTTCATAATGGATTATCCAGGAAGATATAGATGTGGATTCACAACCTAAAACCATAAACCAAGGGTCTTGCCATATTTACCTGCAGGTCAATCATTTATCTGTGGCTTGCTCTCTAAGCACAACTTGTTTCCCAAATACCTCAAAGACTGAACTCTTCACAACTGTCATATCCATCCTACATTCCCCACAGGTCTGGCAATAGAGCCCAAGAAAATCTTCCCTAGCTGACCACATTTCTAGCACTCTTTGAAATAAGGAAGCAAGTTTAGTTTTAAGATGTTTTTCCTTCTACGAAGAAAAAGGAAATGACTTTTTAAAAAATTAACAAAACTGGTTAAAGATTTAATAGTTTTCTAATTGTCCCTTGGTATCCACAGAAGATTGGTTCCAGGACCCCCGCTGATACCAAAATCCATGGATGCTCAAATCCCTGAGTTAAAATGGCATGATATTTGTATACAATCTAAACACATCCTCCCATATACTTTAAATCATCTTAGATTACTTATGATGCCTAATGCAATATAAATGCTATGTAACTAGTTGTTATACTGTATCACTTTCTGAATTTGTATTATTTGTATTGTTTTTTATTAATATTTTGGATCCACTATTGGTTGAATCCAAGAATATAGAACCCACAGAAAAAGAGGGCTAGCTGTAAATCTAAAATATGTATCCCATTGTAAAACAAAAAATAAGGATATATAATAATTATTAGAGTAATCCTGGAAAACTGTATAAATCCTGGAAAACAGGTATAATTATTATTAGAGTAATACTGGAAAAGGCAAGAGAATAAACAGAAAAAGAATAGAAATAAAAAATAATTCATAAAGAGAGAGCATGAAGGAGTTTTTTGGTATTAGTAACCTGTTCTATATCTTGGTTGCGGTGCTGATTACATAATCTGTATATGTGCTAAAATTAATGGATTGTTTACCAGAACAAAGAAAAGGTCCATTTTACTTTAAGATAATTTTATAAAGTAGAATTTTAAAAAGTAAACCCAGATAATTCAGTACAAGGGCAAATTTCAAAATGAGAATATAAATTCAATAACCTTCTTATAAATTATTCAACAATTAAATATATTTAACTTAAATATATTGAACTTAAATATATTTAATTGTTAAATAAATATATTTAACATTATATTAAATATGTAATATGTTAAAATGTAATATGTTAAAATGTAGCCAAAAAGAATCTATTAAGATGAACAATAGGCTATATAAACTAAATAGGAATAATCTTAAACAGAAATGTGTTGTTTATAAATGACAAAAGCTATACTATTCTAAAAAAAGAAAAAAGTTGACAAATAAATTTAAATACTTATGGTATTGGAGGAAAATGCAACATCATTCAACACATACATTTTCCCTCCTATAAAATAAAATTCAATAAACCATGAGATATTTTTGAGTTCACAAAATAATTTTCAAAATTTGTCTGAAGGCAAATCAGATTAAAGTATTCAAGAATTAGAAATATTATTTCATTTTGTTTGTTTGCTTTATGTTTTGGTTTTTAGCTAACTTAAACTTTTTTTATTCATACAAATTCATGGGATACGTGTGGAATTTTGTTACATGTATGTAATGCATAGTGATTAAGTCAGGATATTTAGGGTGTTCGTCACTCCAGTACGATACTTTTTAAAGTGTAGTTATGCTACTCTGCTATCAAACATTCAATTTATTCCTCCTATCTTATCCTTTAGTGCACTTCTCTTTGTTCTTTCCCCTGCCCTTTCCACTCACTCTTCCCAGTCTCTGTGATCTATTTTTCCACTCTCTACCTCCACGTGATGAAATTTTTTTAGCTCCTGCATATAAGTGAGAACACGGGATAGTTACCATTTTGTGCCTGGTTTATTTCACACCAGTTTTATCCATGTTGCTGCAAGTGACATTATTTCATTCTTTTTTATGGCTGAATAATATTCCATTGTGTATATACACCACATTTTTTGTTGGTTTGTTTTGTTTTCTGTTTTATTTTTTCATGATTTTTATTGCAGGATATCATCATGAAATATTCTGTATTTTGTATGTTACTGGCTTGATAATAGATCATGCTCAGAAATTATTTCAGAGCTTCATCACCTCTTCCAAGCACCACTTGGGACCTGAGTACCCCAAACATTGCTGGGTACACCTGCACATCATGCTACTGCCCCTGCCCACCAGCACATCCCTGGCTGCTGAGCTGTCCACCTTGCCATCCTCACTGGTCAACATTTCTGCATGCAGTTTGAAGAGCTTTGCAAAATCCCTCACCAACTTCACAAACCCTGAGTCTTTTAACTATCAGCTTCATAAGCCCAAACCCCCACTTAGGTTGGTTTCATATCTTTGCATTGTGAATAGTACTGCAATAAACATGTGAGTGCAGGTAACCCCTTGATATATTGTTTTTTTTTTCCCCTTTGAGTAAATACCCAGTAGAAAAATTGCTGGATCCAATGGTAATTTTATTTTTACTTTTGTAAGGAATCTCCATAATGTTTTCCACAGTTGCTATACTGGTTTACATTCCCACCAACAGTGTAGAAGAGTTCCTTTTTCAATCTGTTATATTTTGTTTTGTTTTGTTTTGCTTTGTTTTTGTTTTTGTTTTTAGTAATAGTCATTATGACTAGGGGAAAATAATATTTCATTGTGGCTTTGATTTGCATTTCTATAATGATTAGTGATGTTGAGTATTTTTTCATATATCTTTTGGCCTTTTGTATGTCTTCTTTTGAGAAATGTCTATTTATATCCTTTGGCCACTTTCCAGTGGAATTATTTTTTTTCCTGTGAGTTGTTTAGGTTTTTTGTAAATTCTAGGTATTAGCCCACTATTAGATGAATAGTTTGCAAATATTTTCCTCCATTCAGGAGGTTGTCTCTTCGCTCTGCTGATTATTTCTTCTGCTGCTCAGAAGCTTTCTAATTTAATTAAGTCCCATTTGTCTATTTTTATTTGTGTTGCTTGTGACTTTTGAGATGTTAGTCATAAATTCTATGCCTAGACAAAAGTCCAGGAAATTTTTCCCTAGGTTTTTTCAAGTATTTTTATAGTTTCAGGTCTTATGTTTAAGTTTTTAATTTACTTTGAGTTGATTCCTGTATATAGTGAGATAGTGGTCCAGTTTCATTCTTCTGGATGTGGCTATCCAATTTTCCCAGCACCATTTATTGAAGAGTGTGTCCTTTCCCCAGTGTCAGCTTTGTTGAAGATCAAATCTGCAAAAAAATTATAAAACCGTAATATCTAAGTAATATTGGAGAAGCACAGAAAACAACTGACAATTAATATAAGGGACTTGAGAACAACAAATTATATATAGACCAAGTATATATAAGACCTTACAATATTATACTGTGAATATGTTACCTGAATTGCCAAAAGGGACTTTGTAGATGGATTTAAGGTTGCTAATCAGCTTGCCTTACAATAGAGAGATTATCCAGTATTAACAGAATGAGCTCAATAAAATCACAGAAGTCATTAAAAGTAGAAAAGAGGTTTTGTAGATAGCAACAAACTAACTCAAAAGTTTCATGGAAAGGCACAAGACTTAAAATAGATAACATAATACTGAAGAAAAAGAGCAAATTTGGAGGATTCATACTGCTTGACATCAAGACTTAATATAAAGTTACTCTAATTAAGACATCATGGACTAGATATGGTGGCTCGTGCCTGTAATCCCAGAACTTTGGAAGGACGAGGCAGGAAGATCACTTGAGCCCAAGAGTTGAAGACCAGCCTGGGAAACATAGTGAGATCTCCCATCTCTACAAAAGAATTAAAAATTACTCAGGCAAGGTGGTGCACACTTATAGTACTGACTACTTAAGTGGCTGAAGCAGGAGGATCACTTGAGAAAGGAGGTTGAGATTGCAATGAGCCATGGTCACACCACTGCACCCTGCCAAGGAGACAGAAACAGTGTCTCAAAAAATAAAATAAAATAAAATAAAATAATAAAATAAAACAAAACAAAATAAAATAAAATAAAATAAAATAAAATAACAGTACAATATTGGTGACAGAATAGACATTTAAATCAGTGAAACAGAAAACAGAGCCTAAAAATAGACCCACAGAAATAGAGTCAATTATTTTCAACAAAGGTGCAAGGGCAATTTAATAGAGAAAAGATAGTTTGGGAACAAATGAATCATATACCTATTCTGTTCCATTGTTATATGTGTCTGTTTTGGTTACTGTAGCCATGCTGTTTTGGTTACTGTAGCCCTGTAATATAGTTCGAAGTTGGGTAACATGTTGCCTCTAGCTTTGTTCCTTTGCTTAGGATTGCCTTGGCAGCTTGGACTCTTTGTTGGTTCCATATGAATTTTAAAATAGTTTTTCCTAGTTCTGTGAAGAATGTCATTGATAGTTTGATAGGAATAGCACTGAATCTATAAATTGCTTTGGACAGCATGGCCATTTTACTAATATTGATTCTTCTTATCCACGAAACCTCAGTTTCATGAAATGGTTTCGGTTGAAATGGTATCAGCTCTTATTTGTACATCTGGTAGAATTTAGAGGTGAATCTGTCTGGCTCAAGGCTTTTTTAGGTTGGTAGGCTATTTATTACTGATTCAATTTCAGAGTTCATTATTGGTCTGTTCAGAGATACAAATTCTTCCTGGTTCTGTCTTGGGAGGGTGTATGTTTCCAGGAATTTATCCATTTCTTCTAGATTTTCTTGTTTGTGTGCACAGAAATGTTCAAAATATTCTCCAATATTTATTTGTATTTCTGTGGCGTCAGTGATAATATCCCCTTTGTCATTTCTAATTGTGTTTATTTGGATCTTTTCTCTTTTCTTTTTTATTAGTCTAGCTAGTGGTCTGTTTTGTGAATTTTTCAAACAATTAATTCCTGGATTGGTTGATATTTGGAATGTTCTTTTTGTGTCTCAATCTCCTTTAGTTCAGCTCTGATTTTGGTTAGTTTTTGTCTTCTGCTAGCTTTTAGGTTGGTTTGCCCATGGTTCTTTGGTTCTTTTAGTTGTGACACTTAGTTGTTAGCTTGAGATCTTTCTAACTTCTTGATGTGGGTGGTTAGTGCTATAAATTTCCCTCTTAACATTGCCTTAGCAGTGGCCCAGAGATTCTGGTATGTTGTATCTTTGTTCTCATTAGTTTCAAATAACTTCTTGATTCCTGTTTTAATTTCATTATTTACCCAAAAGTCAGCCAGGAGCAGGTTATTCAATTTCTATGTAATTTTATAGTTATGAGCAATTTTCTTAGTCTTAATTTCTAATTTTGTTGTGCTGTGGTCCAAGAGAATGGTCGTTATAATTTCAGTTCTCTTGCATTTGCCAAGGAGTGTTTTATGTTCAGTTGTGTGGCTTACTTCAGAATATGTGCCATGGGGTGATGAGAAGAATGTATATTCTGTTGCTTTTTGGTGGAGAGTTCTGTAAACATCTCTCAGGTCCATTTGATCCAGTGCTGAGTTAAGGTCCTGAATATCTTTGCTAATTTTCTGCCTCAGTGATCTGTCTAATACTGTCAGTAGGGTGTTGACGTCTCTCATTATTATTGTGTGTGAGTCTAAGTCTCTTTGTAGGTTTCTAAGAATTTGTTTGAATCAGGGTGCTGCTGTGTTAAGTGCACATTTATTTAGGATAGTTAGCACTACTTGTTGAATTGAACCCTTTGCCATTATGTCATTATCCTTTTTTGTCTTTTTTTATCTTTGTTGGTTTAAAGTCTGTTTTGTATGAAATTAGGATTACGATCTCTATTTTTTATGTTTTCTATTTACTTAGTAGATTTTCTTCCATCCCTTTATTTTGAGCCTATGGGTGTCATTGCATATGAGCCTATGGGTGTCATTGCATGTGAGCCTATGGCTGTCATTGCATGTGAGCCTATGGGTGTCATTGCATGTCTCTTGAAGACAGCATACCATTGGGTCTTGCTTTTTTATCCAGCTTATCACTCTGTGCCTTTTAATTGGGGCATTTACCCCTTTTACATTCAAGGTTAGTATTGATATGCGTAGAATTGATCCTGTCGTCTTGCTGTTAGTTGGTTACCATACATACTTATTTGTGTGGTTGCTTTATAGTGTCATTGGTCTGTGTTTTTCAGTGTATTTTTGAAGTGGTTGGTAATGATATTTCCTTTTCTTATTTAGTGCTTCCTTCAGGAGCTCTTGTAAGGCAGGTCAGTCTGGTAGTAACAAATTCCCTCAGCATTTGCTTGTCTGAAAAGGATCTTATTTCTCCTTCACTTATGAGGCATAGTTTGGCCAGATGTAAAATTCTGGGTTGGAATTTCTTTTCTTTAGGAATCTCAAATATTGGCCCCCAACCTCTTCTGGTTTGTAGAGTTTTTGTTGAGAGCTATGCTTAGTCTGATGGGCTTCCCTTTGTAGGTGACCTGACCTTTCTCTCTAGCTGCCTTTTGCATTTTTTTCTTTCATTTCAACCTTGGAAAATCTGATAATTATGTATGCTGGAGGTGATCTTCTTGTGAAGTGTCTTACATGGGTTTTTGTATTTTCTGAATTTGAATGTTAGCCTCTCTAGCTAGGTTGAAGAAGTTCTCATGGATGATATCCTGGAATATGTTTTCCAAGTTGCTGCTATTCTCCCCATCTCCTTCAGGGACACCAATGAATCACAGATTTGTTCTCTTTACATAAACTTATATTTCTCAGAGGTTTTGTTTGTTCGTTTTCATTCTTTCATTCTTTTTTCTCTATTCTTCTCTGCCTGTCTTGTTTCAGAACGCCAGTCTTAAAGCACTAATATCATTTCTTCTGCTTGATCTATTCTGCTGTTAATAGTTGTGATTGCATTATGAAATTTTTGCAGTGTGTTTTTCAGTTCTATCAGGTCAGTTATGTTCTTTTCTATACTGTCTATTTTGTCTGTCAGCTCCTGCATTGTTTTATTGTGATTCTTAGCTTCCTTGGATTGGGTTTCAACATACTCCTGTACCTTGATGCTCTTCATTTCTATCCATACTCTAAATTCTATTTGTGTCACTTCAGCCATCCCAGTTCAGTTAAAAACTTTTGGTGGAGAGCTGGTGGAGGCATTCAGAGGAAAGAAGGTATGCTGGCTTTTTGACTTGTCAGAGTTCTTGCACTGGTTTTTTCTCATTTTTGTGGGCTAGTGTTTTTTCAATCTTTGACGTTCCTTTCCTTTGGATGTTTTTTTTTCTTAATCCTGTTAGATGACTTTGAGAGTTTGATTGTGTTATAAAATGGGTTCAGTCAACTGGCTTCATTTCTGGAAGATTTTGGGGACCACAGTTCAGCTGTCATCCCCCCAACTGCATGTTTTAATTCTGGGGGACTTGTATCCTACCCTACTTTGTTCTCTGACTTCTCAAGATTATGAACAGACTGTGATGGGGGTGCTAAGGTGCTCCTGGACTGCTGGTCACTACATGTTGATGGAATGGTGCTAGTCAAAGGGTTTTGTAGTGTGGTGGCAGTGGGATCTGTCCTCATTCACAGGTGCCCTTAGCAGTACCAGCACCAGCAGTATTAAATCAGGATGCATGCTTGTCAGCTGCAGCAGACTGCTAGCAGGTGCTGAGATGCCTGCCTCCATGAAGGCATTGACAGCAGGGGTAGAGTCAGCATAACTTGGGGGGTCAGCAGGACCCCATTGGTGACTGTGTGCATTGTTGCACTGATGGTGGTGTTAGTATGGGGTTAGGGCACTGGTGGGTGCAGGTGTGTGTTCACCCTCTGTGGCTACTCAGGGCAGGGGGAGGGTTCATTGTTTTCAGTGCCTAGTTTCATTCTGGTGGCAGTGTTGGCACAGGGGCAGGTCACTGACAGAGGCAGGACTGGTGGGCTCTGTGCCCACTACAGCTCGGACTGCAATGGCAGTATGGCAGAGGAAGGGGAGCAGAGTGCACTCCTGCTGGCAGCAGAGGCAGGGCAGGGTTCACGTGCTCACACAAGCTGGTGGGGAAGGGAAGGGAAAATCCACCTGCACACATACAAGCCAGCCAAATGATGTCAGGGGGCAGGGGCGGTTGGCCATGGGCTTGGAAGAAGCTGCAGCAGAGGGAGGGAGCAGGCAGGTTGGTGCATGGCCCTAGGGGCCACCCCATTGGAACTCTCCACCAATCAGATATGGTCTGCCATTGCAGAAGCTAAGATGCGGGTCCCCAGGGAACCTGAGTCTGCACTGCAAGCAGGAAAAAACCAGGCTGGAGCACTGGGAGAGGTCAGCAGACCAGGGGGTACTAAGGTTGTATCTGCCCTATCTGATGGGAAGACTGCCCTGCAGAATTCATGTCCGACAGTTCCCGTAGGGCTAAAGTCTCCTATGAAAGCAAGTCAAGTCTGGAAGGATGGGCATCCCTGGCCATGCTCTGCTATAGATGTTCCTGCAACAAACCCTCTGGGCTCCATATCGGCTAGCGTGCTGCTCCTACCACTCTTCTAAGCACCTCCCCTGCCAACTCTGTCTGTAGTGATTGAGGGGTCTCCTCCCAGTGGGATTCCAGAGGCTTGTGGCAAGAGTAGGTTGCTTCTTGCCAGTTCAACTCACCCATTCCCCCAAAGTTCTTGGGGGTGAGGAACGAGTCCCATTGCACTGTAGCCCCACCCAGCTTCTGCCCAGCTTTTGTGTCTTGAGGACCTGTTAGGACTGTGCCAGTCATCCCAGTCCCACAGTGACAGCTGTTCTACCTGGCTGCAACTAGTCAGACATCTTGACCAAATTGGAAGTTTCTTACAAAGCTGAGCATAGCCTTACCATATGGTCACACTCCCAGGCACTTACCCAACTGATTTGAAACGTGTACACAAAAACCCAGTCATGAATGTTCACAGCAACTTCATTCCCTAACAGCCAAAAATTGGAGACAATCACAATGTTCTTCAACGAGTGTATGAATAAACAAACTGTGCTATATTTACAATAGAATGTTATTCAGCAATAAAGAGGACATTAACTACCAAGCCATAAAAAAGCGTGAATGAATCTTAAATGCATAATGCTAGCTGAAAGAAGCCAGTTTTGAAAGGTTATATACTGTATGACTCCAATTATATGACATTCTAGAAAAATTAGAACTATAGAGACAGTAAAAGACTGGTGGTTACCAAGAGTACAAGGAGAAGAAAGAAGAGTCGAATAATTTAAGTTGAAGAACAATTTAGGGTGAAGAAATTATTCTTTCTAATGCTGTAGAAATGAATACCTGACATTATAAATATGTCAAAAACTATAAAAAAAACTTAATTTGTGTAAGTTTTAACAACTATACTACAACAAATTGAATAACCTTGAAGAAATAGATAAATTTCTGGACACAATTTGTCAAAATTAAATTAAGAAGGAATAAAAAATCTTAACCGATCAGTAAGGAATAAAATTGAATCAATACTTTCAAAAATCTCCCAGCAAAGAAAGGCCCAGGACCTAATGGATTCTCTTTTAAATTTTACCAAACATTTGAAAAAGAACTAATACCAATTTATTCCAAACTCTTCCAAATATTGAAGAGGCAGGAACACTTCCATACTCATTTTAGAAGGCCTGCATTACTCTGATACCTAAGCCACAGATGGATACTAAAATAAAAGTTCAATCCAGTATCTCTGATGAACATAAATGCCAAAATACTAACACATTAAATCTGGCAGCACATTAAAAGGATAATTCACTGTTTGTGATATTTGAACATATGCAAATCAATAAATGTGATATACCACATTGGCAGAATGAAAGGCAAAAACCATATGATCACCTCAATAGATGCAGAAAAGGCATTGACAAAATTCAACATCCTTCATGATAAAAAAATTCCAGCAAATTATGCTTAGAAGGAGCCTACCACAGTGATAAATGCCACATATGACAAGCGCACAGCTAACATCATATTCAATGGTGAAAAATTGAAAGCTTTCCTTCTAAGATCAGAAAGACAATAAGGATGTCCACTCTCACCGAGTCTACTCAAAATATTACTGAAAGTACTAGCTAGAGTAAGTAGGTAAGAAATAAAAGGCAACCAAATTGGAAAAGAAGTAAAATTATCTGTTTGCAGATGACGTGATCTTATATCGAGAAAATCCTAAAGATGTCCTCAAAAAAACCTTTTAGAATAAATGAGTTCATAAAGCTGCAGATTAAAAAATGAACATACAAAAACCAGTGGGATCTCTAAACACTAACAATGAATTATCTGAAAAGGAAGTCAAGAAAACAATCCCATTTATAACTATAAAAAAATTAAAACAAAATACTTAGGAATAAATTCAACCAAGGAGGTGAAAGCTCTGTACACTGAAAACTATAATACATTGATGAAATAAATGGAAAAAGAGAATTAAAAGTAAATATATCTGTGTACATTAATTTAAAAAATTAATATTGTTAAAATATCTAAAATAATTAAATTACCTACAGATTCAATCCAGTCCCTATTAAAATTCCAATGGCATTCATCATAGAAATGAAAAAAAAAAAAACCAAATTTGTACGTACTTGTAAAAGACTCCAAATAGCCAAAGTAATTTTGAGAAAAAGGAACAAAGCTGGAAGCATCACACTCACTGCTTCAAACTCTACTACAAAGCCATATTAATTAAAACAGTATGGTACTATAAAAACATGACATATAACAATGGAACAGAGTAGGGAGCCCAAAAATAAATTCACACATATATGGCCAACTAAGATTTGACAAGGGTGCCAATAATACACAATGGGAAAAGAAAAGTCTATTTAATAAATGCTGTTGGAAAAGCTAAATATCCACATGCAAAAGAAAGAAACTGAAGTCTTGTCTTATGACATATACTAAAACTAACTGGAAATGAATTAAAGATTTAAATGTATAACCTGAAACTGTAAAACTACCAGAAGAAAACATAAGGAAAAAACACCTTGACAACAGTCTTGGCAATCATTTTTTGGATATGACCACAAAAGCACAGGCAACAAAAAATAAACAAGTGGGACTATATCAACTAAAAATTCCACTGCACCACAAAAGAAACAATCGACCACATTAAAAGGCAACCTATCGAATGGGAGAAAATATTAGTAAACCATATGTATGATAAGGGGTTAATATTCATAATATATTAGGAAGTACACAAGTCAACAGTAAAACAACAAACAATGTGATTTTTACAATTGGCAAAGATTTTAACAGCTACATTCCCAAAACAGACATAGAAATAGCCAACATGCATATGAAAAGGTGCTCAACACCATCAACCATTGGGAAAATGCAAATTAAAACCACAATGAGACATCACTTCATACCTGCTGAAATGGCTATTATGAGAAGACACATGATAACAAGTATTGGTCAGGATGTGGAGAAAAGGGAACCCTTTTACGCTATTGATGGAAATGTAAATTGGCACAGGCATTATGGAAAACAATATAGATGTTCTTCAAAAAATAAAAAATAAAACTTCCATATGTTCCAGCAATCTCACTTCTAGATATATACCCAAAGGAAATGAAATCAGTATCTCTAAAAGATAACTTTACTGCTATGTTCACTGCAGCATCATTCACTATAGCCAAAATATGGAAACAACCCAAGTGTACATCAATTGATGAATGAGTATAAAAACTGTGGTACGTATATGTGATAGACTGTCATTCAGCCACAGAAAGAAGGAAGTTTTGCCATTTGCAGCAACATAGATAAACCTAATAGACATTACGGTAGGTGAAATAAGCCAGACACGGAAAGACAGACACTATATGATCTCACTTACATGTAGAATCTGAAAAAAAAAAAAAGCTCATCGAAGGAGAGAGTAGAACAGTGGTTGTCAGAGGGTTTTGAAGTCAGAGAAAAGGGGAATATGTTGGTCAAATGGTACCAACTTTCAGCCATAAGATAAACACATTCTTGGTAACTAATGTACAACACGGATGGTGATTAATGTGTTAATTTGATTGTGGTAATCATTATACAATGTATATGCATATCAAATTATCATTTCATATACCTTGAATATATTTGACCTTTATTTGTCAATTAAATTTTTATAAATTTAAAAATCTACAAAAGAAATCATTTCAATTCTATACAATAAAAAAGAACTATCTAAAAGGGAAATTAAGAAATTAATCTCATTTCCATTAGAACCAAAAAATAAAATATTTAGGAGTAAACTTAAACAAGGAGGTGAAAGACTTGTACACTTAAACTGTAAAATATTGATGAAAGAAATTAAAGCAGATGCAAATAAATGGAAAGACTTTCTATGTTAATGGAATAGAACAATTAATATTGTTAAAATATCCACACTACCTGAAGCAATCTATAGATTCAATGCAATCTCTGTGAAAATCCCAACATCATTTTTTAAAGAAATTTTTAAAAATCCTAAAATTCATGTGGAGACACAAAGACTCATGAAGTGACATGGACAGGGGAAAAGGTGGCAAGAAGGTTTTATTTAGGAGGGAAGAAATGTGGTTACACGCTAAAGGTTACACCCAATAGGGAGGACAAAGTTCATGTTATAGGTGAGGGAAAGGAGAGTTACCAGAGTAATTGCCTTTAGTAGAGAGGAGGGGGATGGAATCTGGTGCACAGGTGGAAGGGTTTACTTCTGTAGGAGCAGGATCAGGTCACTCAGTCTCAGGAGAAGTTAAAGGAAACTTAATCACAGATGCAGGTTGTATAGTGGTAGTGATGGGAGATTAAGGAATTCTCACCTGCTACCTTTCTCACTAAAACAGGAAGCAACGCAATAAACAGAGTGAGAATAGAGAAGGATTATTTGAAGATTCAGACCACTTTTTCTATAGTCTGAATATTTTTACCATGTACAAAATTTATATTCCTAAGTATAAACTTTGGCGATTATCAAAAATAAAATATTTTAAAACTCAATTTTTGACCCCCTTGCATTTGGGGTTCCAGATGTTTTGGATGCTGCCCATTTAATGTACTCATTTGAGATTTGAATATATAGTCAGCTAGTTAAAGGGATGCAGTAGGAGAGGCTTCTGTTATACTAGGGGCGATTTGTTAGGTCCAAAGTGATTCCAGATCATCAACTTGATCCCAGGCACATGGCTAAAATTGTAGTGTTTTTCAGACAAACAGATGGCTAAGATTGTAGCAAGAACAACTTCCCTGACAACATTGGTCACCTGTGTTAGTCTGTAAGGCATCTCTGGACGTCCAGCCTATAGTCTTCTCTTTTAGACTTTCCAGTGATTTTGTGAACACCTAACTCTCGATATTAAATGATGTTTTGTTTAAAATAGCTAGAATGGTTTCTTGTCTCTGACACAAAATCCTGATTGCTCTACCAAAAGACTGTTGTTATTAAACTTAGAGTGAAATCAATTGGCAATAAGGTCAAACATACAGCTAAAAGTCATAAAAATTTGCTAGGAGTAATCATGAAGCTCTAGAAAAAAAAAGTAAAATGTTTTTGTGATCTTTTTCAGTAAAAGTAACCAGCTTTCTTTTGCCACTCTCTGCTTATTTATGTAAGAAAAATTGGTAGTTTAATATCTTTCAAAGTGCACTTACAAATATAATATTTTCCTCTTAATGATATTTTTCAAGTCTTTGATATCCGCATAGAATCTTGAGTTTACAGTGCTAAGTTGTTTATGACCCTTCAGTAGAGGAATCACTCTTTTGCTTAAAGCCACAGAATGGCTTCTTATTGTAATTGTAATAAAATGAAAACTCATATTTACTATGTAGACCGTATGTTTTTGACACTACCAGTATCTCCAACTTTAATCATTTTCATATTAAATTACTATATTCCGGGTAACATGGACTTTATTGTATTCTTCAAATATACCAAGTTCATCATCATCTTTGAGTTTTTGCACTACCTGTGCCCTCCGTCTAGATTACTATAACCACAAATGTTTGCATGTTTGCCTTCTTCAGTTTATCCAGATATCATCCAAAACGTCAGCTCTTCAAGGTCTTTTTTGATTATTAAACACAAATTGGTTACTCCCAATCCAGAGTCACAATTTATCATTTCACTTTTCTTTTTAGTTTTTACAGAGCAGTATCTCTTCCTGAAACTATGCTGTTTATTTTCTACCTTAATGGTGGTCTATTTTTACTAGGTTGTATCTCTTGGAGAGCAGATGGACCTTATCTGCCTCAGTAATTTCTTTTTTCAGTTCCCAGAATAGTCCTGACAAATGGGAGGTACTCAGTGATTGCAGTACTTGGAAATAAACAAATCAATTTCAGATAAAATTCTACAGTCTATTTTTATTCTTTTTTTTTTTGCGCCCTTTTTCAGGCTATGTGCTTATTAAACACCTTTTTCATGGAAGCTTTCACTTCCTGGTTGCGAAGGGTATAAATGACAGGATTCAACAAAGGAAAAATCACTGTGTGGAAGAGAGAAACCACCTTGTCAGCTGGGAAAGCCCTGAAGGGGCGCGTGTAGATGAAGATGCCAGGTCCAAACATGAAGAATATAACAATGATATGGGTGATGCACGTGGACATGGCCTTGTTTTTTGCCTCAGAAGAAGACCCTCGTATGCGACAAAGAATGACTGCATAGGAGGCCAGAAGCCCCAGAAAGCACAGGAGTGTCATCAGGCCACTGTTGAAGACCATCAGAAGCTCCACCACAAATGTGTCGGTGCAGGCCAGCTTGATGACCTGTGGGACATCACAGAAGAAGTTGTCCAGCTGGTTTGGGCCACAAAAAGGCAAGCGGAGGATGAGGACCACCTGGATAATGGAGTGGACAAAACCCCCAAGCCACAGAGCCAACATCATTGCATAGCAGGTTCTAGGGTTCATGACAGTAGGATAGTGCAGAGGCCGGCAGATGGCGATGTAGCGGTCAAAGGCCATCACAACAAGGAGTAATCCCTCCCCTCCTCCAAGGAAGTGCAAGAAAAA
Organism: Homo sapiens; assembly: GCF_000001405.40. NCBI lineage: Eukaryota > Metazoa > Chordata > Mammalia > Primates > Hominidae > Homo > Homo sapiens. The sequence continues at coordinate 30,433 of NW_025791796.1, read as the reverse complement.
GAGCTGAGTGATGCAGCCTCTGTAGGAGATTATCTTCTTCGCAGAGAGGAAGTCCACCAACATCCGGGGAGCCACAATGAAGGAGTAGGATGCATCCAGGAAGGCCAAGTTGCCCAGAAAGAAATAGAGGGGGGCTGTGAGCCCAGGGTCTGACTTTATGGTGAAAATAATGAGAAAATTTCCAGGGAGGATGATGAAGTAGAATATTAAAACTAGCACAAAGACCAGGAGCTGAATATCTTGAGACTGGGTCAGACCAAGGAGGATGAATTCTCTTATCACTGTTCTGTTCTCGCTTTCCATTTCCCTGGCCTGCAGTACATTAAGAAGCAGAATTAATTGTTATTACTATGTCTTCCAACTAGATACTAGTTATACAGCTAAAAAATATTTGGCACATGCAGTACTTCAGCTAAAAACAACATTTCCCATCCCTCTCCTATTCTGGGGAAACTCCATTACCTTAATTTCTCCAAATTTAAAATGAAAAATGAAAACACAATATGGTTCTCAAAGCTACAGTTTTATTCCCATTCAACCATGTGCTTCTACAGAATCATTTTCCATGTTAGGGGTCTGGTATCCTCCACGTTGGGATTCCTACATTCTTAAATCATGGAAGTTTCCTAATGGAGACACAACCTAACTTCAAATCTGAAGGTCTTTGAGTTTTTGTGGATATACTATGCTTGAGGGTTAGCTCTTTTCTTGGGATTAGACCCTTTTTCTCCTTGTCCACACCACCCCAAAATTTTCCTAGACATTTTCTTCCCTCAATTCCTGTGTAATTCCCAGTTCCTAGCTGGTAACTCTCTTCCTTACCCTCTGTCTTATCATCTAATTTACTTCTTATTATACTCCTTTTGGTCTGATATCCTTGTATACTCTTTTCCCAGACTGTTCACGAGAATCCCAAGCTATAGCTCCACTTTTGACCTAACACAGGCACAGTGCTCCAGCTGTAACTCTGTTTGAGCACCACTCCTGTGGCCACTCCACACCTGCATGCAGCTTATTTAGCACTTTTTGAGTTTCAAATATTAATAAACTCACAACACATTTCTTTCTCTGTTCCCAGTGTGACACCCAAGATACAGCCTTTTAACAAACAATATGCTACAATATAAAATTTGCAAGTATAAAACTTTAAAATATCATTATCTCAACTCATAAAGTCATAGCATAGATACACTGTAAGTAGCCATAAAGATACTGTAGTGTTATTCTTCCATTTCAAAGATGAGAAATAACCTGTAGTTATATTACTTAAGTTTAGAGTGAGTTTTATTTTTTGCTCTGCTTGATAAGTAGTAGGATAATGCAAGTGTATACTCTTCAGTTTAAATAGATAAAGAATTTTTTAATCACAGCTTCAATGAATGAATGTTCTTTTTGTGCATTTGGATAACTAAAAATAATATTGTTAGTCTAAAATCACTCCCATATTGCTTTGATTTGTAAGTTCAACCTTGTTTAAATAAAAAGAAAAACAATGTGCATTGTGAAGAAAATTCATATTTAAAATTCAGATTGTTTTCATGGGGTATACTCATTCCAGAAGGTGCACATGATAATCCACTGAAGTATAGAAAGAACATAGTAATTTATCTATATTTAGTCGGTGTATAACATTTTATATGTATCACTACATTTCGTTGTTTTCTAAATTCACTTTTTAATATTTATAATGGATAACATAGTACAATGGTTTATATATACTTTATAAATAAATATGCATACATTTAAGGTTATATATTCAAAAAATGTCTTAGGGGAATAGATTTTTTAAGTTTGAAAATTACTGGCCTACAACAAAATACAAACTGTAATATAAAAGGATATTCTTAATATGATTTAACTAAACAGTGTATTTGTTTTAAATAAGTGCTCTAGCGGCCGGGCACGATGACTCATGCCTGTAATCCCAGCACTTTGGGAGGCCTAGGTGGGTGGATCACGAGCTCAGGAGATCGAGAACATCTTGGCTAACACGGTGAAACCCTATCTCTACTAAAAAAATACAAAAAAATTAGCTGGACGTGGTGGTGGTTGCCTGTAGTCCCAGCTACTCAGGAGGCTGAGGCAGGAGAATGGTGTGAACCCGGGAGGCAGAGCTTTCAGTGAGCCGAGATCGCGCCACTGCACTCCAGCCTGGGCGACAGAGCGAGACTCCGTCTCAAAATAAATAAATAAATAAATAAATAAATAAATAAATAAATAAATAAGTGCTCTAGCACATGGGGTGCGGAAGGAAGGGAAAATATTTCTTTGACAGAAAATGCTACTGCAACAGTACCTAGAAAAGAAAGACAAGAAGATATAGGATGAGGGAAGAAAGAAGAGAGAAATAGAAAATCAAAACAAACAAGCAAACAAACACCAAAAGACAGACAGCACATCTATATAGTGTCATCTTAGGGTACGTATTTTAAGAAGCATTAAAACTATCTGCTTTATGTATCCCTAGAATGGAATAGAGTGGTTAATACAGAAATTTCTGGGTGTTACTGGCAGCCACATGTGGAATTTATGAAAGTCATACTTAGACACATCATCATATATACATATGCAAATACCACATGAACACACACGTATGCACACAAATACATACAAACACACACAAAATTGTAATAGGAAAAAATATTTTGTAGTTCCTTCAAATGAGCTTTTCTGCTCATGTCTTAACCTTTCCCCCTTTGCCAGCCATTTGTCTCAACATTTATTCTACTATCTGCCTATATAAAAATTTCCTTAAATCAAGAGCCCCTTCTACAGTCGACGCTTGAACAATGCAGGAGTTAAGGGGGCAGACCCCCTGTGCAATAAAAAATTAGCACATACCTTGATTCCCTAAAAACTTAGCTTCTAATGATTATTGTTGATCTGAAGTTTTGCTGGTAACATAGACAGTTGAATAACAAATATTTTTATGTTTTATGTATTATATACTATAATCCTACAATAAACTAAGCTACAGAAAATAAAATATAACAAAATCATAAGGAAAGGAAGATATAAATACTGTTCATTAAGTGGAAATGCATCATCATAAAGTTCATATCGTTGTTGTCTTCCCACTGAGTAGGCTGAGGAGGAGAAGGAAAAGGAAGGGTTAGTTTTTCTGTGTCAGGGGTGGCAGAGGTGGAAGAAAATCCACATATAAGTGGACCTGTGTGGTTCAAACCCATGTTTTTCTGGGGTCAACTGTACTTACTCATGTGTTTTATGTATCCCACATGCTAACATACAGTGAGGTATTTCTTGATGTGTTAGCATTTAACAATATCCCTGAGACATTTGAGGATTTCTGAAGGACTTTGAAATTGAAGGTTATAAGCTCTTCCATTCTGCCTGTGTCCCAGCCTCACTGTTATTTTTCTACTGTTTCTTAACAGATGGGATTCTGTACTACTTGACTTCTTGATGAACTTTCTTCCCTGTCCCATTTCCATCTTTCAATTATCTCTACCTTCTCTAAATGGTGGTTGGAATAGACGCAGAGTCTAATCAGATGAGCATTCCTCTAAGCAAAATAAAATAAGTTTCTGCCAAAAAAAAAATCCATATATGATGGCATCAGCAGAGTAAAGTGTTCTATTTTAGGCAAATTAGTAGAGAAAGTTCTGTCAAAAGTCTGTACCATACCCTCCTCACTGTATCTCTAATCCTTCTTGCCATTTCAGCTAATTCGTGCATTGATCAGTTTCTGGCCATGATGACACACTACAGAAATAGGGAAGATGAAGGAGAAGGGTTCACCACATTTGCAGGGTGGAGACACAGAAACATCTCCAGGCAACTCTGTGTGTGCATGCCTGGAGTCTGAGTGTGGTCAGATGAGCTCCTGGAGCCAAGTGTTTAGAGATCCTATGTGCTTACTCAACCTCCTTCCTTATTTTTCTTTTTCTCTCTTTCTTTATTCATCAATAAGCAGTTTATTTTCTTTTTTTTTTTCTGGTTGTGATTTCTTTTCCCTGTTAATTTGTTGCCTGTTCTTTTCCCCTTCTCTGTTTCTTTCTGGCTCTATTTATTTTGTTCTCTTTAAATATTGTTCTTTATTATTTTTTCTTTCTTCTCCCTTACATTTATCTATGTTTTTTCACTCTGATATGTTTTCACTCTCTCCACTTTTCGTCTATGTTCATGGCTACTCCATTCTACCCCACACCTGTCTTGCTAATACATCTAAAAACAAAACAAAACAAAAACCAGAAAATCTTATTGTCATTTTCTTTCCCAACAAGAGTGAGAAATGTGTGTGCTTCCCACCATCTTCCATTTTAAATATTAAGTCTACAAAATGAAAATATATAATTCACTCTTCAGTAATAACCATTTACTTTTAAGTGGTATTCTTGCAGTTGGCCAACGCTGAGTCACTTATCAACTACTTCATACTTGTAAGTGAACCTGATAAAAATGAGATGATTCACCTTTTTTTTAAAAAAAAGAAGTTAATTTCATTAGTAGCATCCTAATGAAATAAATATATTGAATACAAATTTCAAAAATAGGGATGTAATATTAGTAGTAATAGCTCACTAATGATGCAAGGTTAGTAAATTATTTGAGTATGAAATAATAAGTTTTATATTTTCTAAAAAGTGTGAATCAGGCTGAGAACATAATAGAAAATTTAATTTATGCTGATGCTGCTGATGAGTATATAAAGCACTAAACAAATGTATAGATTCTTAGCCAGAAAATTTATTCATCAATCAAATGAGATGGCCAGATTAAATGGCCTCTAAATTCCATTTGAATGCCAGTTTTTTAGGCAATGTAATAACATAAAAGGATCCCTGGTTTGGGAATCATTTATCTGACTCTCATGCCTTGAATGAGCAATTAACTTATTGTGTGATTCTGGGAAAGTCACTTAGCTTTCAGAAGCCTGAGTTGTCATCTACCAAATAGTTTAATGTATTGACTCTTTGGGTCTGATGGGGGTAACATGAGGATCAAATGAGGTGATGATGGTATTAATATGTAATTCATTCAAGTACACTTCAACCAAAGTTAATCCTGAAAATATTTAGATGTTAAAAGTAGTTATATTGAATGGACAGAATGCTGCTAGATCTTTTGTCAATGTCTTTGAGTAACCCCTGGGATAATGGTAGTTGCATAAATCTGAAAAGTTAATAGAGAGAAGTTGTGGAGGGTCAGTAATGCCTTCATGTAAAATTGCCAGTACAGCTAGTGGTTTGTATATCAAGCTTTTTTTTGGTTCTACAACTTTCTGTCAAAATTCTAAGAATGAATGATATAACCACATGCAACAGAAGAAACTTTCATACCTGCTGAATGTGAAAATGAAGAGGTCAAGGACTTATCTTCTGCAAAATCATAAAATCTGTTAAGTTTTTCTCTGGAGCTTTTAGCCTACCATTTCTGCATCCTCCTCCCTTTTCTTCCATATTTAATAAGGAAAATGATACATATCAGTCATTTGTATGATTTTTGGTTTTTAACACCAGATGTCAATTCTCTTGAGTCTATGGAAAATTATAATAGAATTAAAGGTTTTGTTTGCCAGTAAAGTAATCCCAAGCATTAAATGCAGATGGAGATCTATTAGGAGAGAGAGTACATAGTGCCCCACTGCTGAATTTAGACCTTAGCCTGTGGCTATTCCTGCTAATACTCTGACCTGTCTATTCAACTGCAATCTAAGATATCAGGTGAACAAGTAAAATAGTTGCAATATTTTTTCTATTGTCCCTTTCTTCTTGTTTCTTGTATATATATGAAGAGCTCCAGAAATTTAAGCCTTCAGGGATCTTATGTTACTCTCACAAAGTAGGCATCCTCCCTCTCCTAGTAAGACTAACCAGTTTTGCCATTGTTCATAAATGTTCATTGCCACATGAGGAACCTTAGATTTTAAAATCTCTCTATTGTAATGGAGAAAGTTCTTTTGAGATTTGAGACTACCATGACCCACTGAATGCTTCCAAAGGGAGTTATTAGGCAAGCTATATTAGTTATCAAATAAATAAGGCAAAGAAAAATACCAGAGTTTGCAAGAACTAAATTTTTTTAAATGTGCTACATAATACCAAGCTGACTTACTTTCTAGTTCTAAAACAAAAATTCTATCGTGAGAAAGACAGAACCCTATTCAGAAGCATATTTTTTAGTCCAGAAATAAATAGAAGTTTGAGAGAAGTAAATTTACGTGTTATAATAAAATTCAAAAGGAGAAAAATATTAAATAAATGATGAGAGATTATTGCTTTGTACCACGAAAGCAAGCAGGGGTAGGATGAGGCAAAAAATACATATATACATATATATATATATGACTAGACTCAAATTTTTCAATTAAAGGCTTCACCAAACTTTAGACGGTGGCTGGCAAGATGGCCAAATAAGAGCAACTCTGGTCTGCAACTCCCAGCAAGACCAACGCAGAAGGTTACTCACAGAAGATTTCTGCATTTCCAACTGAGGTACCCAGCTCATCTCATTGGGACTGGTTAGACAGTGGGTGCAGCCCACGGAGGGTAAGCCAAAGCAGGGTGGGGCATCACATCACCGGGGAAGTGGAAGGGTTCAGGGAACTCCCTCCCCAGCCAAGGGAAGCCGTGAGAGACTGTGCCGAGAGGAAAGGTGCATTCTGATTCAGATACTAGGCTTTTCCCATGGTTTTTGCAACCTGCAGACCAGGAGATTCCCTCAGGTGCCTACACCACCAGGGCCTTGGGTTTCAAGCACAAAACTAGGCAGCCATTTGGGCAGACACTGAGGTAGATGCAGGAGTTTTTTTTCATACCCCAGTGGCACCTGGAATGCCAGCAAGATAGAACTATTCACTCCCCTGGAAATGGGGCTGAAGCCAGGGATTCAAGTGGTCTATCTCAGTGGATCCCACCCCCATGGAGCCCAGCAAGCTAAGATCCACTGGCTTGAAATTCTTGCTGCCAGCACAGCACTCTGAAGTTCACCTGGGACACTCGAGCTTGGTTGGGGTAGGGGCATCTGCCATTACTGAGGCTTGAGTAGGCACTTTTCCCTTCACAGTGTAAATAAAGCCACCAGGAAGTTTGAACTGGGCAGAGCCCCCCACAACCCAGCAAAGCAGCTATAGCCAGACTGCTTCTCTAGATTTCTCCTCTCTGGGCAGGGTATCTCTGAAAGAAAGGCAGCGTCCCCAGTCAGGGGCTTATAGATAAAAGTCCCATCTCCCTGGGACAGAGCACCTGGGGGGAAGGGCGGCTGTGGGCACAGCTTCAGCAGACTTAAATGTTCCTGCCTGCCATCTCTGAAGGGAGCAGCAGATCTCCCACACAGCTAATGCAGTGTTTAGAGGAAAATTTATAGCACTAAATGCCAACAGCTTAAAGCAGGAAAGATCTAAAATCGACCCTCTGACATTACAATGAAAAGAACTAGAGAATTAAGAGCAGACAAATTCAAAAGCTAGCAGAAGACAAGAAATAACTAAGATCAGAGCAGAACTGAAGGAGATAGAGACACAAAAAACTCTTCAAAAAATCAATGAATCCAGGAGATCCAGCAGATCTCCCAGCAAAGCGCTTGAACTCTGCTAAGGGACAGACTGCCTCCTCAAGTGGCTCCCTGATGCCTGTGCCTCCTGACTGGGAGACACCTCCTAGCAGGGGTCAACAGACACCTCATACAGGAGATCTCCAGCTGGCATCTGGCTGGTGCCCCTCTGGGACAAAGCTTCCAGAAGAAGGAACAGGCAGTAATCTTTGCTGTTCTGCAGCATTTGCTGATGACACCCAGGAAAACAGGGTCTGGAGTGGACTTCCAGCAAACTCCAGCAGACCTGCAGCAGAGGGGCCTGACTGTTAGAAGGAAAACTAACAAACAGAAAGAAATAGCATCAGCATCAACAAAAAGGATGTCCACCCAAAAACCCCAACTGAAGGTCACCAACATCAAAGAACAAAGTTAGATAGGTCCATAAAGATGAGGAAAAACCAGAGCAAAAAGGCTGAAAATTCCAAAAACCAGAACACCTCTTCTCCAAAGGATCACAACTCCTTGCCAGCAAGGGAACAAAACTGGATGGAGAATGAGTTTGACAAGTTGACAGAAGTAGGCTTCCAAAGAAGGGTAGTAACAAACTCCTCTGAGCTAAAGGAGCATGTTCTAACCCAATGCAAGGAAGCTAAGAACCTTGAAAAAGGTTAGAGGAATTGATAACTAGAATAACCACTTTAGAAAAGAACATAAATAACCTGATGGAGCTGAAAAACACAGCACAAGAACTTCATGAAGCATACGCAAGTATCAATAGCCAAATCGATGGAGCGGAAGAAAGGATACCAGGGATTGAAGATCAACTTAATGAAATAAAGCGTGACGACAAGATTGGAGAAAAAAGATTGAAAAGGAACGAACAAATCCTCCAAGAAATATGGGACTATGTGAAAAGACCAAACCTACGTTTGATTGGTGTACCTGAAAGTGACGGGGAGAATAGAACCAAGTTGGAAAACACTCTTCAGGATATTATCCAGGAGAACTTCCCCAACCTAGCAAGACAGGCCAACATTAAAATTCAGGAAATACAGAGAACACCACAAAGATACTCCCCGAGAAGAGCAACCCCAAGAAACATAATTGTCAGATTCACCAAGGTTGAAATGAAGGAAAAAATGTTAAGGTCAGCCAGAAAGAAAGGTCAAGTAGTTACCCACAAAGGGAAGCCCATCAGACTAACAGTGGATCTCTCTGCAGAAACCCTACAAGCCAGAAAGAAGTGGGGGCCAATATTCAACATTCTTAAAGAAAAGAATTTTCAAACCAGAATTTAATATCCAGCCAAACTAAGCTTCATAAGCGAAGGAGAAAGAAAATCCTTTACAGATAAGAAAATACTAACAGATTTTTGTCACCACCAGGCCTGCCTTACAAGAGCTCCAGAAGGAAGCACTAAATATGGAAAGAAAAACTGGTACCAGCCACTGCAAAAACATACCAAATTGTAAAGACCATTGAAGCTATGAAGAAACTGCATTAACCAACAGGCAAAATAACCAGATAACATCATAATTACAGGATCAAATTCACACATAACAATGTTAACCTTAAATGTAAATGGGTTAAGTCCCCAGTTAGAATACACAGACTGGTAAATTGGATAGAGACTCAAGACCCATTGGTGTGCTGTATTCAGGAGACCCATCTCACGTGCAAAGACACACATAGGCTCAAAATGAAGGGATGGAGGAAAATTTACCAAGCATATTGAAAGCCAAAAAAAAGCAGCGGTTGCAATCCTAGTCTCTGATAAAACAGACTTTAAACCAACAAAGATCAAAAAAGACAAAGAAGGGCATTACATAATGGTAAAGGGATCAATGCAACAAGAAAAGCTAACTATCCCAAATATGTATGCACCTAATACAGGAGCACTCATATTCATAAAGCAAGTCCTTAGAGACATACAAAGAGACTTACATTCCCACACAATAATAGTGGGAGATTTTAACACCCCACTGTCAATATTAGACAGATCAATGAAAATTAACAAGGATATTCAGGACTTGAACTCATCTCTGGACCAAGCAGACCTAATAGACATCTACAAAACTCTCCACCCCAAATCAACAGAATATATATTCTTCTCAGCACCACATCACACTTATTATAAAATTGACCACATACTTGGAAGTAAAGCACTCCTCAGCAAATGCAAAAGAACAGAAATCATAACAAATAGTCTCTCAGACCACAGTGCAATCAAATTAGAACTCAGGATTAAGAAACTCACTCAAAATCGCACAACACATGGAAACTGAACAACCTGCTCCTGAATGACTACTGGGTAAATAACGAAATTTAGGCAGAAATAAATAAGTTCTTTGAAACCAATGAGAACAAAGACACAATGTACCAGAATCTCTGGGACACAGCTAATGCAGTGTTTAGAGGAAAATTTATAGCACTAAATGCCAACAGCTTAAAGCAGGAAAGATCTAAAATTGACACCCTAACATTACAATTAAAAGAACTAGAGAAGTAAGAGCAGACAAATTCAAAAGCTAGCAGAAGACAAGAAATAACTAAGATCAGAGCAGAACTGAAGGAGATAGAGACACAAAAAACCCTTCAAAAAATCAGTGAATCCAGGAGCTGGTTTTTTGAAAACATTAACAAAATAAATAGACCACTAACCAGACTAATGAAGAAAAGAAAGAAGAATCAAATAGACACAATAGAAAATGATAAAGGGGTATCACCACTGATCCCACAGAATTACAAATTACCATCAGAGAATACTACAAACACCTCTACACAAATAAACTAGAAAATCTACAAGAAATGGATAAATTCCTGGGCACATACACCCTCCCAAGACTGAACCAGGAAGAAGTCAAATCCCTGAATAGACAAATAACAAGTTTTGAAATCGAGGCAGTAATTAATAGCCTACCAACCAAAAAAAGTCCAGGACCAGACAGATTCACAGCCAAATTCTACCAGAGGTACAAAGAGGAGCTGGTACCATTCCTTCAGAAACTATTACAAACAATAGAAAAAGAGGGACTCCTCCCTAACTCATTTTATGAGGCCAGCATCATCCTGATACCAAAACCTGGCAGAGACACACATAAAAAAGAAAATTTCAGATCAATATCCCTGATGAACATCGATGCAAAAATCCTCAATAAAATACTGGCAAACCGAATCCAGCAGCACATCAAAAAGCTTATCCACCATGATCAACTCAGCTTCATCCCTGGGATGCAAGGCTGGTTCAACATACCCAATCAGTAAACATAATCCATCACATAAACAGAACCAGTGAAAAACACCACATCATTATCTCAATAGATGCAGAAAAGGCCTTCGATAAAATTCACCCCTTCAAGCTAAAAACTCTAAATAAACTAAGTATTGATGGAACGTATCTGAAAATAATAAGAGCTATTTATGACACACCCACAGCCAATATCATACCGAATGGGCAAAAACTGGAAGCATTCTCTTTGAAAACCAGCACAAGACAAGGATGCCCTTTCTCACCATCCTTATTCAACACAGTATTGGAAGTTCTGGCCAGGGCAATCAGGGAAGAGAAAGAAATAAAGCGTATTCAAACAGGAAGAGAGGGAGGTAAATTGTCAAAGTTTGCAGATGACATGATTGTATATTTAGAAAATCCCATCTTCTTAGCCCAAAATCTCCTTCAGCTGATAAGCAACTTCAGCAAAGTCTCGGGATACAAAATCAATGTGCAAAAATTACAAACATTCCTATACACCATTAATAGATAAACAGCCAAATCATGAGTTAACTCCCATTCACAATTGCTACAAAGAGAATAAAATACCTAGGAATACAACTAACAAGGGATATGAAGGACCTCTTCAAGGAGAATTACAAACCACCGCTCAAGGAAAAAGAGAGGACACAAATGAATGGAAAAACATTCTGTGCTCATGGATAGGAAGAATCAATATCATGAAAATGGCCATATTGCCCAAAGTAATTTACAGATTCAATGCTATCCCCATCAAGCTACCACTGACTTTCTTCACAGAATTAGAAAAAACGACTTTAAATTTCATATGGAACAAAAAAAGAGCCTGTATAGCCAAGACAATCCTAAGCAAAAAGAACAAATCTGGAGGCATCACACTACCTGACTTCACACTATACTACAAGGCCGCAGTAACCAAAACAGCATAGTACTGGTACCAAAACAGATCTATAGACCAATGGAACAGGAAAGAGGCCTTAGAAATAATGCCACACGTCTACAACCATCTGATCTTTAACAAGCCTGACAAAAGCAAGCAATGGGAAAAGGATTCCCTATTTAATAAATGGTGTTATGAAAACTGGCTTAGACATATGTAGAAAACTGAAACTGAACCCCTTCCTTACACCTTATACAAAATTAACTCAAGATGGACTAAAGGCTTAAACGGAAAACCTAAAACCATAAAAACCCTAAAAGAAAACCTAGCCAATACCATTCAGGACATAGGCATGGGCAAAGACTTCATGACTAAAACACCAAAAGCAATGGCAACAAAATCCAAAATTGACAAATGAGATCTAATTAAACTGAAGAGCTTCTGCACAGAAAAAAAACAAAAAAAAAAAAAACAAAAAAAAACCTCTCATCAGAGTGGACAGTCAACCTACAGAATGGGAGGAAATTTTTGCAATCTATCCATCTGACAAAGGGCTAATATCCAGCATCTACAGGGAACTTAAACAAATTTACAAGAAAAAAACAAACAACCCCATCAAAAAGTGAGCAAAGGATATGAACAGACACTTCTCAAAAGAAGACATTTATGCAGCCAACAAACATATGAAAAAAAAGCTCATCATCACTGGTCATTAGAGAAATGCAAATCAAAACCACAATGAGATACCATCTCATGCCAGTTAGAATGGTGATCATTAAAAGGTCAGGAAACAACAGATGCTGGAGAGGATGTGGAGAAATAGGAACGCTTTTACACTGTTGGTGGAAGGGTAAATTAGTTCAACCATTGTGGAAGACAGTGTAGCGATTCCTCAAGGATGTAGAACCAGAAATACCATTTGACCCAGCAATCCCATTACTGGGTATATACCCAAAGAATTATAAATCATTCTACTATAAAGACACATGCACATGTATGTTTACTGCGGCACTGTTCACAATAGCAAAGACTTGGAACCAACCCAAATGCCCATCAATCATAGACTGGATAAAGAAAATGGGTCACATATACATTATGGAATACTATGCAGCCATAAAACAGGATGAGTTCATGTCATTTGCAGGGACATGGATGAAGCTGGAAACCATCATTCTCAGCAAACTAACACAGGAACAGAAAACCAAACACCACATGTTCTCACTCTTAAGTGGGAGTTGAACAATGAGAACACAGGGAAACAGCGAGGGGAATATCCCACATGGGGGCCTGTCACAGGGTGGGGGGCTAGGGGAAGGATAGCATTAGGAGAAATACCTAATGTAGGTGACAGGTTGATGGGTGCAGCAAGCCACCATGGCACATATTTACCTATGTAACAAACCTGCATATTCTACACATGTATCCCAGAACTTAAAGTATAATTTTTAAAAAAGACTTCACCAATATTATTTATTTTTCCTGTTGCCTCAGGTTCCAACATGGCTCAACATGGCAGTTGCTGATCCTGCCTTTGCTTAAAATTTGGTACTTTGTTTATCACAAATTTTAAAATTAATTTTGATTTCTCAAAATATTGATTAAAATGTTTATCTCTACTATTGAGTTTTTGGGCACGCCTTTAAATTTTGCATGCGAGATAAGCACCTTACTCAGTAGCAGGATGTTGACGGTGATAAGGACATTAGCAAAGGAAATATTAAAAAGCTCATGAATACTGTTGCATAATTATTCTTAGAGAAAATAGTTTCTTGGTATAGGATAGAACAATTGCTAAAGGGAAGGTGACCTCCTACATAGCATGAAAAGATGCATCATGATCTTGGTATTTGTAATTTGTTCACTTTCACTCTGCTCAACTAAAACAAGGATGAAAAACATTTTTCCATTAAAGATTATTAATTTTAAAAATTAATTGAGTCAGAAAAAATAAATACAAATTTATTTTATTAATTCTATTTTAAAATTATTTTAATCTTTTCTTTGGCTTTAGAGAAAACACTGAGTTTATGGGTCACTTTACAAGTGAAATAAGAACACAGATTTGGGGGTAATAAACATAATTTATCACCAAATATATTTGTTCTAATTTATTTTACATTTCAAAAACAAAGTGTAAGAGTAGAAAAAGGAAAGAAAGAAGAAAAGAGAGAGAGAGAAGTACAGAAAAATTTACAATAATCAAAATAAAGATCAAGAGAAAAGGGAAAAGAAGACTAGCAGAGACATAAATGGAAAGATAGTTGTATGACTTAAAAAAAAAAAAAAGGTGAAGAAACAGAGAGATACTAGTCCACAAGGAGAGCAAGACCATCCAGAGGCGAAATTCCTTATCCAAGGAATTCAGAAGTAATTAGACATCCCTATTATGTAAAGCTGGCATCTGGTATGAGATTTCTTTTCCAAAAATTTGTGAGTAACTAGAATTTCTATACATCTCTGGAATGCATGTATTCTAAACTCATTGTGCAACTCTTGCTGACATCAAGGCACCAAAATGTCTATAAATGTAATTGTTTACCATGACCTATGTGGCTAATATGGTAAAAATTACCCTTAAGCTCCCACTTTAAGGTCCATAAATACCCTAAGGAAAAATCTACTGCAGTGGTGTACTCAGTCCTCTCTGGCTGAGAAGCCCTGCTGCACTCCTCTGCAGCGTTCTTTCCAGCTAATACAACTTTCCTTTTCAAATCTATACAGTTGTTGGTAAATTCTTCTTACTACCCACAAGCCAACCACACTCCACTGCCTGGGCTGTGACAGCTCGCATGGCATTCCATATAAATGCACAGTCTACAAATCCATATAACCACAAAAAGAAAACCATGATAAAGAGAGCTGCACAGAGGAAAATAGAGAAAGGAAGCAAAATACATGAGGTTAGATACGTTCTTAAGTGGAATAACAACCCCATCTTGGAGTAGGTTAGTCTTGCCACCAAAACTTTTAAAAATATGATTTTTTTCATAATTGTGCATATAATCCAGGATCTTACTCACCTCTTAATGTTCACTCTAATTCATAAGATAAAAGTAATCTGAAGATCTAAAATAGTCCTCAAAATGGAGACTTTTTAACCCTTCTAGGAAAGTTTTATCACCTTGGATAGATTTTTTCCTCTAGATAATCTTGAATTAATTTTACAATGAAAAGTATTACTGGTATTTTATTAAATTATATTCAATTTATGCATTGACATGTATATATTCAATAATATTGTTTTTATCCAACAAAAGAGTTTGTCTCTGAATTTATTCATTTTTTTCCTCAAAAAATATTACCACTTTTTATATGAACAGATACTTCCTAAAAGAAGACATGTTTACGGCCAATAAGCACGTGAAAAAAAATGCTCAGCTTGACTATTCATTAGAGAAATGCAAATCAAAACCACAATGAGATACCATCTCACACCAGTCAGAAGGACTATTATTAAAAAGTCAAAAAATGGCTGGGCACGGTGGCTCACGCCTGTCATCCCAGCACTTTGGGAGGCCGAGGTGGGCGGATCACGAAGTCAGGAGACCGAGACCATTCTGGCTAACACGGTGAAACCTCGTCTCTACTGAAAAATACAAAAAACAAACAAACAAACAAACAAACAAAAAAATTATCTCGGCTTGGTGGCGGGTGCCTGTAGTCCCAGCTACTCGGGAGGCTGAGGCAGGAGAATGGCGTGAACTCGGGAGGTGGAGTTTGCAGTGAGCCGAGATTGCGCCACTGTCGAGATCCAGCCTGGGCGACAGAGCGAGACTCTGTCTCAAAAAAAAAAAAAAAGAAAAGAAAAGAAAAGAAAAAAAAAAAGAAAAGTCAAAAAATAACAGAAAATTCAAAGAGAATTTTCTTTTCTTTTTTTACTTCTATGGCATGACTTCTAATATTTTTATACCCTTAACACTTTATATAAAAAAATCAGTGGAAGAAGAATAATAACATTTAAGTTTACTTTGTTTCGTTTTTCAGAGTTAATAGTTGTTTCACATTCTCACCAAGATTTGGTTTTTAAATGTTGATCTTGTATCCTGCAACCCTTGATAAATTTCCTTGTAAATTCTAGTTCTTTAAAGATACCATAGTATGCTCTACACATATATTTCTTCTATGAATAAATAGATTTTTATTTTTTTCTTCCTAATATTAATACCTTTAAAAAACAACTTTCTTTCAATGGTCAGCACATGTTGAATAGAAGTGGTGAGAGCATGTATACTTGCATTCTTCCTAATCTTAAGGGGGCATGCATTCAAGATTTCATCATATGTTATAATGGTTGCTATAGGTTTTTCATAATTGCCCTTTATTGGACTGGAGAGGCTCCCTTTCATTTCCAATCTACTTAGAATTTTTTACAGACATGAATGGATGTTAAAACAAATGATTTTCTGCCTCTTGGCGAGATCATATCATTTTTCCACCTTCATTCAGTGAATATAGCAATTAACTTGATTGATTTTCAAATGTTAAGCCAACTATCGTTTTTGGGATAAATCCCATCTGGTCACAACTTTTTATGTATTGTCATGTTCGGATTGCTAATACTTTGTTTTAAAATTTTATGTGTAGCCAGGCAGGGTGGCTCACGCCTATAGTCCCAGCACTTTGGGGGGCCTAGGAGGGCGGATCACGAGGTCAGGAGATTGAGACCATCCTGGCTAACACGGTGAAACCCCATCTCTACTAAAAATACAAAAAATTAGCCAGGCGTGGTGGTGGGCGCCTGTAGTATCAGCTATTTGGGAGGCTGAGGCAGGAGAATGGCATTAACCCAGGAGGCAGAACTTGCAGTGAGCCGAGATCGCACCACTGCACTCCAGCCTGGGTGACAGAGTGAGACTCCATCTCAAAAAAATAAAAATAAAATAAAATCATATGTGTATGTTTTTGAGAAATCATCTTTCCTTGTAATGCAAAATCCTTGCAATGCAAAATCCTGTGTCAGATTTTGGTATCAGGGTAATACTGAGCTCATAAAGAAAGTTGGGAAATGGTATCCTTTCTTCTATTTTATGAATGAGTTTAGATACAATTGGCATTACCCGTTTCTTACATATTTTAGAAAACTCCCTGGTTGAGCCATATGAACCTGGAATTTTCTTAGTATAAAGTTTTCAGCTCTACATTCATTTCCTTTTAAAATATATTCCTATTTAGATTTTGTATATCTTGATGTGCCAGTTTTGGCGAATGTGTTTTGTCATATTGTCATTCTTTATATTCCCTTATTATCCCTTCAGTTTCTTTAGGACTAATAGTGCTTCTCTTGTTATTCTTAATATTGGTAGTTTGTGTGTTTCTCTTTTAAAATTCATCATTCTACTATGGGTTTATCAATTTTGGTAATCATTTCAAAATACCAATTTCTGACTTTTAAAATTTTTTCTAATGTTTGTCTACTTTATATTTCATTAATTTTGACTCTTTTCCTTTTATCTCTTTCTTGCAAAGGACATGATCTCATTGTTTTTATGGCTACATAGTATTCCATTGTGTCTATGTACCACATTTTCTTTATACAGTTTACCATTGATGGCAACTTTGCTATTGAGAATAGTACTGTGTTGAACATATGTGTGCATATGTCTTTATGGTAAAATGATTTATATTCCTTTGGATATGTACTCAATAATGAGATTGCTAGGTTAAATGATAATTCCCTTTTAAGTTCTTTGAGAAATTGCCATGCTGCTTTCCACAATGGCTGAACTAATTTACATTCCCACCAGCAGTGTATAAGTGTTCCCTCTTCTCTGAAACCTCACTAGCATGTTATTTTTTGACTTTTTAATAATAATCATTCTCACTGCTGTGAGTTGGTATCTCGTTGTGGTTTTGATGTGCATTTATCTAATGATTAGCGATGTCGAACATTTTTTCATATGCTTCTTGGCTGCATGTAGGTCTTTGAAAAGCATTTGTTCATGTCCTTTGCCCAATTTTTAAAGAGATTGTTTTTTGCTCGATAATTTAAGTTCCTTGTAGATTCTGGATATTAGACCTTTGTTGGGCGCATAGTTTGCAAATATTTTATCCCATTTTGTAGCTTGTCTGTTGACTCTGTTGACAGTTCATTCTGCTCTGCAGAAGCTCTTTAGTTTACTTAGGTCTCATTTGTCAATTTCTGTTTTTTTGTGGTCAATGTTTCTGGTGTCTTCACCATGAAATCTTAGCCAGGGCCTATTTGAGAATGGAATTTCCTAGGTTATCTTCTGGGGTTTTTACAGTTTGGGGTTTTACATTTAATTCTCCAATCCATGTTGAATTGATTTTTGTATATGGTATAAGAAGGGGTTACATTTCAGTCTTTTGCATGTGGCTTGCCCATTATCCCAGCACCATTTATTGAATAGAAAGTCCTTTCCCTATTGCTTGTTTTTATCCTCTTTGTGAAAGTTCAGATAGTTATAGGTGTGCAGCACTATTTCTGGCCTCTCATTATGTTCCATTGGTTTATGTGTCTGTTTTTGTACCAGTACCATCCTGTTTTGGTTACTGTAGCCTTATAGTATAGTTTGAGGTTGGGTAATGTGATGCCTCCAGCTTTGTTCTTTTTTGCTTAGGATTGCCTTATTTGCCCATTTTTAAGTGGATTTTTTGTTCGTTTGTTTGTTGCTTTGTTTAAGTTCCTTATAGTTTCTGGATATTAGACCTTTGTTTGGAATCATAGCTTGTGAATATTTTCTCCCATTCTGTAGGTTACTCTATTGATAGTTTCTTTTGCTGTGCAGAAGCTCTTTTGTTTAATTAGGCCCGACTTGTCAACTCTGGTTTTTGTTGCAATTACCTTTGAGGACTCAGCCAAAAATTCTCTGCCAAGACTGTGGCTGAGAAGAGTATTTCCTAGGTTTTCTTCTAGGATTTTTATAGGCTGAGGTCTTAAATTTAAATCTTTAATCGATTTTGAGTTGATTTTTGTATATGGTGAAAAATAAGGGTCAAGTTTCATTTTTTTTTTTTGTATCTGGCTAGCCAGTTATCCCAGCACCATTTATTGAATAGAGAGACCTGAGAGTTAGCTTGGTTGAATGTTCTTAGGCTACAGACTCAAGCCCACAACTTTCCTCAGTAGGGGCTTCTAAACAGAGTCTTTTCTCCATTGCTTGTTTCTGTCAGCCTTGTTGAAGAGCAGATGGTTGTAAGTGCATGGATTTATTTCTGGGTTTTCTATTCTGTTCTATGGGTCAATGTGTCTGTTTCTGTACCAGTAGCATGCTGTTTTGGTTACAGTGGCCTTATAGTTTGAATAGTGTGATGCCTCTAGTTTCATTTTTTTTACTTTTTTTTTTCAATATTTCTGGGTTACAGAGTAGGTGCATATGTTCATGTGGTACATTTTGCATGGGATTGTTTTGACTATTCAGGCTTTTTTGGCTCTGTATGAATTTTAGATCTTTTTTCTAATTCTGAGAAGAATGGTGTTGGTAGTGAGATAGAAATACCATTAAACTGTAGACTGCTTTGGGCAGTGTGGCCATTTTAACAACATTGATTCTTGTAATCTATTAGTATGGAATTTTTTTCCATTCATTTCTGTCATCTCTGATTTCTGTCAGCAGTGTTTTGCCATTAATTTTGTAGAGTTTTCTGGTTAACTGTATTCCAAGGGATTTAATTTTCTTTGTTGCTATTGTAAATGGGATTGTGTCCTTGATTTCACTCTCAGCCTGGACATTATTGATGTATGGAAATGCTACTGATTTTTGTAGAGTGATTTCATGTCCTGAAACCTTCCTAAAACTGTATATCAGTTCTAGTTGCTTTTTTGTGAAAGTTAGGGTTTTCTAAGTATATAATTATATCATCAGTGAATAGAAATAGTTTGACTTCTTATTTTTCTATTTGGATGTCTTTTATTTCTTTCTTTTGCATAATTGCTATGGCTAGGACTTCAAGTCCTATATTGAAGAAGAGTGGTAAGAATGTACATCTTTGTCCTTTTCCAGTTCTTAAGGGGAATACTTCCAGCTTTTGCCATTCAGTATCATGTTGGCTGTGGGTCTGTCATAGATGGCTGTTATTATTTTGAGGTGTATTCCTTCAAAATCTAGTCTGTTAAGGGTTTTTATCATGAAGGGATGTTGGATGTTATTGAAAGCTTTTTCTGCATCTATTGAGATGATCATGTGGTTTTTGTCTCTTATTATGTTTATGTGATGAATCACATTTATTGATTTGCATACATTGAATAAGCCTTACATCTCAGGAATAGTACCTACTTGATCACAGTGCGTTAACTTTTTGATGTGCCAATGGATTCAATTAGCTAACATTTTGTTGATGATATTTGCATCTGTATTCATCAGGGATATTGGCCTGATGATTTGTTTTTTGTTCTGTCCCTGCCAGGTTTTGGTATCAGGATGATACTGGCTTCATAGAATGAGTTAGGGAGGAGCTCCTCCTCCTCAATTTTTTGGAATAGTTTCAATAAAATTGGTAGAGTTCTTTTTTTTAAAATCTGGTAGAATTCAGCTGTGAATCTATCTGGCCCAGGACTTACTTTGGTTCATAGGCTTTTTTTATTATTGATTCTGTTTCACAGCTTGATGTTGGTCTAATCAGGGTTTCAATCTCTTCCAGGGATTCAATCTTGGGAGATTGTGTGTTTCCATGAATTTATCCATTTCTTCTAGATTTTCTAATTTGTATGCATAGAGTTGCTTATAGTATTCTTTGAGTATCTTTTGTATTTCTGTGGGATCAGTTGCAACATCATTTTTATTTCTGATTGTACTCATTTGGGTCTTCTGCTTTTTTTCTATGTTAATCTAGCTAGCAATCTACCAGTTTTGTTTATTTTTATTTTGAAGGACCAATTATTGGTTTCACTGACCTTTTGTACGTATTTTTGCATCTCAATTTCATTAAGTTTCTCTCTGTTTGTAGTTATATCTGTTATTCTGCTAGCTTTGAGCTTTTTTTTTTTCTAGTTCCTTTAGGTGCAAAGTTGGATTATTAAATTCAGATTTTTCTAACTTCTTGATGAAGGTATTTAATGCTATAATCTTTCCTCTTATCTTATTTACTTATTTATTTAAAAAATATTTATTTCCTGCTTTAGCTTCATTTCAGAGATTTTGGTTAGTTGTGTCCCTGTTTTAATTTCAAAGAATTTTTTTGATTTTTGCCTAATTTCAGTGTGCACCCATGAGTTATTCAGGAGCAAGTTGTTTACTTTCCATGAATTTGTGTACTTTTGAGAGATCTTCTTGATGTTTATTTCTAATTTTATTGCACTGTGGTTCAAGAATGTGCCTGGGATGATTTCAGTGTTTTTGAATGCATTGAGACTTGCTTTCTGATCAAGCATGTGGTTGATCTTACAATATGTTCCATGTGCAGATGAGAATGAATATTCCATGGTTGTTGGGTGGAGTGTTCTGTAGATGTTTATTAGGTCCAATTAGTCAAGTGTCAAATTTAAGTCCAGAATTTCTTTGTTAGTGTTCTGCCTTAATGATACCATCAGTGGAGCATTGAAGTCTCCCAGTATTATTGTAGGATTGTCTAAGTCTTTTGGTAGGCCAAGAAAAACTTGTTTTATGAGTCTGGGTGCTCCAATGTTCAGTGTATATACATTTAGGATAAAGTCTTCTTGTTGAATTGAACCCTTTATCATTATGTAATGCCTTTCTTTGTCCTTGGTAATTGTTGTTGGCTTGTTTCATATGCTATAAGAATAGTGACCCCTACTATTTTTGTTTGTTTGTTTTTTGTTTACATGACAAATCTTTCTGCATCCCTTTACTTTGACCCTGTGGGTTTCATTACATATAGATTGGTCTCTTCAAGACAACAGACAGTGGTGTCTTGCCTTTTTATCCAACTTACCACTCTATGCCTTTTAAGTAGGGCATTTAGATAACTTACATTTAAGATTAATATTGATATGTCAGATATTGATCCTGTCATCATGCTGTTAGCTGGATATTTTATAGACTTGACTGTGTAGTGCTTCATAGTGTCTATGGGCTATGTGCTTAAGCGTGTTTTTGTGGCAGCAGATGCTGTTCTTTTGTTCACATGTTTAGCACTCCCTTAAGGACCTGTTGTAAGGCTAGCTAAGTTGAAATGTATTACCTTGGCATTTTATTTTCTGAGAAGGATTTTATTTTTCCTTCACTTATGAAGCTAAGTTTGGGTGGGATATGAAATTCTTGGTTGGAATTTATTTTCTTTAAGAATACTAAAAATAGGCCCCCAATTTTTTCTGGCTTATAAAGGTTCTGCTGAAAGTTCTGCTGCTAGCCTGATGGGGTTCCCTTCGTACATAACCTGACCTTTCTTTCTAGATCCCTTTTCTTTTGCATTAACTGTGGTGAATCTGAAGATTATGTGCCTTGTACATCTCGTACGATATCTAGCCAGGGTTCTCTCTATTTCTTGGATTTGCATATCATCCTCTCTAGCAAGATTAGGAAGATTTTCATGGACTATATATTCGAATTTATTTTCCGAGTTGTTTATTCTCTGTCCTTCTCTCTCAGTAATGGTAATGAGTTGTAGATTTGGTCTCTTTATGTAATCTTTCTCAGAAGTTTTGTTCACTTTTAAAATTGTTTTTGCTTTATTTTTGTCTCACAGTGTTAATTCAAAGAACCGGTCTTTGAGCTCAGAGATATTTTCCTTAGCTTGGTCTATTTTGCTGTTAATATTTCCAACTGTATTATGAAGTTCTTCTAGTGAATTTTTAACTCTAGAGTTTCACTTTGGTTCTTTCTTAAAGTGGTTATTTTGTCTTTCAGCTCTTCTGTCATTTTGCTGGATTCCATGGATTGGATTTCAAATTTGTCCTGAATCTCAATGAGCTTCCATGACATCCAGATCCTGAATTCTATGTCTGTCATTTCAGTAATTTATTATGGGTAAGGAATCATTGCTGGGAAACACACAATCTAACCTTGAATGACCTTGAATGTAAATGAGTTAAATGCTTCAATTAAAAGGCATAGAGTGGCAAGTCGGATAAAGAAGCAAGACCCAACTGTATTCTCTCTACAAGAGACCCATCTCACATGCAATGACATCCAGGGGCTCAAAATAAAGGGATGGAGAAAAAATAGACCAAGCAAAAAGAAAACAGAAAAAAGCAAATGGTCTGATTCTAATTCCAGACAAAATAGACTATAAACCAATAATAATCGAAAAAGACAAAGAAGGGTATTACATGAAGGTAAAGGGTTAAACTCAACAAGAAGAACTAACAATCCTAAGAATATATACATCCAACACAGAAGTACCCAGACTTATAAAGGAAGTTCTTAGAGACCTTTGAAGAGACTTTAATAACCACACAATACTACTGGGAGACTTCAACACCCCACTGACAGTATTAGAGCATTGAGATAGAAAATGAACAAAGAGATTCGGGACTGAGCTCGACATTTGACAAAATGGTCCTAACAGACATCTACAGTACTCTCCACCCAAGAACATTAGAATATACATTCTTCTCATCTGCATATGGCACATACTCTAAAATCAGCCACACAATCGATCATAAAACAATTTTCAGCAAATTCAAAAAATCCAAAATCATACAAACCACACTTTCTCAGATTACAATGCAATAAACATTGAAATCAATACAATAAAATACATCAAAAGCATATGTGAAAATTAACCAACCTTCTCCTGAATGACTTTTGGGTAAACAACGAAATTCAGGCAGAAGTCAAGAAATTCTTTGAAACTAATGAGAACAAACATACTACATATCAAAATCCCTGGGGCACATATAAAGCAGTATTAAGAGGTAAGTTTATATCACTAAAGAAAAAACTACATCAGAAGATTGGAAAGATTTCAAATTAACATCCTAACATCACACCGAGAGAAACTAGAGAAACAAAAGCAAATCAGTCCCAAAGCTAGCAAGATAAAGGAAACAACTGAAATCAGAGCTGAACTGAAAGAAATTGAGATGCAAAAACCCATACAAAAGATTAACAAATCCAGGTTTTGTTTCTTCAGAATAACACATCAGATTGATAGAGCATTGGCTAGACTAATAAAGCAAAAAAGAGAAGAGAGAAAAATAAACACAGTCAGAAATGACAAAGGGAACATTACCACCAACCCCAAAGAAATATTTTTTAAAAACCCTCAGAGACTACTATGAACAACTCTATGCACACAAACTAGAAGAAATTAATAAATTATTAGAAACATACAACCTCCTAAGATTGAACTAGGAAGAAATTGAAACCCTGAACAGACTAATAACAAGTTCCAAGATTGTGTTAGTAATAAAAAGCCTACCAACCAGAAAAAGCCCAGGATCACAGGAATTCACAGCTGAGTTCTACCAGATGCATAAAGAAGAGCTAGTACCTTTCCTCTGAAACTATTCTGAAAATTTGAGGAGGAAGGACTCCTCCCTAATTTATTCTATGAGGCCAACATCATTCTGATACTAAAACCTGGCAGAGATACAACAAAAAAAGAAAACTAGCAAAAAAAAGAAAATACTAGCAAACTGAATCCAGCAGCACATTAAAACTCTAATCCACCACAATCAAGTAGGCTTTATACTTGGAACACAAGGTTGGTTCAACATATGCAAATTAGTAAATGTGATTCACCACATAAGCAGAACTAAAAACAAAAACCGTCTAATCTTCAACAAGGCTGACAAAAACAAGCAATGGGAAAAGCACTCCCTATTCAATAAATGGTGCTGAGATAACTAGACAGCCATATGCAAAAAATGGAAACTGAACCCCTCCCTTATACCATATATGAAAATAAATCCAACATGGATTAAAGACTTAAATGTGAAACCCAAAACTATAAAAACCCTGGAAGATAACCTAGGAAATTCCATTCTCAGCATCGCCCCTGACAAAGATTTCATGACAAAGATGACAAAAGCAAAAATTAATAAATGTGAACTAATTAACCTAAAAAGCTTCTGCACAGCAAAATAAACTATCAACAGGGTAAACAGACAACCTATAGAATAGGATAAAATATTTGCAAATGCATGCCTGTAGTCCCAGCTACTCGGGACGCTGAGGCAGGAGAATTGCTTGAACCCAGGAGGCAAAAGTTGCAGTGAGCCGAGGCCGCACCACTGCCCTCCAGCCTGGTGACAGAGCGAGACTCCATCAAAAAAAAAAAAAAAAAAAGTTGTCAAGGCTGGGCACAGTAGCTCACGCCTGTAATCCCAGCACTTTGGGAAGCCAAGGCGGGTGGATCACCTGAGGTCAGGAGTTTGAGACCAGCTTGGCCAACATGGCGAAACCCCGTCTCTACTAAAAATACAAAAATTAGCCAGGCATGGTGGCAGGTGCCTGTAATCCCAGCTACTGGGGAGGCTGAGGCAGGAGAATCTCTTGAACCTAGGAGGTGGAGGTTGCAGTGAGCCGAGATCACACCACTGCACTCCAGCCTGGGTGACAAGAGTGAAACTCCATCTCAAAAAAAATAAAATAAAATAAGACATACACTTTGCCAAGAAGCATATGAAAAAAATGCTAAACATCACTAATCATTAGAGAAATGCACATCAAAACCACAATGAGATACCATCTCACACCAGTCAGATGGGCTATTGTTAAAAAGTCAAAAAATAATAGATCATGCTGGCGAGGTTGCAGAGAAAAGGGAATGCTTATGCATTGCTGGTGGGAATAAAAATTGGTTCAGCCATTATGGAAAGCAGTGTGGCGATTTCACAAAGTACTTAAAACCAAAGTAGCATTCAACCCAGCAATCCCATTATTGGGTATATACCCAAAGGAATATAAATCATTGTGCCATAAAAACATATGCACAAGTATGTTCATCACAGGCATATTCACAATAGCAATGTCATGGAATCAACGTAGATGCCCATCAATGGTGAACTTGATAAAGAAAATGTGGTACAAGTATACTATGGAATACTATGCAGTCATAAAAAAGAATGAGATCATATCTTTTGCAGCAACATGCATGGAGCTGGAGGCTATTTTCCTGAGTGAACTAACATAGGAACAAATAACTAAATACTACATGTTCTTACTTATAAATTGGAGATAAACGTTGAATACACATAAACACAAAGAAGGGAACAACAAATACTTGGGCATAGTTGAGATTGGATGGTGGCAAAAGGGTGAGGGTCAGAAAACTGACTATCAGGTACTATGCTTATTACCTGGGTGATAAATCTGTTCACCAAACCCCTGTGACAAGCAATTTTACCTATATAACAAATCTGCACATGTATAACTGAACCTAAAAGTTAAAAAATTAAAATTAAAAAAGTAAAAGTTATCCCAAAACAAGCAGACAAATAAGGAAAGCAAATAAAAAAAATATTATCATTGCTTGGGGTCTGGTGGACTCATTTGGAGGTATGGGGAAACTGGCTTTTTGAATTGTCAGAGTTCTTGCACTGGTTCTTTCTCATCTGGAAGCATTGGCGTTCCTTTACCTGTGGTGTAACTTGAGTATAGTCACTTGGCTTTGTTTCTGAATGTTTTCAGATAGCCAAGGCTTTGTGCAGGGTCTTTATTTGTGGCTGGATTCTTGCCTTTGATTTCACTGGGGGATATTAGCAAAATATTTTTGGTGTTGTAGCAGTTTTGGCTGCAATCCAGTAGACGTCGCTTAAGAGTAATGGACAGTAGATAGGCTCTTGCTCAGGCCTGTGGTTCCCTTGTACTTCCTC
This sequence comes from Homo sapiens, assembly GCF_000001405.40. Classification (NCBI taxonomy): domain Eukaryota; kingdom Metazoa; phylum Chordata; class Mammalia; order Primates; family Hominidae; genus Homo; species Homo sapiens. Next base: position 4,132 of record NW_025791796.1, on the reverse strand, counting down.
ACATCTACAGCCTGGTCTCCAGTACAGCGGGGAAAGAAGTGACCCCCTCACCAGGTCCGCTCCTGAGCCTTGGGGGAAGCCCCTCCGGTCACTAGCACTGCACCATCATTTCTTTTGCTAGGTGTTCCAGGCTGCGGGGCTCCCTCAGGCAGAGGCCACCGCAGGGAGATAGGCCATACGTTTTCCAGGCGTACCCTGCTCCCACAGCAGCCGAGGAACCCACGCGGTTACCCCTCTCAGTGCTCTGAGAGTGTGGGTTTCTCTTCCCGCTCTAGTGTGGGACCTGGGGCGAGCTCGGGCTTTTTATTCCCTCCCCAGCTTGGGGGAGCAGGGGACGGGACCTTGGCGGTGTCAGTGGCAGAGGGCTTGTCATTTGTCTCTGGGAACTCCACCCCAGAGAAATTCAGAGCCGCTGCCAATCAGAATGACCAGCCCGGGATGGGACGTTTGTGCTGTGGGCCCAAGCCCAGGGCCCTCCCTAGTGAAGAGCAGAGGGATCGGGGGCTTGTTGCAGGGACTGTCTGGCCTCCTCTCCATAGAGCAGCTGTGGCATGCTGGATGTGCAAGCACAGCAAGCAGGCTCTTTGTTCCCTCCCTAGCCTGGGGGGTGGCAGCAGTGGCAGATGGCCTGTCAGCTGCCTCTAGCAACTCCACCCAGAGCTACTGCTACTGCCAAGGGGAAGGATCCAGGGGTGGGGAGGCTGTGCTGTGGGCCCAAGCCGGGCCATGTCTGGTGAAGAGTAGCGGGGGTCAGGGTCTCGCAAGGAAGACAATCTGGCCTTCTCTCCCTAGGACAGCTGCAGTCAGGCTCTTTGTTCCCTACCTAGCCTGCGGGGAGCAAGGAAGGGCCTTACACTCAGCTGGTGATGGCACAGAGCCTGCCGGTTGTCTCTGGGAGCTCTATCCCAGAGAAACTCAGGGCCACTGCCAAATGAAAGATCAAGTGGGGGTGGGGCGGTTGTGCTGGGACCCCAGGCCGGGAGGCCCTGTCCAGTGAGGAGTAGCTGGGACAGGGACCCACGTGGAAAATAATCTGGCCGCTTTTCTGTATGACAGCTCTTCGTATGACAGCTGCCTTGCTGAAGGTCTAGGACAGTTCCTGTGCTCTTCGATCCCTCCCCAGCCTGAGGGCAGCATGTGGGAGACCACAGTACCAGAAATCTCAGGCCTATTGGTTACCTCTGGGAGTTCCTTCCCAAAGAAATGGAGAGCCCTGACTGGCCTGAGTGTTCAGGTGAGAGTGGGGTGGCTGCGTGGGCAACCCAGGCTAGTGGGTTTTGCCTGGTTTGCTAAAGCAAGCGGGGCCTGCAGTCAGTCTGCTCCTCAGCACCGTGGATGCAGCCCCTATTCTAGAGGCATGCAAGAGAGCTGGCCTCCCTTGTTGGTGGGGCTATGGCAGCTGGCACCAAGGTGCTCAGGGCCCCAAAGCTCATGGGGCTCCAGGTGAGCCTAGCTGCAGCTCTGTCCAGACTCAAGTAATCTCTCTGTGTTGGTCTGGAGGCCCCCCGGGGTCACGGGAGATCTCCTGTGCCAGGATTGCAAAGGCCCATGGCAGAAGTGTGGGTCCCAGGAGGTTCTTATTCACCCTTTCCCTATGGTAGGGAGCCTCACCTGGCTCTATGCCAATCCTGGGTGGACTGCTTTCCTGCCTGGCCCCTTTCTGCTGTCCATCGATTGCAGTTGCTTCCTTGATGAATCCTAACATGGCCTCATGGATGAGCCACTTGAAGAGCTAGTGTTTACTCACCACCCTGTCTCCCTCTCCATGAGTGGCACATGATAGCTGCTTCTGGCACCTCTCCCTATTCTGTACTTCTTTATTGATAATACATGAGCAACGTTATCCTACATGCTAATCAAAATCAGTGGTTTTCATTTCTGTGGTTGATTTTTAAGGGTAAGCTTACTTTCATGCTTATAAGCCTTTTCATTTTTTCCTTTGTTCATTGCCCACATTTCCTTCTATGTACCTATTTCATATTCATTTAAGCAAATTCTTTATGTATTAGATAAATTTTTATTATTTATATCAATTTTTAGTAATTTTTATTTTAATTTTTATGCATGGTTGTCCTCTTATACAGTCTTGGAGTAGGGAGAAAATATTCAATTTACATGCAAACCTTATAATCGTGCAGAAAATAATCTCCACATCTATATGCCATAGAAATATTTTCAGCATTTTTCTGCCTTTTGCCCATATAAACTTTTTTCATTTTTACATATCAAAATATGTAGAAGACATCAAGATTTAATGTATCTTTTTATTTTCATTTTCTTTGTCAAACTTCAATGGCCTTTCTCACCTCCAAGATTGCAAACTTTTTATCCTATATTTTACCACCATTTTTGTTTGTTTTCTGAAGAAGCTGTCAACATATAGACAGGTTTGTCAAAGACTTTTGCCACTAGCATTACAGATTCTATCAAATATACTCATACAAAATTTAATTTAGAAAAAATAATTAGAGAGACAATAACATGAGAGGTGCTCTCTACAATTCAGTTCATGCCAGACCGTGGCTGATTGATGTGTTCCTTGAGCCAGGAGCTGGGAAAGTGGCTTCTTGTCCTCTCGGCCTCCTGGTTATTGCAGGGATAGGTCACCTAGCAGGTTAGTTCTACAGTGTTTTTCTGGCAACAACTTCTGTAATAGATGCCCAGCATAAATAATGGTCTTCTATACTTGAAAAATTTTATAAGTACCTAATTTCTCACATTAGACCCCACTATTAATACAGGAGTTATTAAGAAATTATTTTTAGGCAGCTAGAAAGGGTAAAAGAGTCCTCGCAAAGGCTTTTCCTTTTAATAAAAAAGCAGCCCCCAAACTACTTCTTTTCTAACAGAAAGCAGCCTGAAAAGCCATGCTGGAAGCCTAGGTATGTAAATTACAGGCTTGCAGAAGTAAATGCAGGTGGCTAAGAGACAGGTCCACTCAATATGACTGTTCCCACTCACTTTACTTTGTTGCCACATGTGCTGGTGTCATGGCACCAGCCAAGTAAAGCACATGTGCAGGCATCATGGCGACAGCCAGGTAGAAGCCGCATTTGCAGAATAAAAGATTAGGGTGGGAGGTCCAGTCTTTTCATGGGTTGTGTGAATGACACACCTGGTCAAACGAATCCCCTGGGCCCTATGCAAATCAGACACTACCTCCTTGAGCCTCCCAATGTAACTGACTGCTTTCCCCGCAAGTGGGGTTATTCCATTCAGAGCCCGCCTCCCTCTGTATGGGGGAGCTCTTCTCTTCCTTCTTGCCCAATAAACTTTCTGCTCCTTAAACCGCTCCATGTGTGAGTCCGTGTCATTAATCTGCACAGCATGAGACAATGAACTGCAGGTATTTCCCCAGACAACGAAGCTGCTTCACTATGTTGAAAATAACTGGAGTGATTTATGTAATCTATAATATAATATGTAGTACTAAATATCTGATAATGTCTAATAATCATCGTGAAGCTCTGAAGAAAAAATAAGTGAAATAATTTCATGACATTTTACCATGAAACAAATTGGCTTCCTTTCTTATCTCTCTACCAAATTTGGGGGGGAAATATATATTTATTTATATATTGATTAAATGTATAAAAATATATATTTATAAATATATAAAAATATTTTACTTATTTTATATGTATATGTAAATATACATATTTATAAAATATATATAAAAACATTAAAATATATATAATTTTTAATATATTTATGTATAAAAGACTATATATAGTCTTTTTCAGAACATACTTGCCACATACATTTGGTTTTTGATATTTTACAGCTTATTAATCTCTGCCTAAAATCTTGCTGATGTTGCTCTAACCAATAGAGGAAAGCATTGTAGATGACTGCTCCTTTGCTTAAAACATTAAAATGGATTCTTACCACAATTAAGATTTGAAAAAATTCTTACCTCAGACTAAAAGACCCTTGCAGTCACATAAAACTTAACTCCTAAATTTCTTAACACTTACTCATTATACTTCAACCACTCTGGGGTTTCCTTTATATTCGTTAAATAAAATAAGTTTATTCTCTCATTATGCATAACTCTCCCCCATTGCCTACAGTGGTACCTGGCAAATGGGAGGTACTCAGTGAAAAACAGGACTTGTTAAATGAATGATAT